>NC_000002.12:107792648-108095678 GCF_000001405.40 Homo sapiens | reverse complement strand
TTTGACTCATTGGTTAAGAGAGTGTTGTTAAATTTCCACATATGTGTACATTTTTCTATTTTCCTTCTGTTATTGGTTTCAATTTTCATTTCATTGTTGCTGAGAAATATGCTTTGGATGATTTCAAATGTTTTAATGTGCTGAGACTTGTTTTTTGGTCTAACTTATGGTCTAAGCTGGAGAATGTTCCATGTGTCCCACAATTTTTAGAAAAGACATATCTTACTATGGCCTACAAAAGTCAAATAACTTGACCCCTAACTATCCTAGCTTTATCTTGCAGCTGGCTCCCTTCACTCGCTATGTTTTGCCATGCTTTCTTTTAGACATTTGTTTTGCCCAACTTCTTCTCACGATAAGCTTCTATTGGCTTCTTCTTCCTGTTGTGTTATTTTGGTGTTTTTTTCCCTTCTAGCTAAAATTATACCTTCGTATAGAACCACATTCTTCTCTTCCACAGAGTATCTCACTTAAGACTTCATACACAATTCAATGATCCTTTTTCTCCACCACTCAACTTTAAACTATGACAGCAGGAATCAAGTCTATTTTGCTAATTACTTTGTCTCCAGAAGCTAGGATACTGCTTAGCACCTCATATGTTCTCAATGGGTACATGTGGAATAAACAAATAAATGAAGAAAAAGGGTAAGATTCTTGAGTCTTCAAATTATACTAGCTATTCCAATTTTACTTAAGTCTGGGCATTAAACCAGAATAATCTTCAACAAAAAAAGAAAAATAAATGAGTAAATTAGCAGTTACTATTCAACTAATTCTTAGAATTAATATAAAACACAAAATCTGTTTCATTTGGAATGAATAATTTTTGACGGCATTGTTCATTGAGCTATATGATATATTACATTTATTCTTATGGAAATTTTAAATGCCTGTAATGTACTAAGCATTAGACACAGCTTATAAAACACAATATGTGGTACATTAAGTGCTCAGTTTGTTTTTTACCTCTCCTATCAGAGCATTTATGGACTATTATCAGAACTCATAAAAAAGGGATACTGTTATGCACTTCCTTACAACTGAAAATGTCAGGGGAGGTAGAGCAACGTAGCAGAATAAAAGGATGCACTGATTGTCCTACCTGCAAGGACACCAATTTAACAACTATCTACACAGAAAAACAACACCTTCATAAGAACAAAACATCAAGTGAACACTCATAGTACCCTGTTTTAACTCTGTATCACTGAAAGAGGCACTGAAGATATGGAAAAAACAGTCCCGAATCATCAATGCCACCCCTTCCCCACTCCACAACAGTGACAGCATGGTGCAGAGAGCATCTCTGGGCACTGGGAGAGGAAGAGAACAGCATTTGTGAGGCACTGAACTCAGTGCTGTCTTCTTTCAACAGAAAAGAAAACCAAACCAAACTCAGCTGATGTCCGCCCATAGAGGGAACAATTAAACCAGCTTTAGCCAGAGAGGGTATTGCCCATCCCAATGGTCCAAATTTGAGTTCCTGCAAATCTCACCACCAAGGGCCAAAGTACTCTGGGTTTCTAAGTAAACTTGAAAGGCAGTCTAGACCACAAGGATTGCAACTATTAGGCAACTCCTAATGCTGACCTGGGCCCAGAAACAGTGGACTTGTGGGAGCAGGGGACACATGACCTACTGAGACACAAGGTGGGGCAGCTAAGGGATTGCTGGCATTACGCCTCTTCTAACTGCAGGATACACAACTCACAGCTCCAAAAAAGACCCCTTCCTTCTGCCTGAGAAGAGGAGAGGAAAGAGTGGGGAAGACTTTGTCTTGCATCTTGGATACCTGCTCAGCCACAGCAGGATAGGGCACCAGTCAGAGTTGTGAGACCCTTGTTCTAGGCCCCAGCTCCCAGACAACATTTCTAGACACATCATGAGTCAGAAGAGATCCTGCTGCCTTGAAGGGAAGAATCCAGTCCTGGCAGCATTCATAACCTGCTAACTGAAGAGCCCTAGGGCCCTGAACAACCAGCAGCAATACCCAGGTACTACATCTGGGGCCTCGGATGAGCCTCTGAGACTTGCTTGCTTCAGGTACCAGCACAGCCACAGGGAGGTAGAGCACTAAATGGGCTCTCGAGGTCCCCAATTTCAGGACCTGACTCTTGGATGGCATTTCTGGATTTGCCCCGGGACAGAGGAGAGCCCACTGCCCTGAAGGGTGAGTCCTAGGCCAGGCATCATTCACTACAAGCTGACTTAAGAGCCCTTGGGCCTTAAGGGAACATTGGCAGGAGTCTGGCAGAACTCCTTGTGGTCTGTGGTGTCAGTGTCCAAAGGGTGAGGCTCCTTTGCTTTTGGAAAGGGGAAGGAAGAGTGGAAAGGACTGCATCTTGTGGTTTGAGTGTTAGCTCAGCAACAGTACAATAAAACAACAGGTAGATTTCTAAGATTTTTGACTCTAGCCCTTGACTCCCAGATTGTACTTCTGGACACACCTGGGGCCTGGGGGAATCCACTGCCCTGAAGAAAAGGACACAGGCCTGGCTGTTTTTGCCACTTGCAAAGACCCCTAGGGCCATAAGCAAACATAGGCAATAGCCAGGGAGTGATTACAGCAGGTCTTGGGCAAGACTCAGTGCTGTGCTGACTTCAGGCCTGACGCAGTGCAATTATAGTGGTGGTAGCCACAGGCATGCTTGTGTCACTCTACCCCTAGCTTGAGGTGTCCCAGAAGACAGAGAGAGACTCTGTTTGTTTGGAAGAAAGTAAGGGGGGAAGGGCACAAGAGTATCTATCTAGTAATCCAGATAATTCTCCCAGATCTTGTTCAAGACTATCAAGGTGGTACCTCTATGAGTCTGCAAGAACCACAGCATTACTGGGCTTAGGGTGCTTCCTAAAACACATTCAGCTTAGATTACAATACCCTTTTGAATATCTGAAAAGTCTTTTAAAATACCTGAAAAGCCTTCCCAGCATCTTATAAAAGCAAGAGCAAGCCAAACCCAAAATCAGTAGAAGAAAAGAAGTAATAAATATCAGAGCAGATATAAACGTATTTGAAATGAAGGAAATAATACAAAACATCAATAAAACAAAAAGTTGTTTTTTGACAAGGTAAACAAAATTGGCAAATCTTTAGACAGACTAACTAATTTAAAAAGAGAGAATAAGCAAATAAATAAAAACAGAAATGAAAAAGGAGATATTAAAACTGATACCATAGAAATTCAAAGGATCATTAGTGGTTAATTTGAGCAACTATATGCCAATACATTGGGAAATCTAGAAGAAATGGACGAATTCCTAGACACATATAACCCAGAAGATTGAACCAGGAAAAAAATCCAAAACCTGAACAAACCAATAACAAGTAATGAAATTGAAGCTGTAATAAAGTCTCCCAGTAATAAATCACTGGAACCTGAATGGCTTTGCTGCTGAATCTTACCCAACATTTAAAGAAGAAGTAATACCAATCCTACTCAAACTATTCCAAAAAATAGAGGAGAGGGTACTTCCAAATTCATTCTACAAGGCCAATATTACTCTGAAACTAAAACCAGACAAACATCAATAAAAGAAAGCCAGAGGCCAATATCTTTGATGAATATTGATGCAAAAATCCTCAACAAAATACTAGCAAACAGAATTCAATAATATATTAAAAAGATCATCCAACGTGACCAAGTGGGATTTATCCCTGGGATGCAAGGATGGTTCAACATATGCAAATTAATCAATGTGATATGTCATATCAATAAAATGAAGGACAAAATACATATGGTCCTTTCAATTGATGCTGAAAAAGTAACTGACAAAATTTAACATTCTTCATGATAGAAATCCTCAAAAATCTGGGGATAGAAGAAACACATCTTAATATAAGCCATATATGACAGACCCAGAGCTAGTATCATACTGAAGGAGAAAACACAGAAAGCCTTTCCTCTAAAGTCTGAAACACCACAAAGTTGCTCAGTGTTATTGCTGTTATTCAACATAGGACTGGGAAATCCTAGATAGAGTGATCAGATAAGAGAGAGAAGTAAAGGGCATCCAAACTGGAATGGAAGAAGTAAAGTTATCCTTGTTTGCAGATGATATGATATTATATTTGGCAAAACCTAAAGACTTCACCAAAAAACTATTAGAAATGATAAATTCAGTAAAGATGAAGGATATAAAATCAACATTTGAAAATCAGTAACATTTTTATATGACAACAGTGAACAATCTAAAAAGAAATTAAAAAGCAATCCTATTTACAATAGCCACAAAAAAATTAAATACCTAAGAATTAACCAAAGAAGTGAAAAATCTCAATAACAAAAACTATAATACATCAATGAAAAAAATTGAAGAGGACACCAAAAAGAGGAAAAAATGTTGTGTTCATTGATTAGAAGAGTCAATATTGTTAAGATGTCCACACTACCCAAAGTGATCTACAGATTCAATATAGTCCCTATCAAAATACCAATAACATTCTTCACAGAAATAGAAAAAACAATCATAAAATTTATATGGAACCACAAAAGACCAGGGATAGCCAAAGCCATCCTAAAGAAACAGAACAAAGCTAGAGGAATCACATTACCTGATTTCAAATTATACTACAGAGCTATACTCACCAAAATATCATGGTACTGGCATAAAATCAGACATATAGACCAATGGAACAGAATATAGAACCCAGAAACAAATCCACATACTTATAATGAATTCATTTTCAACAAATGTGTCAAGAACGTACACTGGGGAAAAGACAATCTCTTCAATAAATGGCTCAGGGAAAACTGGATATCCATATGCAGAAGAATGAAACTAAACCCCTATCTCTCATGATGTACAATAATCAAATCAAATTGATTGAAGACTTAAATCTAAGATCTCAACCCATGAAATTACTAAAAGAAAACGTTGGGGAAAATCTCCAACACATTGGTCTGGGCAAAAATTTCTTGAGTAATACCCCACAAGTACAGGCAACCAAAGCAAAAATGGACAAATGGGATCACATTAAGTTAAAAAGCTTCTACAGAGCAAAGGAAACAATCAACAATGTAAACAGACAATCCACAGAATGGGAGAAAGTATTTGCAAACTACTTCAACAAGGGATTCATAACCTGAATATATAAGGAATTCAAACAACTCTATATTTAAAAAGCTGATAATCTTATCAAAAAATGGGCAAAGGATTTGACTATACCTTTCTCAAAAGAAGACATACACATGGCAAACAGGCATATAAACACATATTCAACATCATTGATCATCAGAGAAATACAAATGAAAACCACAATGGAATATCATGTCACTCCAGTTAAAATGGCTTATATACAAAAGACAGACAATAATAAATGCTGGTGAGGATGTGAAGAAAAGGGAACCCTCATTCACTGCTAATGCGAATGCAAATTAGTACAAGTACTATGGAGTACAGTTTGGAGGTTCCTCAAAAACTAAAATAGAGCTACCATATTATCCAGTAATTCCACTACTGGGTATATACCCCT
The DNA here is from genome assembly GCF_000001405.40 of Homo sapiens. NCBI lineage: Eukaryota > Metazoa > Chordata > Mammalia > Primates > Hominidae > Homo > Homo sapiens. Next base: position 108,090,202 of record NC_000002.12, on the reverse strand, counting down.
GTATTTGTCCATTTTCATGCTGTTGATAAAGACACACCTGAGACTGGGAAGAAAAAAAGGTTTAATTTGAGTTACAGCTCCACGTGGCCGGGGAGGCCTCAGAATCATGGCAGGAGATGAAAGGCACTTCTTACATGGTGCAGGCAAGAGAAAATGAGAAGCAAAAGTAGAAACCCCTGATAAACCCATCAGATCTCATGAGACTTACTCACTATCATAGGAATAGCACTGGAAAGCCCAGGCTCCATGATGCAATTACCTCCCCCTGGGTTCCTCCCACAATATGTGGGAATTCTGAGAAATACAATTCAAGTTGAGATTTGGGTGGGGACACAGCCAAATCATGTCATTCCACCCGTGGCCCCTACAAATCTCATGTCCTTACATTTCAAAACAAATCATGCATTCCCAACAGCCGCCCAAAGTTTTAACTCATTTGAGCATTAACCCAAAAGTCCACAATCCAAAGTCTCATCTGAGACAAGGCAAATTTCTTCCACCTATGAGCTTATAAAATCAAAAGCAAGCTAGTGACTTCCTAGATACACTGGGGGTATAGGTATTGTGTAAATACAGCCATTCCAAATGGGAGAAATTGGCCAAAACAAAGGGGCTACAGGGCCCATGCAAGTCCAAACTCCAGTGGAGCAGTAAAAATTTAAAGCTCCAAAATGATCTCCTTTGACTCCTGGTCTCACATCTAGGTCATGCTGATACAAGAGGTGGGTTTCCATGGTCTTGGGCAGCTCCACATGTGTGGCTTTGCAGGGTACAGCTTCTCTCCTGGCTGCTTTCATGGGCTGGCATTGAGTGACTGTGGCTTTTCCAGGTGCATGGTGCAAGCTCTTGGTGGATCTACCATTCTGGGGTCTAGAGGATGGTGGCCTTCTTCTCACAGGTCCACTAGGCAGTGCCCCAGGAAGGACTGTGTGTGGGAGTGCCAACTCATATTTCCCTTCTACACTGCCCTAGCAGAGGCTATCCATGAGGGTCCCGCCCCTACAGCAAACTTTTACCTAGGTATTCACGTGTTTCCATACATCTTTTGAAATCTAGGTGGAGGCTCCCAAACCTCAGTTCTTGACTTCTGTGCATCCACAGGCTCAACATCACGTGGAAGCTGCCAAGGCTTGGAGTTTCCACCCTCTGAAGCCACAGGCTGAGCTGTATGTTGACCCCTTTCAGCCATGGCTGGAGAGGCTAGGACATAGGGCACCAAGTCCCTAGGCTACACACAAGCATGGGGACCCTGGGCTCAGCCCATGAAACCACTTTTTCCTCCTGGGCCTTAAGGCCTGTGATGGGAGGGGTTGCTGTGAAGGTCTCTGACATGGCCTGGAGACATTCTCCCCATGGTCTTGGGATTAACATTAGGCTTCTTGCTACTTATGCAAATTTCTGCAACCAGCTTGAATTTCTCCCTAGAAAATGAGTTTTTCTTTTCTATCACATAGTCAGGCTGCAAATTTTCCTAACTTTTATGCTCCGCTTCTCTTATAAAACTGAATGCCTTTAACAACACCCAAGTCACCTCTTACATGCTTTGCTGTTTAGAAATTTCTTCTGCCAAATACCCTAAATCATCTCTCTCAAGTTCTGTCTTCCACAAAATCTTTAAGGCAGGGGCAAAATGCTGCCAGTCTCTGTGCTAAAACATAACAAGGGTCACCTTTGCTCCAGGTCCCAACAAGTACCTCATCTCTATCTGAGACCCCCTCAGCCTGGATTTTATTGTCCATATCGCTATCAGCATTTTGGGCAAAGCCATTCAACAAGTTACTAGGAAGTTTCAAACTTACCCACATTTTCCTATCTTCTTCTGAGTCCTCCAAATTGTTCCAATCTCTGCCTATTACCCAGTTCCAAAGTTGCTTCCACTCTTTTGGCTATCTTTTCAGCAACACTCCACTCTACTGGTACCAATTTACTGTATTAGTTTGTTTTCATACTGCTGGTAAAGACACACCTGAGACTGGGAAGAAAATGTGGTTTAAATGGACTTACAGTTCCACATGACTGGGGAGGCCTCAGAATCATGGTGGGAGGTGAAAGGCACTTCTTACATGGTGGAGGCAAGAGAAAATGAGGAGAAGCAAAAGCAGAAACCCCTGATAAACCCATCAGATCTCATGAGACTTATTCACTATCATGAGAATAGCATGGGAAAGACCGGCCCCTGTGATTCAATTACCTCCCCCTGGGTTCCTCCCATAACACATGGGAATTCTGGGAGATACAATTCAAGTTGAGATTTGGGTGGGATACAGCCAAACCATATCAACCTCAAAAAAGAAAATCAGTATATTGAAGAGATATCTGCACGCCTATGTTTGTTGCAGCACTGTTCACAATAGCTAAGATTTGGAAGCAACCTAAGTGTCCGTCAACAGATGAATAGATTTAAAAAAATGGTATGTAAAAAAACAATGGAGTATTATTCAGCCATAAAAAGAATGAAGTCCTGTCATTTGCAGCAACATGGATAGAACTAGATGTCATCATATTAAGCCAAATAAGCCAGGCACAGAAAGAGAAACATCACATGTTCTCACTTGTTTGGATCTAAAAATAAGAACAATTGAAGGTATGGAGATGGAGCATAGAAGGGTGGTTACCAGAGGTTGGGAAGGGTAGTGGGGCATTGGAAGGGGATGGGGACATGCTTAATAGGTACAAAAAATAGAAAGAACGAATAAAACATGCTATTTGATCAAACAGCATGGTGAGTGTAGTCAATAATAACTTCATTATACAGGTTTTAAATAACTTAAAAAGTATAATTGAATGGCTTGTAACACAAACGATAAACGCTTGAAGGGATGGCTAACCCATTTTCCATGATGTGCTTACCTCACATTGCATGCCTCTATCAAAACATCTCATGTATCCCACAAATATATACACCTACTATGTACCCACCAAAATGAAAAATAAAAAAAAAAAAAACTTGAAATCATATGTTTTTTTGTCCCACAGAAGAAAACATATTACAACTAGGAAACATTTTACATGTAATCTAATATTCTCTTCTTAATTTAGAATTGAGAACATTGAGGCTCAGATGGGTTAAGTGATTAATTGAAGTCATGAAGCTAGAAACTAAATTCCAATGCAAAAGAGGCTTGTTTTCAATTATAGCATGGTGCTACCATGGTATCTCTCAATTTATTTAATGCATACTGATAAAAGGCTTATTTTCATCATATTAAAAGTAATGCTTGTACTTCTGGTTTGAGCCATTATGCAGTAATAATGGGTATTAGACTTCTCTTCCCAGAAGGAACAACTGCAGGATAATCTGCATGGAGCAACTGTGTTTAGGCATTGGACTAAACAGAGCATAGGACTGTGGCCCTTGGGAGAAAATAACTTCATGAGTAAAACTTTAAATTCCTTTTGGCTTTCTTGCTGCAGATCCTTTCCAAACCATACCATAGGGAAATGGAGACCAGAGTGCAGTGATAATGCTCGGTGGAGAAAACACAGAATAAAGTTCAGGGCCACCGAGGCAGGTGGAATGTGAGGAACAGGTTATAAAACAAGAAGTGTAGAGACAGAAGAGGAGCTTCAGAAATCTGTATAGAAGTTATCTTGAGCCTGTGGCCAAATACTAAGTTGTACATGCTCAGATTCCCTAAAGCTCTGCAGAAAATAGCTACTAGAAGCTACATGGGATTGGGGCTGCACAACTCTGGCAAACACTGGAGGTGTGACAAGCCATAGTAAACACCATAGGCATCCAGCTGAGACTCAGGCAAGGCCAGAGCATTTAAGAAAGCTTAAAAGTAAGAATTAATAGATTGAAGCTGATCAGCTAGTAAATACATAGAACAAAACTCAACATCCTTCCAATGAAGTTACCACAAATTAGAACCTGCAGCATAATATCTACAATTTTCAGAAAGCCATCAAAATGACTATTCCAAGATATGCTGGACTTACCAGATAAGGACTATAAAATAGCTATTGATATTATAAATTTGTTCAAAGATTTAAGAAAAAATAAAACAAAAAATATGACAGATAGGGACTCTGCATACAAGTTAACATTTAAAAAATTAAAATTCTACATCTACAAAGCACAATAGTTGAATTGAAAATTTTACCCGATAGGCTTAACAGCAGTTTAGATAGGACAGAAGAAAGATTAGTGGGTTTTGGGATAGGGTAATAGAAATTAAAACAGAGAAAGAAAAATCACTAAAAACAAAAAACATATGTTCAATGTCATGTGGTATAACATACATGTGATTGGAGTGCCAGAAAAAGAGGAGAGAAAAATTGGGGTAGAAAAAGATATTTGAAAAGATAATGCCTGAAAAATTTTAAATTTACTGAAAAAAATATTAACCTAGAGATCTAAGAAGTAGGATAAACACAAAGCAAACTGTATTATTTTAGATTGATTCAAAAGCAAAAACAGAAAATTTAAAAAGTAGTGAAGTAAAAAGAACACATTGATGTAGGATAATAACAATAAAAATAACGGCTAAACTTTCATCATTATAAATGCAGTCCAAAAAAATTGAATGATGCCTTTAAAATGCTGTAAGAGGAAAATAGTTATTAACATAGAATTCTATATCTAGAAAAAGTCATTTCAAAAAATGAAGACAAAATAAAGACATATTCAGATAAACAAAAGCTGAGATCATTTGTCTCTGGGAGACCAACACTTACAAAAATCCATAGAAGAGGTTCAAGTTACCAAAGGGAAATTAAATTAAATGGAAAAAAGAATTGAAGGGTATTGGAAATAGTAAATTGGAGGGTAAGTAGAAAATAGTTATTTTACATGTTTCTTAATGTCTTTAAATGACATATTTAAAAGGTTGTTTAAAACAAACACTAAAACACTGTTTTCTAACATGGAGTTTATAACATATGTAGATGTATGGTATATGACAGCAATGAAAAAAAAACATGAGTGGTAAAATACTACACTGTTGTAAGTGTTTAATTAATACTATTTCTGTTTTACATGGCATAAATAATAGTGATTAAAGGTCAACTGTAATAGGTTAAATATGTGTATTGTAATACTTACGACAATCTCTCAAAATTTAAAGCAAAGAAATACAGCTAAAAATCCAATAGAAGACATAAAATGGAATGTTAAAAACTACCCAAATGATTCTAAAGAAGGCAGAAAAATGAATGAAGAATGCATAAATATGAAACAAATAAAAGGAAAATGGTAGACATAAGACAAAACAGATTTAAATTATGTCAAATGCAAATGGACTAAATGCACTATTTAAAAAGCAGTGATTATCAGATTGGAAAAGAAAGAATCAACTATATGCTGTTTAAAAATATATACCTTAAATAAAAGATGCAGATGTATCAGAAGTGAAGGGATGAAAAGTATGACATGCAAACACTAATCATAAAACTGTTGGACTGATTCTATTTCTCCAAGGCAAATTAGAATTCAAGACAAGGAAAATTTTGAGAGATAGAGATATTTCACAATTATAAAAAGGTCAATTAGTAAAAAGAAAAAGGATAAAAATGCTAAATGTGTATGCACCTAATAACACTGTGTAAAGACACATGAAAAGTTTACAAGTCTAAAATGAGATAAACTAAAAAACATAGTGGGAGATTTTCACACTCCATTTCCTGTGATCAGTAAAACAGGAAACACATTTAGTAAAGACAGAGCATCTGGACCACACTACCTATCACCACAATGATAGAACACTACATATTCCTTTGAAGTTCACTAGGATAAGTCAGGTGCCAGGTTTAACGCCAAGTGTTGTGTAAAACACAGCTCAGTAAATTAAAAAAAAAATTATATCGTACACAATTTTTCCCCGATCATGACATTTTAAAACATAACTCAAGAACAGAAAGATATCTGAAAGTCCCCAAATACATTACAATAAAGCAACACACTTCTATGTAATGGGTGGACAAAAGAAGAAATCACAAGAGAAATATTAACATACGTTCAACTGAGAAAGTTAAAATTCAGCATATTAAAATTGTGTAATGAACTAATATAGTGTATACAGAAAAAATATTTTAAACGATTAAGCATAAAAATGTTTAAAATCAATAATCTTATTTTAAGATTCTAGAAGAGCAAATTAGCAAAATAAATTGAAGAGAGAGGCAATCAACACAAGAGGAGAAATCTCCAATGTCTCTATCGTCTCATCCCCGGGGAATCACGCCTTCCCAGTGCCTACTTGGTCTCACCCTTGGTGCATCATGCCTCTCCAGTGCCTGGACTGACTAATCTCTAGGGATTCCTGCCTCCCCAGTGCCTTCACAGCCTCATCTCTAGGGAATCCTGCCTCCCCAGTGCCTGCGCGGTCTCATACCTAGAGGTTTGTGCATCCTCAGTGTCTATATTCTGTGTTCTGTAGTGGTTCATGCATCCTCAGCATGTGCGTGGTCTCTCCTCTAGTGGTTCATGCATCCCAGTGGCTGCATGAGCCCCCAGGGTCTCCATGTTCTCTCTGGGTCTGGAGCCCCTTTGTTGAGTTGATTTAATGTAATAAGTGAAAACCAGTACCTGAGCACCTCTGGACAGTTTTCCCTCCATTCTTATCCTCCTTTTTGGGTGCTAACACAGTAGAAACCCGCTGTAAGCGCTCTCCTTTGCTATGGGCACTTCCTCAACCACCAGGCCTTTCTGGCAATGTCACCTCTGGTAGTTCAGCAGAGTCTAAAGCATCATCCTTTTTTCCTACCTCTTTTCTATTGAATCTTGCCAGGTTTAGTACATGTGAGCACTGGAAGATGCTTGAAAAAGGTAGGTGTCTACTCAGTTGTTGCCCTGGTGTTTGAAAACTGTAATTTAGGTCCCGCAGCTCCCACTTCTGTGAGCTTATTATTCATGACTGCTTTCAAGACTTTAATGCTCCTGTCTCTGCTATATGATAGTCAATGATGAAGTATGGGTATTTATTAGCTGAGTTGTCTCTCCTGAACCTAGCAGTGAGGTACCTTTCTTTGTATTTGACAAGTGCATGTTTAATGCTAACCCTGTTAAATCCAAGTGCTGTTTTAAGGGCCCTTAAGGAGTAGTGTTAAATGTAGGAACTTCAGGAAACCAAGGTTACTCAAGAATATACTTGTAAACAGGGCTCCAAGGACTTCTCTAGTCATATTAGCAGGTGACTTTTTATGTGCTCATAAAGCAGTATTGATTCCAATAGCCTAAACAGGACAGTCTTTAGGTTTGAGGCTAACCCTCGTGATTCTAGTTTTCTGTGTAGGATCTGGAGGTGAGGAGCCTCCATGAAGAACTTAGAACCCCTATGCCCACAAGGATTGGGTTCTTCATCATCAGGGCCCAAGGATTTAGTGCACAGAGTCATTTTGTGGGACATTTAGGAGGTGCCTCTTGGGGGAGCCCTGACTCATCATGAAAATTCCATCTGGGGAAAATGCGTCTGGTTTGCCTAAACACTATAAACTAAATGAGCCTTAAAATATAATGCTGTCCCTCAGGGAAATAACGGTGACAGCATTTCAGAAAGAAATGGAAATTTTTGACTGCCATATAACACAAAATATCAAGAAGAGAAATAATTCCATTGAATGATGTAGGAGAAAACACTAGAGTAGGAGTCTGCAGACCTGATCTTAAATCTTGTTTGAGTGACTTTTGACAAGTTGCTTCATCTCTTTGATTCCCACATACCTCATTTACAAAACAAGACATTGGTGTAGATTCCTTTTAAGAATTCCTCTGAGTCTCTAGGGGCAAGGATTCCATGAAATAGATAATTTATTTGACTTGTAAATTAATAATTGACAAAAAACCACCTCATTAATTGACTATGAGATGACTGGTATGTCATGGAAATTTTAATGTTTGCTCATTAGTTGGATTTAACACCTTAAAAGTAATGATGGCACACATTTACAATTATGTGCATGTTCAGAGAGCGTTTATATATATTTTTTCTGGCATCAGCTAGAGACAAAGAATATAGTCCTCCTGTATTAGTCTGTTCTCATGCTGCTAATAAACATATACCTGAGACTGGGTAACTTATAAAGGAAAGAGGTTTCATTGACTCACAGTTCCACATGGCTGGGGAAGCCTCACAGTCATGGTGGAGGAGTAAGGGGCATCTTACATGGTGGCAGGCAAGATAGAGCTTGTGTAGGGGAACTCCCCTGTATAAAACCATCAGATTTCATGAGATGTATTCACTATCATGAGAAAAAGCATGGGAAAGGTCTGCCCCTATGATTTAATTACCTCCCACCAGGTCCTTCCCACGATACGTGGGAATTATGAGAGCGACAATTCCAGATGAGATTTGGGTGGGGACACAGCCAAACCATATCACCTCCCCCTCCTCACCACATATAATTTCAAAAGAAGTGAGGGCATGGAAGTTATTTTCCAGACATTAAAACTCTGACTTATAAATGCTGGACGTTAGACCTTTGTTGGATGAATAGTTTGCAATTTTTTTCTCCCATTCTGTAGGTTGTCTGTTTACTCTGTTGATAGGTTTTTGTTGTTGTTGTTGTTGTTCTTTTTTTTCTGGAGTGCAGCAGCTCTTTAGTTTAATTAGATCCCTTTTGTCAATTTTTGCTTTTGTTGCAATTGCTGTTGACATCTTCATCATGAAATTTTTGCCCATGCCTATGTCCTGAATGATATTGCCTTGGTTGTCTTCCAGGGTTTTTATAGTTCTGAGTTTTACATTTAAGTCTTTAATCCATCTTGAGTTAATTTTATATATGGCATAAGGAAGGAACTTAAAAACATTTACAAGCAAAAAATAAACAACCCCACAGAAAAGTGGGCAAAGGACATGAACAGACACTTTTTGAAAGAAGATATATGTACAGCCAACAATCATATGAAAAAAGCTGAACATCACTGATCATTAGAAACACACAAATCAAAACCACAATAAGATACCATCTAACACCAGTCACAATGGCTATTATTAATATTAAAAAGTCAAAAAATAACAGATGCTGACAAGATTGTGGAGACAAAGGAACACTTATACACTATTGGTGCGAGTGTAAATTAGTTCAGCCAGTGTGGAAGGCAGTGTGGAAATTCCTCAAAGACCAAAAGACAGAAATACCTTTGGACCCAGCAATTTCATTACTGTGTATATACCCAAAGGAATATAAATCATTCTACCATAAAGACACAGGCATGTGTATGTTCATTGCAGCACTATTCACAATAGTGAAGACATGCGATAAACATAAATGCCTATCAATGATAGACTGGATAAAGAAAAGGTGGTAAATATACACCATGGAATACTATGCAGTCACAAAAAAGAACAAGATCATGTCCTTTGCAGGGACATGGATGGTGCTGGAGGTTATTATCCTTAGCAAACTAACACAGGAACAGAAAACTAAATACCACATTTTCACATATAAGTAGGAGCTAAATGACGAGAACACATGGACACATGGAGGGGAACAACAGACACTGGGACCTATTGGAGGATGAGGATCAGGAAAAATAATGAATGGCTACTAGGCTTAATACCTGGGTGATGAAATAATCTATACAACAAACCCCCATGACACAAGTTTACCTATGTAACAAACCTGCACTTGCACCCCTGAACTTACAATAAAAGTTAAACAATAAAAAACCTCTGACTATTTTTTGGCACTATGGAAATTTTTCCAGCCTGGTATGAGAATTTTTTAATGCAAAAGAAGCCTCAGGAGCTGTTTAAGTATGTGTGGCCATGTCTCAGGGATGTACTTTCACCCAAGTTCAGAAGCTGTATTCAGATAAACCCTAGGTTTGTCCTATATTATGAAAAAGAAACTGCAGCTAGACTCCTGTGGCTGACAGACATCCCCAGCTGTGCACAGCTGCAGCCTGCAGTGGTGGTTTTGAGGTTCCCTTACCACTTAACATTGACCTCCTTATTTTTCCTGAAAGCCACTGTGCCTTGGATTCCATGATAGCATCTTCCTGGTTTCCTCCTACCTCTCCGGCAACATAGCCTCAGCCTTCTTTCTTAGATTATCTGCCTTTACCACATTTTCAACTACTGAATTTTCTCCAGGCTCAATGCTTAGACCCCTGTCTTACTCCACAATTTCTTCCTAGTTTATATTGGTAATTCCCAGAGGCTTCAACTACTGTTTGATAACTTCAGTTATATATCTCCTTTCTAGACTTTCCCTCTCAGATTTAGACTACATAGTAAGCTTTCACTAAGCTCCAACTCCTTAGTAATGACATCTAAAAACCACAGCTCCTTCAATATCACATGTCCTGCTTAACTCCTGACTTTTTACCTCCCAAACCTACTTCCCCTTTCTGGTCTCACTGAAAAGACTAGTTACTTACTCAATTGTGCAAAGCAGACACTTGGGAGTCACTCTCATGGCTAATGAATCCCTGTATCCCTTATCTCCTCTCTTATCAACTACTCTTACTTTCTTTTTATTTTTATCCAATTCTACATCAAAATTACAATAGCTTTCTAGTCCATCTCCCAGGCTCAGTTTGTAATCTTATTTGATCCTTTCTCTACAAGCAGCTGTGCAATTTTTAAAAAATAGAAATGTAAAACAAATCTGATCATGCCATTTCCATTGATGGCATTTCATTACTCTGAGGTATGGTGATCAATTGTTCCATTTTTCACAGGACTGAGGAATTACCCAGGATATGGGCCTTTCAGTGAACCAGGACAGTCCTGAGACAATTGTCCCTATTTGCTTAAGATATAGGGTTTCCTGGCATGTGATATTCTCAGTGCTAAAACTGGGAGAACCTGTCTAAAACACCAAAAGCAATGGCAACAAAAGCCAAAATTGATAAATGGGATCTAATTAAACTAAAGAGCTTCTGCACAGCAAAAGAAACTACCATCAGAGTGAACAGGCAACCTACAGAATGGGAGAAAATTTTCACAACCTACTCATCTGACAAAGGGCTAATACCCAGAATCTACAATGAACTCAAACAAATTTACAAGAAAAAAACAAACAACCCCATCAAAAATTGGGCAAAGGATATGAACAGACACTTCTCAAAAGAAGACATTTATGCAGCCAAAAAACACATGAAAAAATGCTCATCATCACTGGCCATCAGAGAAATGCAAATCAAAACGACAATGAGATACCATCTCACACCAGTTAGAATGGCGATCATTAAAAAGTCAGGAAAGAACAGGTGCTGGAGAGGATGTGGAGAAATAGGAACACTTTTACACTGTTGGTGGGACTGTCAATTAGTTCAACCATTGTGGAAGTCAGTGTGGTGATTCCTCAGGGATCTAGAACTAAAAATACCATTTGACCTGGCCATCCCGTTACTCGGTATATACCCAAAGGATTATAAATCATGCTGCTATAAAGACACATGCACACGTATGTTTATTGTGGCACTATTCACAATAGCAAAGTCTTGGAACCAACCCAAATGTCCAACAACAATAGACTGGATTAAGAAAATATGGCACATATACACCATGGAATACTATGCAGCCATAAAAATGGTGAGTTCATGTCCTTTGTAGGGACATGGATGAAGCTGGAAACCATCATTCTCAGCAAACTATCACGAGGACAAAAAACCAAACACCGCATGTTCTCACTCATAGGTGGGAATTGAACAATGAGAACACATGGACACAGGAAGGGGAACATCACACTCCTGGGACTGTTGTGGGGTGGGGGGAGGGGGGAGGGATAGCATTAGGAGATATACCTAATGCTAAATGAGGAGTTAATGGGTGCAGCACACCAACATGGCACATGTATACATATGTAACAAACCTGCACGTTGTGCACATGTACCCTAAAACTTAAAGTATAATAATAAAAAAAAAACTGGGAGAACCTGAGGCAAAGTAATCACCCTAGTTTTAGAACAAACTAGTTAAAGTCCCTGGATGTTCTGCCCTGCTTTTCTTTGGTTCTCTGAGTTTCAGCCACAAGAGTCTTCCTTCAGTTCCATGAAGTGTCCCTCTCTTGATGCCATTGGGTTTCCCCTCCCCCTCCCTCTCATCCCAGTGCCCTTGGTTTTCGGAGGACAATTCAGTCCCTGCCCATAGTTTGCATAACTGCCATAAAGCAAAGACTTCACAGGGGCCAAGGAGCCACAGCTTCCTGTTCCTCATGCATGCCTTTGGAAGGTCTCATTGTATCTTCTTTCCACATTGTAGTGGGAATGGAACCTTTTCCATTGATAACAAACAAGCCCACACAAAGTCTCAAGGCGATAATTAGAGAAGTCAACATTTGTCTATTACGGAAGGATAGGTAGAGAATTTGGTTTATTATTTTCATTAGAATTTGAAAAAAAAAATCTAAGAAAAATTGTGCTAGAGCTTTGGCCTATAAGATGCTAGTAGAAATTTTTCCCCTAAGAATACTTTTCCTCACATGAGCACAAAGGGCTTTGCCACATGCTGGGCAACTGACCCTTGACATATCCCTGTGCAGTGGTGCAGACCCCAAGACGCAGTTCTGGGAATGAACCCAGACTTTCCATCAACCTATCTATTTGCAGCTGTGCTTCAGAGGCCTCAGCTGGAGAGAATTGGCTGTAGGTTCTCAGACCCCAGCTGAGCTAATGGAGCAAAGAGAGACGGAGTAGCTACTGTGAATGCAAAGAACTACAAAAAAATGTGGACAGAGCACAATTCAATTGTAGCATCTTTCAATGACCTGTGTATAGGGGAATACACCGTAAGTGGTTAACTGCTATGTGCAACACCACAGATCCTATTGCCCTGGTTATCTTTGCTGCCTACTGGGATTCACTGTGTTGGAAAAATCTCAGAACCCAAGGATGTCGGAGTTGGAAGGGAACTGAGGACTCATCTAACCCCTCCCCTTCATTCTTCATTGAGGACTTTCAGATGCAGAGGGGTTTATGCCTCTTGCTTGAGGGTCACTTTGTTATTTACATATAATGAAAATGAACATGCCTCTAGTTTCTAGTTAATTAAGATCCAGCTTTGAATGCTACTCAATTAGGTATTTCCCCTGGTGTATGTGGATCTGTAGTCTGAAAAAGCAACAATCAATGGTGTCCACTTTTTAACACAAATCAGGACTAAATGAGTTTTAAAATGATGAGTTGGTTAAAAATACGTTCAGTGGGAATAGTTGTGTTCATCAGTCTTCCGTTAATGGTTTGGAACCTAAAGTGATTTTTAAATCATTTATTTCTTTCCCAAAGGTTTTATGCCCACCTTTAAGTAAACAGCAGAATTTAATCAGCAGAGTTAGATGAGCAATTTCTCTCTTGAGAGCTTGCGCAGTATTGAAACTCATTGGGTTTCACAGTTACAAAATGCAGTCTGTTTCAATGGTCCTCATATTCTTAGATATGCCTCTAGGTAATCATTGATCTTCATACATGTGACCATAATTCAGCCTATTAAATTCAAATTTGAAATATGGCGACATCCCTTTAAAAGCATAAGAGGGCATAGCGGTCCCATGAGATATTACAACAGACCTCTGATCCTCCACACAGCTGCTCTGTGTACATATTGGGGCAGCCACATAGGAGCATGTTTGGAGCTGTATGATAAATCAAATTCATTTAGCATGAGAAGACAGTTTATACTAAGCGTACATTTTTATAACACAATATTTTTTCTTTCCTCAAGGACCTCAAAGGCCTTTAACAACTCGGATTCTTATTGTTGCGTGACTTAACATTCTGCTGGGCACAGGGCAAATCCACACTACATATGGGCTATTTGATCAGAGACATATAATTTAGCATCCTTAGAGTTTCTGTGCTCCGTCATTCTATCGTCATAATAACCTTGAGGTGAAATAGGAAAGGTACTGTCATCATCATATTATAAATGAAGACATGGACACACAGAGATTAGGTGTCTATGCCAAGGTTTCAGGTTTCTATACAGGAACTCTAATACCCCTGAATTATTATTGTGATGCCAGTCAAAAAGGAAGTGGTAGGGGGTCTTAATTTGTATTAATTGGGTGGGGAATTAGCAGTTAAATTTGTTTGGTTATTGGCAGAAACAGAGAAAAACAGTGTTTACCGGTTCAGATTTTCTTTCTTAGAAATAGTGAAAGTCTCTGTAGACAGCAGTCTCACCAGTGACACTGTGTTGCACATCTCCTCACTGTTTTAATCTGTGGGACTTGAAGGTCTGTTCCAGCTTAGCTTGATAGCCTTGGGGTCAGAGTTCTAGGTTCTAGGTATGATGTCAGTAAACTAAAACCCATTTTTCAAACAAGGGGTTAGCTATCATGTCTTTAAAGATTTGTTCAGCTTAAACATTTTATGACCTCTGATACTTTTTTTTCCACTTTGGCCCGTGGGTCAGACACTAGGGTCACCTAACGGTTTCCAGGAATACAAGAAAAGAGTCATTTATCTTAAGGTTTGCGCTATTTCATAATGCTGCAATTAGTGTGCTAAAGTGTAGTTTAATGACTGAGTTTGAATCTAGGTTTAGAGAGAGCTGTGCCACTTACTATCTGTGGGAATGTAAGCGACTTACTTATCTTCTCTAAGACTGTTTTATAAAATACTTAAAATGCCAAATAAGCTTGTTGAGAGAATAGAAGATAAATGTAAGAAATGGTGCACATATAGAAAATTCTTAAGTGGTAGCTATTAATGTGATTGCTAGTATTGCTATCCCGAGGATTTGCCAGACATTAAATACATTAAATATAAAGATGATGGGAAATACAAAGTGATCAATCCCTAACAGAGATGGGCAGAAATCAACTTTGTCAACAGCTATCTCCCTGAGCCCTGTCAGTGCTGCTGTAAAAGTGAAATCAGTCACAGTGGAGTAAATGTGACCTGGACAGAGTTCTGATTGGCTGTGACCCATCAACTGCTGAGACCCTGTTGGCAGCCTTAGCATGCTCACTTCCTGAGCTTGAGCCTAGAACCCAGTCTCTCACAGCTTAAGGTTCTAATGCATAAACTGTGGACAGGATTATACAACTTAAATGAGAGACAGACAGTGAGAGAGAGAGACTCCCAAAACCCAACATGAGGTCTGGCATAGTCTGCCTCTAAATCCGCATACTTTTCATCTTGCTCTGCATGGAGTCTGACCTCTTCAGATTGCATCCATCTGGCTTCCCTGCTGAGTGCGAAAAAAGCGAATGACTAGAGAGCACTCATCTCAGGCTTTCACTGGGGAAGTCTCAGTCAGGAGATGGAATCCACTCGGGTTCCTCATTTCTCACTTAATTCTAGAGCAATACACAGAGGTCTAGCAAAGTCGGGAGTTGTTATGAGAGCCCAATGACAGCTAAGGGAATTTAAGTTGCATGATCCAAGAAGCACAGATCCCTCTCTAGCTATGATGAGGGGCTGCACAATTGCAGTAGAGTGTGGCAAACACTTTGACTTTGGCCTTTTTCTGTCAGTTGAGTGTGTGAGTGTATGGGGGAACTACTATCTCTGGGGGTCCAAGACCCAGAGGAATGTTGCACAGGAACGTTGCACAGGATTGACGTTCCTAAGAACTGGGCGATGGCCAATTTCCCAAGGAACGTTGAAGGACGCCAGCTTTTATTTTTTCTTCTTCTTTTTTTTTTTTAATTGGTGATCAGCCCCCAGGTTTCAATCTTGGACAAGTTAACACCTCTCACATGCCAACTTCTGATTGGGTTTAGACACTGGGAGATGGCAGCAGGAGATTGGAAAATGGATAGGCAGGAAGGAAAGGGCATTTTCTCCCACCTCCCCCATCCTGACTTGGCCAGGCCCCAGCCGGCTTGGTCTACGTGGCCCTATTCTATAGCTGCATTCTATTCTGGTAGCAGCCCCATTCTCTCACCCCTTACAGGTTGAGGGTTGCTGGCTCTGGCATGTTTCACTGCCTCATGCTTAGCTGAGCCCACACATGTGTGAGCAGTTCTGCTATCGATCTTCCCTCAGCTCTTCGGACTGTACCATCTGTTTCTAGCTGCAGCCCTGCCTGGTGCAATATGGAAAGATATCTATTTGTTTAAGATGTAGATCTTGTTCATTTTAGTCATTTGGGTCAACACAGGCCTTTCCAAAATTTCACACTTTGTCTATATCTTCAAATACATCTTTTAATCTAAAAAAAGGTAAACCTTTAGGGGAATATAAGAAGGAATTTGCACTAATGTTAGAAAGGCAAATTATTAAAAGTCCTCTCCTTTTTTTCCCTTCCATTTTAATTTCCTAAGAGTGATTTTTTTTTTAAATCCAAAAGCCAAGCAAAAATTATGGGAATTCTATAGCTTGCGGTATAGCCAAGGCACTATTGTGGAAATAGAAAATTCCCATGATTAGAGCAAAACCTTTCAAATGGTCTCATTGCCCAAAATGACTCCATTAGACTTGCCACAATTCCCTATTTTGTTACAATGCTCTAAGCAAGCACAAATAAAAATAGCCAAGGAGGAAGCTTATGTATAGGCTCTGGTATTAGGGTTTTTCCATGGGAAATTGATTTATTCTTCACAAGTCTATAAATTCAATTTACCTCCATGACTTCCTCTATTGATACAAATACCATGGATTCAGGGAACGCTTACACAGACATGCCTGGGAAACAGTCTTCATTTTTCTTTCTCAATTAGATGAGCTAAAATTGCATTACAGAGTACTCTGCTCCGAAAGCCCATAAATATACGTGATGTCCACTGTCTGGAGAAATGTAAAACTGTGCAGGCAGCTGCCCTCCTGACTTGGGCTTGTAATTCTCTCACATCTCCCAGTGAAGTCACAGTTTTTACTCAGTCATTCTTAGCTGAGAGCTGAAGAGGCAGTCCCTGAGTGTTTATTTTATACTGATTAAGAAATGATTGATTTCCTTATGTTTACCATATTTTAATAGTTTAAAGGGCGAATCTGAATAAGAAAGCTTCAACTTGGTCCAACAAGCTTGCGGTAACTGGGTTTCACAGTGTTCCTTTGTTCATCCATCCCTGCATTCATCTATTGTCAGGCACTTTCTAGGAACACAGTAGCTCCCTTTAATGTGACTACTAAGAAAATTAAAGAAGACAAAGTAAAATGTATAATCCATTGCTAACCATTCGAGAATGTGCAGGTATTGTGCTTGGTGCTGTGTGAGGAAACAAAAGACACAAAAAGAAAAAAGAGCTGTGTTTTCTGTATTCTGGAGTTTGGTGTCCACTGGGAGAGTGAAAGTTCAGAAAAATAATAAAATGCCACTCATCAAAATGTTGGTTTTATTTTAGTAAATATATTAAATAATTCTTAGTATATGTGTTATTTAAAAGTACTGCTGGCCGGGCGCAGTGGCTCATGCCTGTAATCCCAGCACTTTGGGAGGCTGAGGCAGGCAGATCATGAGATCAGGAGTTCGAGACCAGCCTGGCCAACATGGTGAAGCCCCGTTTCTACTAAAAATACAAAAATTAGCTGGGCGTGGTGGTGCACACCTGTAGTCCCAGCTACTCAGGAGGCTGAGGCAGGAGAATCGCCTGAACCTGGGAGGCAGAGGTTGCACTGAACCAAGATGACACCACTGCACTCCAGCCTGGGAGACAGGGCGACACTCCATCTCAAAAAAAAAAAAAAAAAAGAAGTATTGCTACATTTCCACTGTTAATTGGAGTAATTCCTAGACTTCCTAGTCTTGCTAGTAAATATGTTGGTGGAGGGTCAGCTTTACTCAATACTCCTATGAGGTGACCATCTTCAGATTGTCACAAGACTCCATCTGGTGGAACAAAAGCTTGTCCTTAGTAACGTTACCAATAGGGTTTTGATTAGTACATCAGATATTCATGGTAGGTAATTGGGGATAGCAGTTCAAGAGAGTTGAAAACTTAGCGCCTAAAATCACAGATTCTAGATTCAGATGCCATGGTTGTGAAAGCAGCCTCTGCCACATTTTAATTATGTGACCTTTGGCAAGCTACTTAATCTTTCTGGGACTCAGTTTCTTCATATGGAAAGTGTAAACAATCGTAGGATCTATTCCATGGCATGTAAAGTTCTTAGTATGACCATGAAAATGGCCATCGAATATTATTTATTACCATTATTATTAGCACTTCCTGAAACTGCAGGACCTAAAATCTGGCTCATATCTAATCTGGCATATGGTAAACCTAGTAAGCACCTGAAATAATGATACTAAGTTCTTCATTTTATGTACAATGACATATCTCTACAAAATGTTACAAACAACCTTAAGATAAGGATGTTTTTATCTTTACATAAATGAAAATAAAAATATGATAGAGTGAAACTGTAATACTTTTTCCTCAAATAGCAAGTCAGTAGATAGGAAAAATAATTGGACAGACAGTAGTCTAGAGTGAGAACCTGCAAAGAAATATTCATGGAAACCGACATAAAGTGGTTCAGGCCAGAGCATGCTGAGGGCTCTTGTCATTTCTATAACAGGATGTACAATGAGGAAGTGATAAATAAAAATAAAAAAATTAATATTACTCCCCAGCCGTTTTCACTGAAATATACTGTTTTCAATAAGCTGCTGGTTGATTGAAACTATGACTACTTGTAACTCTCTCCCTCTCTCTTTATATAGGTACATATGTGTGTGTGTGTATATATATATATATATATATATAATACATCTATTATATATTATATATAATACATCTATATAAAAATCTTAATCTGAATGATAGATTAAGTTACTTTTCTATAGAGAGAAATTTATATATCTCTACACATATTTTATATATATACATATATAGAGAGAGAGACAGTCTCACTCTGTCACTTAGGGTGAAGTGCAGTGGTGCCATCTTGTCTCACTGCAGCCTTGAATTCCTGGCTCAAGTGATCCTCCCACAACAGCCTCCTGAGTAGCTGGAACTAAAAGTGTATGCCATCATGCCTAGCTAATTATTTAAAAAATATTTTTGTAGTGACAAAGTCTCACTATGTTGCACAGATTGGTCTTGAACTCCTGGCCTCAAGGGATCCTCCTGCCTCAGCCTCCCAAAGTGCTGTGATTACCGGCATGAGCCACCGTGCCCAGCCTTAGATGTTTTTAGTAAGGTGGAATGTCAATACTTTTCATTCATTCATCCAAGAAGTTTACTAAGTGCAAGATGTGTGTCAAGCTCTTCCCTAGGCACAACAGATGCAAAGCTTAATAAACTGTCTTCAATGACCTTGCAATGCTGAAAGGAGAACTATATTATAAAGATGTAAGTCAAAGCATTAGTCTCCAAAGTGAGGAGTTTTAGGAGAGTGTGCCCAGTATTAATCTATATTTAGAAAACAAAGCTCACTTAAATAAATTTGTAAAGTATCCAAAATATGCTTTGAGACCAGCACTCAAATTTGGTGCATGTTCTGTGATATATACCAAGGGAAGGAGGTCTACAATGTAGAAGGTTGTCAATGACACACCAAACATTCTATGTATGCACTATGCATTAATGCATCATTGTATGTATACATTGTAATATATCAGTGCCTAATAAAGCATTTTTGTGAATTATGTTACTTGTTTTAGTTTAACTTTCATAAAATCAACAAGAGACTTACAAAAGCTTCCTGTAAGATAATTGCAGACCGAAGATAGTAATAAAACTGTTGATAGGAGAGCAAAAGTGAGCAAGAAACAGAAAGTGCTGTCCTTTCTCCTACTCCTAGTAGAACACCTCATCAGCCTCATCATGGATTAAAAACCATGACAATCTAGTCAGATCTAGGAAGAAACCTATCAAAATAAATTCTAATTGATCAGTATTGATCTAATTGATAAGTATATTTGTAATCAAAATTGTGATTGACATTCCTCACTTGTAAAGTATATTTGGTATTAAGATTTTGGTTAATGATGGTAGTATAGATGCACAACTCATAAATATAAAAATTTGAGAGGATGTGCTGTAAATTTCTTAAGGATAGAAGTGTGTGAGCAAGTTTGGAAACCACTGTATTTATGCAAGAGAGTTACAGGGAGCAGCAGAAAGGGACAGGTTTTATTTTCATTATTCGTTTTAACGGGCTTAAGTAATGGAATTCAAAGCAGTGCTATCCCCTCCTTACTTAACCCACTAGCACATTTGCATGTTGGAGAAGTGGTTTGTAGTATCACAGAAGGATTGCTCTGTCACATCCCGTCAAAGCGTAAGATTTTCCTCCTTAGAGATGAGACATTACTCTCCATTATGCTGTATTGCTCATTTCACAGTTACCACTGCTACTGTCAAAAGACTGAAAAGGCACTGCCTCTACTAAATAGAAATGCCCCTACTGTTAACAGAAATTCTGAAGAGACTTGTAAAATGCATCTTAAAATTTTTGAATAGAAATATCTCTTTAAATGTAAATGATCTTAATTAAATTTTGATGCAATTGTTTTTTGAGATCTTGTAGAGTTTTATGTCTTGTGATATAAAAGGGCCACTTGTAGTCTTTCATTTTGATAATATTTGTAATTCTCAAAACACCTGATGCACATTATCTTGCTTGATCTTCATAGCAATGAAGAAGGCACGGAATGAAAGGTGATGTGGATGCGGCTGCAGATCCTCTTCCTGCCTGCAGGAGCCCTGGTCCATGGGCAGGTCCTCTCAGTCTCACCTTCCTCGTGTGGCAACAGGGATAACCATTCGTACTTCATGCACTGGTTTTAAGCATCAGATTTCCTCATGTCTATAGAGTGCCACATTAAAAATCACTTAAATGCCAGTGGGCTGTCCTTTTTGTGTGTAATTTTTTTTTCAAGCTATTTTCTTAAGACATTTTGCCAGAAATGGAATTACTGAGTCAAAGGAGGTAGACATTAGCCACAAATGTCAAACTTACTTATGGGCAATTTTAAAATGGCCTTTTTAGTTTCAAGTACTAGTATTTGAAAAAAGATATTCATCTATAATGGATCCATTATATGTAGGGCAAGCAGTCCTATTTCTTTTAAACAACTTTCTAAAAAATTAAAACAAAAATAAACAATCAACATCAGAAAATGAAATTATTTAACTTTGATTTTCACTAGCTGAATAGTGCGTATATTTAGAGGGACAATATGTCACCTGAAACTTTGGAATCATTACAGTAAAACTTATAGTTTCTATTTCATTATATCAACTATTTCTCTACTCTGTAAGTTTCAGCAAGTAATTTGTGCACCGAGTACAAAATGAGGAATGCATTTAAATGGTCTTGGCATTAGAAACAAAAAATATTGACAAACAGAAAAGGAATTTAGTAGTTTTAATTAAATTCAAAACAGGGATCAAGTTTATACAGTTAGTTAATGGCAGAAGAGTGTCTGAAAACAAAGTCCTCAGGACTATGTGTTATCCCTGAGATAATATGCATTTTTATTTTTAAATCTAGTTTCACGTACTAGATAGTAGTGGGTGGTGATGCATAATGCTGGGAACTCTGATGTGATAAGCACTGTTTGAAGGCTTTATGTGTATATTCAATTTTCAAAACAACTTCGTGAGGTAGAAAGGATGTTAACCCCACCCGCACTTTGCAGAGGAGAACCCGAAAGTACAGCCAGGACCATCACATATCACGTGGCTGTTAAGGGCAGAGCCGGGACTCGAACCCAGGTAGCCCAACCCCAGAGGCTCTGCTCCTGGCCGTTTCTGATAATGCTGAGGTCGTGCAAGTTACTCCTCACAGCTGAGTTTCTTTTTTTGCTCGCTTGTAAAATGGATTTCATAACAAGATCTGCTTTATGTGTGTTGGATATATGTCTTGAGAATCACAAATGGGCATATGTGTGAAAATGCTTTATGCACTGATGTGTTGTAAAATGTTAGTTATTATTGCTTAGCTCTCTAGTTGCTAAAATCAATAATGGATCCATTTTCTAACAGCAATTTTTCTTCTTCTGCAGTGAAGAAAGTGTGATCTGACTTGAAGTGTTGCCCTTTTGCTTCTTTTGATTCCCTTTGCTTTCCCTTACAGTGTTTATCTGCTGATGATAGCCAGACATCAGTGTTAGACCTGGAGGAGGCCTGGGAGGAATCCGGTCCACTTACTCCTTCATTTCACAGAAGAAGAGCTGGAATCCAGGGTAGCTGAGGTTACTCAGACCTGACGAATGACTGGAAAGATACAAAGACATTTCACTTAATGGCCGTGGACAGCAACCTCATGATGACATCGCTCCAGCATTTCTTTGTGAAATGTGTTGCTCCCTGGGCCTGTCCCATTATCAGTGTTTGGGCCTGTATCCTGGGACTCTACCAGCTTTACCAGTGACAGTTCCATATCCCAAAACACCCTTCGGTAGCAGGCAAACTGGCATGGTTGGTCAGTCTACGAGACACAGTGAGATGGCTTCAGTCTTTTCTCTGGAGCATCTCTGGCTGGACTGGACGTTGTTAGTGTGAGACATCAGGGGACTTGCAGCATTCAGAGTGGGGTATCGGAAGGCCCACAAAGGCCCACTCTCAGTTTATAAGGTCTGGTTTAAGCTGCCCCTCTGGAGCCTGTTTTCTGTTCTAATGGAAACAAGAATTTACTCTGTTTTCATTTCCGAGCCACACAGCATTCTGCAAAATAAACTGTCAAAATAGAATTCTGAAGTTAAAATATACTTTAAGAAAAACAACAGTGAAACAGAAATAAGGTGCCGACATCTTTATAAAAACAATGCTAGCTCAAGGTCCAACAATTTAACAGTGTTGTCTTTTGTGGAGGTCTAAATATAGAACCATTATAGGTGGGATTTTGCTAAAATTCTAATCAGGTGTCATCTGAAACAAAGGAATAAAGACAGGCTGCAAGTAATTTCTATTGATATTATGCAGCCAAATCGCAAAGTCAAGTGCTAGCTAAATTCACAGAGCACATTTCAGTGTAGAAAGAGCATACACATGGCATTCTGAGGTACATCCTGCCTCTAGCATGCTGGAATGACTTTCTGTTCCTAGGTCACATAGTTACAGAAGGAGCTCTCCAACCTGACTGCTAAAGCTGCAGCCATAAATCCTTGGAACCCCTTCCAGAGACTACTGGTAATGAAGCTGTGAGCAGGCATCCTCAGGAACCCCAGGGAAATCAAGGTAAACAAGAGGAGCTTCATTTGTTTAATTAATAATTGTGCCTACTTAATGGGCTCTGACGACCCCTATGCTTTCATAAACCAACTTACCCAATCTTCCCTGATAAATGTTAGCTCACACAAGAAGTTCAACCAAATCAACCAAGAAATGTCTAAAAATTTTTATGCTGAGAATCCTGTTGGCCAACCGATCAGTCCTGCAAGCATGACCTTTTATTGGGAGGAATCGTTAAACTGTAGAGAGGATGAATGGTTAAGATGTGGTCCTTATCAATTTCAGAACTAAGGGCAGTTTCAGGCCAACCTTGCTTCAGAGGGAGAGATTTTACCAGGGTTCTGGTAAAACTCCTGATGCACCTCTGGAATTTGTTTTTCCCCGTTTAGAGTATCACATACTCTAAATTCCAAGGTTAACTTAGTTGGCAGAGTAAATGAGATAGGTTGTGTCTGAGGCCACTGTGGGTTCTAATCTGTAGGGGATGTAGTGGCTGTAGCCAGCTTCTCTGTGCAGCAGTTTACCCTATACATCCAACGGCCACCTTCGGACTGGCTTCCTGAGTTTGTTGATGGCAGGACCACCTGGTGCAGGTGCTCTCTTTGGGGCATTGCTATCCTGTTCCTTTTCTTTCTTCTTTATTTTTGTGTGTGCAGAATTCTTTTATTAGAGTCAGTTTTGTCCTACTGTTGTTTTGTCTACTTTTCTAAAATCATACCACTTTGTGTCCAATAATTTGGGCACCTGAAGATTATACTCACACATAAAACTGGAATCATACTATATATATTTATTCTTGAAAATATTATATTCTAAGGATTTCTTATAATTTCTAAATAACTTTTTTCAATTTTAACCTGAAATTTATTTGTCTTAATTTTTTAAGTTGACAAAATTTGTATTTATTCATGGTGTACAACATGATGTTTGATATATGTGCACATTGTGGAATGACTAAATCAAACTAATTAAGATATCTGTTATCTCACACACTCTTATTTTTGTAGTGAGAACATGTAAAATATACTCGCTTAGGAAGTTTCAACTACTCAACAAGCACATTGTTATCAACTATAATCACTGCACTGTACAATAGATCTCCTGAATTTATTCCTCCTGTCTAACTGAAGTTTTGTATCCTTTGACATGGCCCCAATCCCAGTCTCTGTGGTTGACTTTGGCTCCTTTTTGGCAATTTTACTTTGCCAAAAACAGTCTCTTTTTCACCTCCCCAGACAATCTCTCACTCACTTGACAGTGGTGTTTCTCTAATTATTACTTCCCCAGAGACCCCCACCCCAAATATTCCACTCATACCACAGTCTGTCCTGAACAGTTTTCAGCAAGGAGGTCGGGGAGGGAGGGGATGCTTCAGAGCGCTTGCACTCTTGCTCAGACCTGCAAGAGTCTTCCTTTCCCATGCTACTCTATAACCCCCCTTGAAGGCTACACAAGGTACCATGGGGATTTAGGAGACAGGGGTTTCAGCTTAAAAGTGTGGCTGGGATCTGCTGCAAGTCTGCAGGGGTTTCCAGGTATCCGGAGCTTAAGGGATTTGGATGCCCTTCCACGAAGTTAGAGTAAGTCTAGTTATAGGTTAAGCTGCATGGTATGTCCGCTTAGGGCAGACCCTCAAACATGATTAGTAAAGCCTTACTCTCTCTCTCTCTCTCTCTCTCTCTCTCTCTGTGTGTGTGTGTGTGTGTGTGTGTGTGTGTGTGTGTTTCCTCATCTGTTGCCCCAGAAAAGGATATTTTGATGGCTTAAAATAAATAAATGCATCTGAAATTCTGGCCAGCATAAATCTAGAACTTGCCCATTCCTTCATGTGCCTGCCCTTGGCATTCTCTTGAGAGGAGAGGCTTGGGTGATCACATAGGTTCTTCCTCTATCCTGAGGCTTCCATTGCATCCCAGGGAACTCTGAGAAGCTGCGGACCAGCTGGGCTTCTTTCTGAAGTCTCTGCCACCTGCTATGTCCCAAAGGGCAGGGAGACACTACGGGAGACGCAGCCTGTCTTTTCCTGCCTGTTCCCATCCAGCTGCTTCCTGGAAAGTTTCATTTTCTACCATTTCAGGGCAGTCCAAAGGCAGAGGAGAGGCTGAGAGTTGGACTCAGCCTCCCTAGGATGGAACACAGCCTCCTAAAGATTTGCCTTTTTGGGGAAGATTCATGGCTGGACCTCACCCCTCAAGTCTGGGCTGCCATTAAAGGACCAGTCCCTAGCCTCATGCAGAGAGGCTTGGGAGTGCCTATAGGTGCTGCTCCTCGTCCTCTGCTCTGATCCCTCTGGATCTAGAAAGCTGGTGTTCCCTCTGGACTAACCTCAGGCTGGACTCCAGGCCTGAGTGGTTTTTTATGGTGTTTTACTCTCAGGATCACCATATCCTCTTTAATTCACAGCCAGTTCCTTCACACACTTTCGTGGATGTGGGACTGTTGTCCTGGGCACTGACCTTTTGCAACATATATGAAGGACCATGGGACATGTAGTTACATGACTTTGCCCTACACGAAGTGTGCTGAAAATATTGATGTTGTGGTGGCCCCATCTTTCACTCTGTACCTGAATGGGTATTGTCTCTAAGAGGTGGAGGCAACTAGTTTGGCTGCAGGTGGAATGCCTACTCTCCTATGAGATACTTTAAATATTTTATTTTATTTATTTCTATTTTTTATTTATATATATTTATTATACTTTAAGTTCTAGGGTACATGTGCACAACGTGCAGGTTTGTTATATATGTATACATGTGCCATGTTGGTGTGCTGCACCCATTAACTCGTCATTTACATTAGGTATATCTCTTAATGCTATCCCTCCCCGCTCCCCCCACCCCACAACACACCCCAGTGTGTGATGTTCCCCTTCCTGTGTCCAAGTGTTCTCATTGTTCAATTCCCAACTATGAGTGAGAACATGCAGTGTTTGGTTTTTCGTCCTTGCGATAGTTTGCTGAGAATGATGGTTTCCAGCTTCATCCATGTCCCTACAAAGGACATGAACTCATCATTTTTTATGGCTGCATAGTATTCCATGGCATACATGTGCCACATTTTTCTTAATCAGTCTATCATTGTTGGACATTTGGGTTGATTCCAAGTCTTTGCTATTGTGAGTAGTGCTGCAATAAACATACGTGTGCATGTGCCTTTATAGCAGCATGATTTATAATCCTTTGGGTATATACCCAGTAATGGGATGGCTGGGTCAAATGGTATTCCTAGTTCTAGATCCCTGAGGAATCGCCACACTGACTTCCACAATGGTTGAACTAGTTTACAGTCCCACCAACAGTGTAAAAGTGTTCCTATTTCTCCACATCCTCTCCAGCACCTGTTGTTTCCTGACTTTTTAATGATTGCCATTCTAACTGGTGTGAGATGGTATCTCATTGTGGTTTTGATTTGCATTTCTCTGATGGCCAGTGATGATGAGCATTTTTTCATGTGTCTGTTGGCTGCATAAATGTCTTCTTTTGAGAAGCGTCTGTTCATATTCTTTGCCCACTTGTTGATGGGGTTGTTTTTTCTTGTAAATTTGTTTGAGTTTTTTGTAGATTCTGGATATTAGCCCTTTGTCAGATGAGTAGATTGCAAAAATTTTCTCCCATTCTGTAGGCTGCCTGTTCACTCTGATGGTAGTCTCTTTTGCTGTGCAGAAGCTCTTTAGTTTTGACAAACCTGACAAAAACAAGAAATAGGGAAAGGATTCCCTATTTAACAAATGGTGCTGGGAAAACCGTCTAGCCATATGTAGAAAGCTGAAACTGGATCCCTTCCTTACACCTTATACAAAAATTAATTCAAGATGGATTAAAGACTTAAATGTTAGACCTAAAAGCATAAAAACCCTAGAAGAAAACCTAGGCAATACCATTCAGGACATAGGCATGGGCAAGGACTTCATGTCTAAAACACCAAAAGCAATGGCAACAAAAGCCAAAATTGACAAATGGGATCTAATATTTTAAATATTTTAGATAGTCCTTTAGGCTTCTCACAGAAGTCATTTCCTACTTGTCTAATTAAAATCTATGTGGATTTCAAAATTTAATGGGAAAGCATTGAATATTTGTCATTAAATATGACATTATTTGGAAGTATTTTGAAGATGCTCTTTATCTGATTGGATAATTTTCTTCTGTTTTCTAATTTGCTAAACATTTGTATTATGAAAGGGTATTGAATGCTGTCAAATGCTTTCCTGTGTCTGTATAATCTGAGAAGATCATAAGATTTTTTCCATCTGTTCTGTTTATATGGCAAACTTGGTCATGGTACATTATTACAATTATATTTTGATGGATTTGATTTACCAATATTTTGTTCAGGATTTTGGTATCTCTTTTGAAGGATATTGATCTGTAATTTTTTCTTTGTATAGTGGTCTTGTCTGGTGTTGATATTACATTATTGCCTCAGAAAATGCATTGGGTAATGATACCTCTTCCTCTATGTTCTATAAAATTTGTGTAAAATTTCTAGTATTTTTGCCTAAATATTTGACAGAATCTACCAGAAAAATATCTTGGGTTAGAGTTTTCCTTATAAAAATGTTGTTAATTACTCATTCAATTTCCTTGACAGATAGTGATGTTACAGCATTCTATTTTTTCTGTCAATTCCGGTTAATTGTGTCTTTCAAGGAGTTTATACACTTCATCTAAATTTTTAAATTTATTGGCATAACATTGTTCATATTTTGCTTGCTTTTCTTTTACTATCTATGGGATCTTTGCTGTCTCTTCCTTTATTCCTGATATTAGTAATTTGGTTTTCTTTCTCACTTTTTCTTATTATGTTTTTCTAGAGGTTGATCCATTTTATTGATTTTCTTGAAGAGCCAACACAGATAACTCTTGATTTCATTAATTTTCTCTATTGCTAGTCCATATCCAATTTTACTGATTTCCATTCATCTCTGGTATTTCCTGTCTTTTGCTTGTTCTGGGATTCATTTCTCTTTTTCTAATTTCTTATGGTTGAATAACAAATAATTGATTTTATGTATTTTTTCTATTTATCCATTTAAAGTCATAAATTTATCTTTAAATGTTCCTTTTGCTGCATTCCAACATATGAATATATTCTGTGGCCACTATTGTTTGGTTCAAATGTGTTCTCTGATCCATGGCCTATTTAAGTTCTATTGCTTAATTTCTAAACATTTGGGACTTTCTTGATAGCTCTTTTTAACATAACTAAATTGTGGCTATAGAACAATCTCTGTATTCTTTTAATACTTTGAGATCGGTATCACTTGTTTAGTGGATATTGCTTTTTTCTAAAACATCCCAGGTGATTCTAATTTATAGTTAGGGCTGATAACCACTGGGTGGAATGATCTTCTGGTTCCTTCCTAATCTAATAATCAATGATTCTGTGCTTTCTTTTCTTAGAAAGAAGGCTTTAGCAATGGTATTTCTGACTGAGAAGTGGTTTAGAGACAGCAGACTTAATTGCAGGCAGGCTTTTCCCAGCAGAATCTCTGCCTTAGATATGGATTTCACCCAGAGCCACTGATGCAGTGTATCACTGCCCCTCAGACAAGGCTCGGAGCCATTTGTTCCAGCCTTATGTGACAGACCCAGTTATCATGATTCATATCCCTTTCAGTGCTGACTTATTTGTAAGATGTGTTCAAACAAGAAGCAGAGGCCAGCTCTACTAATAGCATTTCTACATCGCAGCAGTGGGACTTGCGCTATTCATAAAAGAGGAGCACTTAATGAGTTTGATTCATTTAGAAGTCTCACAGGGTGACAGATCATCTGCAGAATCTATTAATTGGGTGTATCAAATAGTCTAGGAATGAACACCAATGTTATTAAAGACCTCGTGTCAAAATGACTTCCACTGCCAAATCATAAAACTAAGGCACTGGAAGGAGATATTATGTATATAGATCAAATCCATCTAAGGCATTTGTAATACACATTTCCTCTTTGCTTGCATTATTTTAAAGTTAACTCTGCTAAAGCATCTATTCCTGCAGAGAAGCCACTGGCAGTCCCAGTGTGACTATTTTGTAACACTGCTGGTCAGAGACAGGGCATGTGGGAAGGAAAAATCTCACCAGTTTCTAAATTTGGACCAGATGACCCCTTGTGCGTTCTTTTCAATGGGAGGCTCTGTGATTCCTAAAATGACCCGTTAGTTATTTTCATGCTGTTGACTTGCAAGGATTCTCAATGGCTTGACTCTATCTTTCCTTTATTTGCTATCCTAGATTTCTAATTAACCCATTTTATCACTTGCCTTAGGGGTTCTACAGGTACAGACTACAGAAAATGGAAAAATGATAGGTGGCAAAGGTGTTACTTGAAAAAACGTCTTTTGTTTTTGTTGATTTTTTTTAAAAAAGTTGTTCCTGGCACAGTTAAACACACCCTTATATTCTCTCTCATTTAATTTGGACAGAAACCTTGCAAAGTAGATATTTTGATATTCACTTTTACAGATAAGGAAAATAAAGTACAAACAGTTAAACTGTCCAAGGTCACACTGCAAATTAAGATTAAAGCTCAGGTTTAATCCCAAGGTCTGTGATTTCTCACAGTGCTTTTGAGCTCTTAGAAGACATGGGACATCTGTCATCTGATGATTCTTTCTAGTCACCTTTTAGACTTTGTGCCAACCCTAATTTTAAAAATATAGTCTTCTGAGACTGCTTCTAGGTTGACCAGATGCTTACAGAGAAAATACTGTTGAAAGTTCCATTCTCCCTAGGTAAGGCCTGGCCTGTTACACCAATAATTTTACCTGAGTTCATATTTTAGTTGCAGTAAGTGGCTTAATGGGTGATATTCTTTGATGACATTTTCATGTTGACAGGTAGTTTTGGTAATCCCAAACAAAGTAGTTAGTCATGTGAAAATGTCATATAGCCAGTCAAGGCTTGTTTGGGAGATATATTTGGATACAGATGGGATTGAGCACAAGGCATTCTAAAATGAGAGCATTATGGGCAGTCTGAGAAGGAAAGCAAGCCAAATCCAAATAGGACAGGGCTTGGCCTGATGAACTGAATGGCAGCTGCACTATACAAAGGGGCATTCACCGAGGCTCTGTTTAGATAATTAATGATGGGATGATGGGGAAAATAGTATTTTCTTACTGGTAAGCAATATGGAGTCACCAGCACTTTCCTACAGCAGACAGTAGTTCAGGGGCATCAGATGGAGCAGTGGAACCTGTTTTCAGTCTCTAAGGTATTGCGGCGGAGGCTGCCCCTGATGATAACATTTTTTTGTGATGGTCAGGAGTGGCCTAGAGTTGGAGTAGGCTTGGGACTGCAGGTCATGACAATCCCATGGTAGAATTAACATACAATCCCAGGTAGCCTTATTGCTGGACATAGGATGGCCACTAATAACCTAGGTTGCTCCTCTGCTGCCAAGTGTGCTTCTCATTGCACCTAAATGAATAGAAGATGAACATGAATATCATATATTGAATAACCCTTTGACTTCTGTGTGCAGCCACCCCAAGTGAATACTTGAGTTTCTTCTAAAGTGGCATGGTTTGTTTCCTGGTTCTAAATTGTTCATTTATGTATACAGGTGTCAGTAGTGATTGTTCATTTAAGTATACAGGTGTCAGTAGTGGTGTGATATTTTATTGCCCTATTATAATTTTTTTCTCATCTAATCCTCCCAAGTGCAAGTACTTATCTGAATTGCCCTTGCTTCTTTCATACCTAGCAATTAACAAGTGCTTAAATATGAATTTTGAATAAATCCTGGGTCAGTCCTTCTCTCTTCAGAGTAGGACACCAGATAATATTGAAAGAAGCATGACATAACTAATGGTGTCTGTAAATGCAGCTTCCTGAGATTATTCTGTAGTATCTGACAATTAATGCGTATCTTTACATGTCAACTTCACTAAAGTGGTGGACCTCACATGTTAGTGTACATATAATTACCTGGAGAGATTGTTAAAACTCAAATTTACAGCACTGCCACCAGAGTTCCTGGTTCATTCATTCTGGAATGGGGCCTGAGAATTTGCACTTGTAACAAGTTCACAGGTGATGCTGTTACTGCTGGTCAGGAGACCACACTTTGACAATCACTGCGTTAGGAGTAATTTAAGCATGTGAGATAAATGAAACTTGAGGTTGAAAGCAAATGCTTCAAAATCTGACATATAACATTTTTGGGCTTCCTTTCTTAAGAAATTATGCATAGTGTCTTTGTTGTTCCATATGAAATAGATGACTTACCCTTTAGTAAAAGTCAGGGGTAGATGATTAATTGTTAACTCAGTCTGAAATGTAGTGTTATTAGCAAAAGCCTTCCTTACTCCTCACTAATGTGCACTTATGACAATTTCTTCTAGAGGTAATCAGATATAATGTATGACTAATATCAATTAAGTTATGGTTCTAGTTTAGGATAGGCAGCAGTGCATCAAACCAGAAGCAGTCTCTATTAATTCCATTGGGCAGCATTCAGTGGAGTAGGAGGCACTGGCTACGAATAGCTCCCTTGCTTTTCCTCCAGCCTCTTTGCCTCCCTGCACTACTATGTAACCATCTAAGTGATCTGAATTCCCACCAGCACCAAACGATCACATATTTAGAATAGGTGAGGCAAAGGCCCAGCCTGCGTTCATATAAAGTCAGAGTTAAACTTTAAGGAATGCAACTTCAACATCAGCAACTGCGCTAGTTAAGGAAGCACATAAATCCAAGATGTACAGACCATGGCCTTGAAATCACCGTGTCTTATTAAATAAGCAAAACAATTTTCACTGATCTCAATGACATTATTGAACTTTTATTGATGCTGGACATTCCTAGATACAGTTATCACCTACTTCCAAATTATGGAGTCAGAGCAAGTGCATTTTATTACCTTTTTCCTTGTGTTTCCAATTTCTGAAATTATTCCCTCTTCTGGGACCTTTAACTTGCCCTCGTGGCTTAGGTTGTAAATAACAAGTAATAAAATAAAAATGAGATCATGGACAATGAAAACATCTCGTGGTCTCTCAAGTCGGACACAGAAGTGCTTTTGAGTAATTGGCTAGAGTATAAATTCATAATTTGACTCTTGCCTAAAAGCTCTATTTAGCTTCAGTGTAGTTGCTAAGCCCACATGCTTTGTGACACGTTCTCACAGAATGAGAACATAATGTACATTTCTGGAATTTTTTCCAAATTACTTTTAATCTTGAATTTCAATATGCTATTGAAAAATGTAGCTTCAAAAGTTCTTATGCATTGACTCTTAGGCACGAGATAAGCCTTTTTTCATTGAACAAATTGTGCTGTATATTGGGGGAAGATTTCTAGTAGCTTGTCATTGGTGAATGTAATCTGTGCAAAATGTGCCCACTGTCTTTTCTAGAAAACCTCATAGCTTGTTATTTGAAAAACATAAGCAGATAGGTATGTCTTTGATTGTGTGATGTAGGACATTATACTTCTAATATCATCATCATTCTCAGCGAAATGGCAGTTTGTGAATGTCAGACAGGACACGTGAGGAAATCTATTAGTTACTGGAAATGTACTTTCTGCCTAATATTGTGCTGGGTTCCTCCACATATGCCATTTTATGTAATTCTTTCATTAACTGTATAAGATAATTACTTCAATTTCATCAATAAGAAAATTGAGGTTCAGAAAAATTAGTAAATTATATCAATTTACTAATTTATAATCCTCAATTATATCAATTTACAATCCTCAATTATAGCACAGGGTTAAGGCACTGGTTTCAAACTCAGGTGTTTTCAACTCCAAAGCTGACGTGCTTTCTGCTGTTGTTCTCATACTTGGCTGCATATTAGAACTACCTGGAAAGTTTCAAAACAAAGTACTAATTCCTAGGTTCTCCCCTTAAGTAATTTTAACTCATTTGGGTTGGGGTTGAGGCCTGGATATTGGCATTTTAACAAAATGCCTCATGTCCAAGTGGTTCTAATGTGCATTAGTTATTAGTTGAGACCCCTGGATGTCCTTTCTGCTTATAGCATTCCGTAACCCTTTAAGCTGGTGGAGAATTGCGAAAGGACGTAATTTTTCAGACATTTGAAAATGGGCTTGAGACAAAGGAGGTGGACACTTCTGTCCTTGGTAAAGCCACTCCACCTTAAAACAACTGGAAAAGGAGGGCTCATGGAAGACACATATTGCTAGAATCTGCATTATGAAGTGAAAAGTCAATGTTTTGCATTTTAGATCAAATTAACTGGAACATATGTATGGATTTAAAAAATATTTTCATATGGTTATCCTGAAAATAAATGAAACAATGTAATTGAATGAGCTGGTAGAGGACATCACACTGAAGTCAAACACAAGATACAATAGCTATAAACCACATAAATCTCCAAATATTAATGAATTATAGAAAATACACAAATGTAAATATTTTTTCCTATTGCATTCACTGATTTTTCTGAATCCTCTAATTGGTAACTGCTATTTTTAAAGAAAGGAATTGAAAATGTAGGAAAGCATAATATTTGAGTTGGTTAAGAATAAAACTAAAAAGTATGAGGATGCAGTAAGTCTCATCTTGTCTAAATGTTTTGGATCCACTTAAAATGAGGATATTGCAGTGAGTTATTTTAAAAGAACATCTTTTAAAGTTAAGAGTTTGTATTATTTTAGAAATGAAGAGATAATTATTCTGATCAACAAATGATCAAATCAACTAAACAACCCTTCCATCCCAGATTTTTGAAGCCAAAAAAAAGGAAGAATATTAAGACAAAAATTGGGAATGAAGGCAAAATAATGCTAATTTATTTAAATTAGTCAACTTTTTACTTTAGTTATGTAGTCAGTGACATCCTAGATTTAAACACCTTTTGAAATAAGATTTTTGAAATGCATCAAAGAAGCAGGGTGTGGTGGCACACACTTATAGTTCCAGCTATGTGGGAGGCTGAGGAGGGAGGATCACTTGAGCCCAGGAGTTCAAGAGTAGCCTGGGCAACATAGTGAGCTCCCCCTCTGAAGAGATACTATGTGATGACTAAAGCAGTGAGTGTGGTATGTGGACTTGAAAGTGAAAGGAGCAAGGTGAAGGTCAAAATTGAATTGGAGGAAAAAACATCTTATTAAATGAAGCTTGTGATTCCCTTCAGATTCAGCAGTTGGTCAGAACGTTGCATGCTCCGAATGCCAATTTTCCTCCCCCTCCCCAGCAATTTAATCCAGAAAGTAAAGAATTGGGATAAAATTATGGGTCCCAGGTTGAATGTGCTGTTATCATAATATGTGTAAGAAGGGAGACGAGATGATTTCCTTTAAAATTTGATTTTTATAAAATAGTTCAGATTATCTGAGATAACCTTTAATACCTTTTCCTGCTGAAAAACTCCTTGAAATTCTCTGAAATATAGCTCTGTTCATTATCTCTTTCAGAGAAGCTGCCCATATGGTCGTCACCTCATGGAATACACTCAAACCTTTTTATCACCACAGGCAAAATTCATGGGGAGTTGTACTTCTCTGATGACTGGAATACATTTGGAAAAACTTAATTAAACTTAAAAAGCTTTCTGTCTTGGCACTTGGGAGAGATGTTTGCATTTTAGAAAGTTTTGCAATCAGGGTGTTTGGCTGTTTGTTTACCCTGTCAGCTGGCAACCTCCCTGAGACCAGGAGTACCACTGTGGCAGGTGGTATAAAGTATAAAGGAAACCAGCTGGGTGATGAACAATCAGTGCAGCCCTGCCAGAGAGAGCCACATTTCAGGGAGCACTAATCATCTCAGTGGAGTTTATTGCAGTCATCATCATCTCTGATTTAGTTTGAAACGAGCAAGAAGAAGAAAAAAAGGATCCTCATGAAAGTTCTCAAAACCCCAGTGACTGCAAGTTATACTAGCAAATGTACTTGGAACAAATGGATCAGAAATCAAACTGACATATGTGCTTTTTGGTAGCTCAAGCCATGATTATGTTTCACAGCAGATCTCAAAGGTAAACAGGTGAAAGCTTGGATCATCTGCAGGGAAAAGAAACAACACTAGGGTTATAGATATTTTTCTTTTTAAAGTTGTGTTGTTTGAAGGAGAGATAACTCTGGGGATAGCTAAGAAGATGAGAAGAATTGGAAGCTTTTCTCCAACTTCTTAATGAAGGGATGGAGTTTCCCAAATACAAAGATTTTATGAAGTTAATGTATAACAACTTCTAGGAAATAGACTAGATGAATAAATAGAGACAGAGATTCTTGGGTTGGGATTCTGGATGTAACCTAGGTAAGTTGTTTTACCTTGCCAAATCTTACTTCTCTCATTTACAAAATAAGAAAAATAAGAGCATTTACCTTGTCATCTGGTTATAACAATTAGATCACACAGATAAAGTGCTTAATGGAGTGCCAGACACATAGAGAGCATGTACAATGTTAAGAATTACCATGATCAGAGAAAGGATTGCTTGTGAGCTGTAGGAAGGAGAGAATGTATTTTAGGAGATGATGCTTTGGGAGGAACTGCAGTTCCCAGAACATGCCTGTCTTTCCAGCCTCAGAGGCAAGCTTTAGAATCTGTTGCTCTGTGCCCTCTTCCCAGCCCTCCCTAGCCACACACAAGATCACTGCTTCTCAAATCCTGGATGAGAAAGTGCCAGTTTTTCTTTTTCTAAATTCCCAATCCATTGTAGACTACATCTTTTTATAAAATACAATTGAAAATAGTTATTAGAAACAAACAAATATAAAAACATAAAATAGAAGTCTGCTGATCACATTTGGATATTTGTCCAATTGCTCTAAAAGCTTCTTAATGCCTACTCTCAATTTTATACTTATCTTGTTACGATAACAGGCAGTTTATGAATTGACACCCATGCATGGTACTTGCTTTGAGGAGCACTGGTCTAGATTGTCCCATGACTTCTACTCTTCCTTAAGTCTCATTGAGGTGTCCCTTGCCCTCAGTGATGGAAGCTTTCTTCCGTCTCCCCAAGATTGGACCAGTTACTTCTCCAGTGCTTCCCTTGCACACTGTGCTTTCCCAGAACTTAAAGGGACTGTGTCTTTTTCACCTTCCTATTTTCATTGCTAACAAGACCTGACACACAACTGATTCTCAATAAGCACCAAAAGAATGCAGAATGCATTTATTTCAAGAAAGTAGAGAATTAAGGTGCATATTGTTCAACTCCGTAATTTCTAAACTTGGGTTGTGATCATTCTTGGCAATAATTAGACTCACTGCCTCTTTGGAAAAAATACTTTCTTGGCAGGAAAATGAAATTAATAAACAACAGTATATTTAGGCCCTGAGGAAGTCTTATTCATAGAACTTACCCAGAAAGTAGATTTTATTCATGAGCTTCAGGAAGGAAATTGAAGGCTTAATTTATATTTCTTTCTCAGAAGTAGATGTATAAATCTTTGGAAACTTTTTCTATCTTTGAAATATGTTGCCTTAGACAAGCCTTGATTCTGATGATTCATTGAAGACTTACTAAGAGCATAAATTGATGTAGAGGACAGTTGATCCAAACACCAACAAGGGATAATAGAAATACCAGCGGCTGCCTCACCAAGGGAAAAGAAATGACTTTTAGGGATAACTTCTTTTTCCCTTATGGATAAAGGAGAAGTGTGAAAATATGTTTCTATCTTCTCCATGTAGTTTTGGTACTACATCTTTGAGAGAAGAAATTGCTAATCTCCATTTAATAGAATAGGTCACTGAGTGGCCAAAGGAAGAGAAAATGCTGCTCATTTGAAAGGTTACCAATTTGGTTATCACTTTCTGGATGAGGGTCAGTATTTCCTAGTAATTCAGACCAAATAAATGTTGAAGATATGTCAATGAACTAAGCACAGAGCCTACTGTTCCTTGGCTTTGCTCTGAGAAGAGAAGCGATCTCTTCTTCACTGAAGACTTTTCATCTACCCCCGCCCCTCCACTGTTGTTAGCAGGGACATGGATCCAAGACTGGGAGGAATGAATCCCTCCCCATGCCCCAAACTTCCTGTCTGTAACTGGTAAATGGGGCTCAGGTTGTGCTTGTGATGCCAAACATCTTGGGACAGACCAGGAAGTCTCCTACTATTAGTGGGAAATTATGCACAATCTAATAACACAGACCCAGTGGCACATACCTTCAGAACAAGAAACTTTCAGGGCTGTGGAGTAAGAGCCAGGCATATGGACCCCTCATGTGTACACTGTACGTGACTTATGGATTGGGCTGACAGCTTTTCTTGCCCACGCATACAGCTATTTATTTCTATATGTGTATAGCTTGTTATGATTAACAAATTCAACATTTTATATAGAACTTTTATATGCATCTCGTAACTTTTGCCAATATGTTTTTCTCTCAACAGATAATGCAAGTACCATTGCTCTCATTTATGGGTTTGTGAATGCTGAGATTAAGAAGGAATCGTGAGTCTCTACAAGGTTGGAGACTGTAATGTGCCCTGCCTGGCTGGCTCTGGCTTCACACTCTGCATTGTGTGTGCAGGGAGCTTCTGGACACTCTGACGAGGATCTGGTTACCTCTGCACAACACAGAAGACAGGTTGAGGAAGACGGAAAGCTGAGGGGCTTCTTCAGGGAAAAATAATCTCAGCGTAGCATCCCTGTAAGCCTGTCTCCATCTTACTTGAAGGTGAGTTAGGGACACATGGAAACCCTTATGTCCCCAAACATCCCCCACATATGTTCTGAATGTTCCATGCTCCTGTAACCAGGAGAGCTCACCCTTCACTGTGGAGAATCCACAGTAGACTGGGCTCCAAATACCTGGTTTACGATGAAGCCCTGTTAGTTTACTGCCACGTTGAAGTGACACATCTCCCGTGTTCTTTTCTTGAAGAAACACCTTGATTAGAAGAGAAGGCGTGAGGTTTAAGGAATCTGGGAAGGGAAGAGAGTCCCATGGAGGGAAGAACAGTGTGGGTTTTTGTGCCATTAATTTAGATTTTAGGCATGATGGTTTTATGTCAACATGGAACAGAAGGGAGGAGTCAGGAACTCTCATCCAGCAGAACAGGATGGGGTGGATGGTGGTCTGCGATGGAGGCAGCGATTCAGCCAGGTGGGAGAGGCCCAATGTGTTAGTACAATTCCAAACGGTCCTGTTTGAGGCAATGGCTGGCCCTGGAGCTCCAAGCTGGCCCTAACAGCAGCATAGAAGTAGAGGCATGAGGCTGTGTGCAAGTGGAGAGCCCTGTGGGCTGCAAGTCAATGTTCAGGGCGTCTGCTTTGGAGAACAAGGATCTCATCACTAGATAGACTTTTGGGGACTGGGCTCCAAATACTAGGAGAGGGG
Source organism: Homo sapiens (assembly GCF_000001405.40). Lineage (NCBI taxonomy): Eukaryota > Metazoa > Chordata > Mammalia > Primates > Hominidae > Homo > Homo sapiens. The sequence goes on along the minus strand of NC_000002.12, from coordinate 108,051,970 downwards.
TGGACACAAGCCTTTAACATCATGGGATGACAGCCAAAAGCCGAGGGAGATCATGGATCTAAGTGATTACAGGAGGGACATGTGGCAACAAAGACTTCTTGCGGGCTACCATGGGAACCCAGTGCATAGTACTGCAATATCAAGATTTAGGATGAAGATAAGAACTAAGTCTTGGGGCCATAATGATGGAAATGACAAGGCCATAGGCTGAGGCAATTTGAGTACAGCTAAATACTGCCCAGCCTGTAATTGAGTCTGTTTGCTATGGTGGTATTGTTACTGTGCCTCAGGACAATTTACTAAGGAGGGCTTCAGACAGGGAAGTTGGTAGTGATGCCTTCAAAGAAAGGAAGTCCTCTGAACCTCCACCCGATCCCAGGGAAACATGGCCAGCTTTGGTCTAAGACATTCAGCCTCTTTAGCATAGCAAAATGAAGCTATTCTTGTGTCCCTCTAGTGCAAAAGTTGTACATTAAGTTGAAGAGCCATATCATAGCCACATATAAAAGGTTTCTTTACTGTGGCTGTTTTCCTCTGTGCATAACTGCTCTTTGAGAAGATGGGAAGGTGGGAGCAGTGATATCACAGTAGGATTTAGGCATTTCTAGGTCTCTTAATTAAAATGTCACCAGAACTTCCCTTATTACCTCCTCCACTGTGAAACTCACCATGCATAATGAGGACAGGAGATTCTGCCACAGTTTCTGGCACTGGAGAAAATGAAGTGAATCATTTTCTCTTCAAATCAGCAAGATAGACCTTGTTTTTTACCAGTGCTTGGAGTGGACGCAAGGAGAGGGGAGGATCTTTTGGCCACCCTGTTCATCCTTACGACATTGGTGGAATAAAAAGAAAGAGACAGAGATAGAAGAAGAGGCCTAACCAATTATGTTTTCAAGATTGAGTCCCTAGAACACTGGGATTGAAACCTGACATGTCTAGGTCACTTCCATGGGTGATGGGTCCCTCCTGAGAGGTAGGGAGTATGATAAATATGTAGGATTAGCATTTTACTAGTGCAGGGACCTCTTATTCAACTGCTCTATCTCCAGAACTGAGGCCAGATCCTGACATATGGGAGGTCTATAATAAATATTTGTTGCATTTATAAGTGAGTGTCCTTTTTCTCTCAAAGGCTGACAAGGACCTCTGAAGACACATTTACTTACTCAATAGCTTCCATTCAGCTTACCATTACCAGCAATGAGTAGTTTATACATTCACAATAGTCCCGATAAAACAGCATAGCCTAAGATCATTGTTTCTGGAGAGATTTTGAAAGACTCCAGTGAGAAGCACTGTCTTCATTGTAAGTAAGTAGATCTGTTGCGACACTTCCAAGGCGAAGATAGCCAGCTTCAAAACCTATGTCATACTTATATTTTTGATAGAAGGTGTGTCTGTATAATAGCACCTCAAGGAACATAAGAAAGCATTTTCATTCTATCATATGAAATATACCCTACATATTTATCATTGCTTTTTTGGGAGGAATTAATGAAATCTGTGACATGTACCCAACAAAAGTTGAGGGTGAATGGAGTCACTGCTGGTACCAGCCACAGGGTGCTCTGTTGCTGCTGGGTTTAGAGGGGGTTGCTTCAATTTCTTGCTTTTTTTTTTTTTTTTTTTACCTGTTTTTGTGTCTTTCCTTCTCATTTTCAAGCTCTGTCTCTTCTCATTTTTTTTTTTTGCGTTTTTTTTTTACGTGCTATTTTCCTTTCCTTTTATATTCAGCTCTGTTCTGGAATTCCCCAAGTGTTCCTCCCCACTCCAGTAAACCGCATGCAGAGCAATGGCACACAGGAGGCATTCTCAGCTTCACATTTGGAATGAGCCAGTCTAAGAGATCATCTTCTTAGGAAGGGACAGAAAGGTTCTCCCTGAGGTTATGCCAACACAGAGATATTTATCAACTAGTTCTTACCACTAGAATTGGACATTATATCAGAGCAGTTTCTTGAAGCTGTGTCTAATATGTGTAGTCACTGAACAAAACTATTTGTTGACTACGTGACTGGCTACTGAATGTATATATAAATAGGCATGGTAAATTTTACAACTTGACATAAACAAATGTAGACTACTTGTAGTCATGCCAACTGAAAAGGGTGAGCAGCTTTTCAAAGATTCCATCAAATCTCAGGAAAGCAAAAGCCTCACATTCCTTTTTCTCTATCCCCAGGGACTTGCTTGGATTTCTCCAAATCCATCGTTTGTGTTGTGCCAGGCCATGACTATTTCTCTCTGTGATAAATACTTAATGCAAATGGCAAGCCATCCTGAGGGAGGCTGGCATCCGTACCTACTGAGAAGGCCAGCAAACAGTGTGTGAAGCACCGACGTCAAAGGCCATTAATGCAAATGCAAATTGACATTTTTCATCAAGGTCTAACAGTACACCAACAGGTAGGCCAACCACTGTGCTGCCTGTTTACAGAAACACGTTGCTAATCAGTCAGCACAATCCACTCAATACCAGTGTTCCTCCACATTTGCTTCTTAAGCTTTTTGAGAGCATTAAATTAGTTTCAATTAGTAAAGCTAATGTGTGCAGAAATATTGAACATTTTAATTTAATGGAAAACACCCTGCTGGGTGAGAAATATCATTTCTATCTGGAGCCCATTTTTGTAGCACAAGCCGCTGGCTGCATATCTTGAAAGGTTAACCACAGGTTCATTACAGTCCAAAACACTGATGTTGACATTGTTTTGCATTTCTTACAGATCATTAAAAAGCTCGATATTCATTTCTTCAGTGATGAGGTTCATCTGGAAGTTAAGGATTTAATTTGTGGTTTTGAATTTTACCTTTTTCCTGTTAGAGCACAAAAGAAAAACTATTGCATCACGAAAGTTCTCTATCATGTGAATCGTTTCCATACACATACAACAGTGAAATATTGCCAAGCAGCAATAATGAAACAGTCACCCTTTTCCTCACGATAGCCATATACATTCTCAGCTCTCCAATTCGTTGCCACCATTAGCTCTGTTTTATTTATTGTGCCTGAAGCCTGATTTCCAATGGGAGGCCTTGTATAATGGAATGCCAGTAGACTTCTAGCTCCCTGTGATTTAGATGCCAGCTTTATGCTCCATAATAAAACGAGAGAACTAGACACACATGAGAAAATACATTTTATCTACTGGCTGATGTTCATATGTTGAATGTTAGAAGGACTTTGGTTTTCAGCCATCACTAAATTTCACAGAGTTGCTGACATAATTTCACACCTTCCTGTGGGCCATAATAATGACAGGAGAATTTTAAATGTGGGATTTGACATGGAGAAATACATGTAAAGTTTACTACAGCCACCAAAGAATGTTATCTCAGTGATCAAATACAAAACAAAAATTAAATACAGCATTATACAGAAGTAGTTATTTATCCTCACCCATCATATTGTGAAGGAAATTACTGCATCAATAAAAATGAAACAAAAAATAGTCTGGTGTTATAGCTGAAGGGAAAGAGTGAAGGTGGAGGGAGGGTGGGAATGAGAGACAGGGAGAAAAGATACTAGAGTGTCCCATGGAATTCAGAGTTTCTACTTTGAAAATAGAGAAATCTGAAAGTCTTGACACTGATTTGTGGTTGGGTTTGGACCATGGAGAGCAGCAGAAGGAGATCACAAGGAAGGAAAAGGGATGAGTGACCCACATGCCAAACAGTGGAACCAACTCTGAGATTTCACTTTTCACCATCCCCCAGGGGACCAGTCAGCCACATGGTGGCTGCTGAACATATTAAACCCAAATCCTTGCACTTCATGGGTAGGCACATACTTGACTTACAGATTTGATTTTCCTACCTGCAGTTCTTCTTTCACAACTACTATTCCTGGACTTACAGAATGCCATATTCATTGACACACAATGTTGCCTCTGCCCAAGAGATGTATTTTACGGCAAAGGAAGTGTAGTAATGGGCTTGCAACCTTGAGGTTCATGGGTTCTTACCAAGATCCTCATGCCTCAGAAGCATCTGGCCTGATGGAATAGTGAATGGCTTGCTGAAGGTTCAAACATGGCCCTAGTTAGAGCCCACACCTCATGATGTGGGACTACACTCTTATATGTGTTGCATATGCCTTTAACCAGTGGAGAATACATGGTGTTATGTCTATCATTAACACAATGCTCAGATCTGGTAACTAAGGAGAAGTGCAAATGGTCTCCTTCAGAATTCTTCCTGTTAACCTACTTGAGTTTTTTTCCTTCTGTTCCCATAACCTAGGCCTTCTGTATTTAGAAGGCCTAATAACTAAGGAGTGAGTGCTTCCATCCAGGAATATTATCATCCTTCCATTGAGCTGGAAGCTGAGATTGCCACTTGCCATTTTGGCTTCCTCAAGCTATAAAACAAACAGATACAGATGTCACTGTGGTGGCCGTAGGGATTGATCTCAATTACCAAAGTAAATTTAGCTTGCTGTTATACAGTGGGGATAAGGGAGACTATGCCTGGGTCAGAGGATTTATTGGGGAGTCTCCTATTACCCTCTTGTCAAAAAGTACTGGCCAGTAAAATTATTCAACAACCCCCCAAAACAAACAAACAAAAAAACAAACAAAAAAACCTACCACCACCAACAGGCCACCAAGGAATCAAATCCCAGTGAAACAAAAGTTTGATTCATTCCACTAGGTAAACAACCTCTGCAACTGCAATACAGCAGAAGGAGAGGGACAAAGAGGAGGTAGTGGAATATGCAGCTGCAATGACCACCAATTTAGGCTGCATGAGCAGCTGTAGGACTGGGGCTCCAAGAGCTGTTTCCTGTTAATGAACTTTTTCTGTTTTCCTTTCTAACAGTAGTGGCTTTGAGATTTCAAGTGTCGAATGACAGCATTGACATTACCTATCAACATTCCCCTTGATTGTTGCTGGCTCCAGAGTCCTTGTGGTTTTCCTACATTCTGCACACATCTTTGTGAATAGTCACTTATTTAAACTATCCTAAAATTATGCAGTTAATGTGCAGTCTCTTTCCTGCTTGGACTTTAAATAATATACCCCTTAAACAAGTATTTCAATATTCTCTTTTACATTTTTTTGATAAATATTTTATAACAATTATATTCAATATTTGTATAATTATTTGTTATATGAACTTCTTTTATACACATTATCTCATATATGACACTCATACCAATATTCAGAGAAATATATTAATGTTTCTACCTCATAGATAAGGAAAATAAGAATAGAACTGTCAAAATGTCCAGATTCGTAAACGTGAAGCAATAGAGCTGAAATTGATTTTTTTTCTTCTGGATCCTTTCCATTATACAGTAGCTGTTTTATAGACAATAGCTCAAGTGCTTTTTTTATTGTATACAATAACATTCACTTCTTCTGATACATAGTTTTATGAGCTTTAATACCTGCATAGCGCTATTTGGCCTCCACCACAATGAGAACACAGAAAATCACATCATCTCCCCAAATTGTCTCATGCTATTTCTTTGCCATCCGTGTTCCCATTGTTCCAGCACCATTTCTTGAGAAGATTATCTTTATCCATTAAATTATTTTTTGTAAATTTATTAGACAACAATCGACCATATTACTGTGGATCTATTTCTGGACTCTGGTATCTATATTTTTGCTCATAATGTCGACTATTGAAGTTTTGTATCTGGTAATGTGAGTCCTCCAACATTATTCTACTTTTTGAAAACATTTTGACTATTCTATTTTTTTTGCTTTTCTATGTCATTTTAAAATCAGTTTATCTACAAAAATATTGCTTAGACTTTTATTGTAATCGAGATAACCCAGTATAAATTTGGTGAAGAGTTGTTAAATAAACTATATTAATTTTTCTGATCCATTAACACAGCATGTCCTTCCATTTATTTAGGTCTTTGATTTCTTTAATCAGTATGTATTAATTTTCAGCATGTAGATCTTGCTCATACAAGGGGTCTTCAAAAGGTTAATGAAAAATGCATCTTATCAATTTTTTGCACCAAAATAAACTCTTATTAATGTAATATAGCATTTTTGAACATGATCTAGTTTGAGACACTAAGAAGGACAAGAACAACTTTCCTATGGAAAGCATTCTTATCAGAACAATATGAATTCCGCTAAAATTGAAGCAAGAAAAAATATCAAATTTGTGGTGAAGATTGGATGGATGAAAGAGTGTGGAAATCATTGTTGCTTTATAGAAAGTTTATAGGCACAATGACCCCTCAAAAATCAGCAGTTTATATATGGTTAACTCACTGTAAGAAGTGACAAGATGATTTTGAAGATGAAGTTCACAGCAGCAGACAATCTACATTCACATTAGCTTGTAAGAAAAAAAGTTATCTTGTTTATGCTGTAATTGAAAAGCACCAAAGACTGGCAGGTGAAACAATAGCCAACACCAGAAACATCTCAACTGGTTCACTGTACACAATTCTAACTAAAAAACCAAAGTTGAACAAACATTCCACTTGATAGAGCATATGCCTTTAACCAGTGGAGAATACATGGTGTTATGTCTATCATTAACACAATGCTCAGATCTGGTAACTAAGGAGAAGCGCAAATGGTCTCCTTCAGTATTCTTCCTGTTAACCTACTTGAATGCCAAATGGTGCCAAAACCATTGGGCCCACATCAGCTGCAGACAAGAGCAGAGCTTTCTATGGAAATTTTAAACACGTGGGATCAAGATATTGAAGCATTGCTTCAGAGAATTTTCACAGGAGATGGAATGTGGCTTTATCAGTATGATCCTGAAGACAAAGCACAATCAAAACAACGGCTACCAAGAGGAGGAAGTGGTTCAGTCAAAGCAACAGTGGACCAGTCAAAAGCAAAGGTTATGACAACACATTTTTGGCTTGCTCAAGATATTTTTTTTTGCTGCATATCTGGAAGGTCAAAGGACAATAACATCTCCTTATTATTAATATGCTTTGAGACAGTTAGCCAACACATTAGCAGAAAAGCACCTGAAGAAGCTTCACCAGAGAGTGCTTCCCTATCACAACAATGCTTCTGCTCATTCCTCTCATTAAATAAGGTCAATTTTGCAAGAGTTTTGGTGGACAATTATTAGGCATTCACTTACAGTCCTGATTTGGCTTTTGTGGACTTCTTTTTGTTTCCCAAATATTAAAACATCTGTCAAGGGCATCCATTTTTCTTCAGTTAATAATGTAAAAAAGACAGCACAGACATGGTTAAATTTCCAGGACCCTCATTTCTTTAGGAATGAAGTAATTGGTTGGTATAATCATTAACAAGTATCTTAATGTTCATGGAGCATATGTAGAGAAATAAAGTTTATATTTTTTATTTTTATCTTTTGATTTTATTTTTTCTATGAACATTTTGAAGTCCCCTTGAGTGTTGTTGTATTTACACCTAACTAATTTTGAGCTATAATAAATGGTACGGTTTTACTAATTTTAGTTTACAATTCTTCAATTTAGAATTAAGTATGTGGGAATATAAGCAAGCATTATAAGTTGACTTTGTATTCTGAAGCCATGCTAAATTCAATTATTTGTTCTAGAATGGTTTTTTTGGTAGATTCCTTGAACATTTCTACATGAATAATTATGTTGTCTGTGAATAGGAAAAATTGTATTTTTTCCATTTTGTATACATTTTATTGGTCTTGCTTTGTTGTATTGGCCAGAATTCATGATGTTGAATAGAAGTATAAAAAGTAAACATGCTTGCTTGCTCCTCAACTTAAGGGAAGAGCATTAAGTTCGATGTCATCTATATGAATTTTTGAGTTTCCTTTTATCAGATTAAGGCAATTTTCTCTTATTTGTAGTCTGCTGGGGGTTTTTATTATATAAATATATTAGTCTTTTTCAAACGTATTTATACATCTGTTGAGATACTTATGTGGTTTTTCTTTTCAATCTGTTAATATAGTGAGTTACATTGATTGCTTTTCTTGGGAAATTGACCCTTTATCATTATGTAATGTCTCTTGTTTTCCTTAGCAGTTTTTCTACTTCTTAAGTCTACTTTTTTTGGTATTAATATAACTACCCTAGTTTTATTTGATTTAGTGTTTTAATTGCATCTCTTTTTGTTCTGTTTTTACAATATATCTATATCATAATACTTAAAGAAGGCCTCTGATAGGATTTCTTGAATATAGTGGATGGTTTTCTTTGTTTGTTTTGGTTTAAATTCAATATAGTTGATGTGTTTAAACTCTTTATTTACATTAAGTATAATTATTAGCATTGTTAAATTTTGTTCTAATATTTTATTATTTTGTTTGATTTCTTTGTTTTTCTTTCATCTATTTTTCTTTCCATTATGTCATTTGTATTTCTTGAATATTATGCACTATTCCATTTAAATTTATCTATTGGCTATTTGTATCTTTTTGTGCAATATTTTTAGTGATTGATTACAATTTGCAACTTAACTTTTCAAAGTTTGCCTAGAAGTAATATTTACTGCTTCAAGTGCAATGCAGAACCTTGAAAACATATGGGTACTTTCATTTTCTCCCTTTATGCTATAATTGCTATATGTATTATATCCACACACATTGGAACTTCTATTAAACAATGGTATAAATTGCCAACTGTCATATACATTTTTTAAAACTTAGAAGAATAAATATATTTTACTATATTGATTCAGATATTTACCATTTACTATGCTCTTCATTCCTAAAGTATTAGATTTCTCTGGTGTTATGTATTAGTCCATTTTCACACTGCTGATAAAGACATACTCGAGACTGGGCAATTTAAAAAAGAAAGAGTTTTATTGGACTTACAGCTCCACATGGTTGGGGAGGCCTCACAATTTTGACAGAGGTCAAGGAGGAGAAAGTTACTTCTTACGTGGATGGCAGCAGGCAAAGAGAGAGCTTGTGCAGAGAAACTCCCATTTTTAAAACCATCAGAACTCATGAGACCTAGCATGAGAACAGTATGGGAAAGACCCACCACCATGATTCAATTATCTCCCACTGAGTCCTCCAACAACTGGTGGGAATTCTGGGAGACACAAGACGGGATTTGAGTGGGGACACATGGCCAAACCATATCATTCTGCCCTGGCCCCTCCCAAATCTATCTTCATATTTCAAAACCAATCATGCTTTTCCAACAGTCCTCCAAAGTCTCAACTCATTTCAGCATTAGTTCAAATGTCCACCATTCAAAGTCTCATTTGAGACAAGGCAAGTTCCTTCTGCCTATGAGCCTTTAAAATCAAAAGCAAGTTAATTACTTCCTAGATACAATGGGGATATGGGCATTGGATAAATAATCCTTTTCCAAATTGGAGAAATTGGCCAAAACAAAGAGGCTACAAGCCCCATGAAAGTCCAAAATCCAGTGTGGAAGTCAAATCTTAAGCTCTCAAATGATCTCCATGTCTCACATCCAAGTCACAATGATGCAACGAGTGGGTTCCCATGGTCTTGGCAAGCTCTGTCTCTGTGGCTTTGTAGGGTACAGCCTCTCTCCTTGCTGCTTTCACAGGCTGGCATTGAGTGTTTGTGGCTTTTCCAGGCACATGGTGCAAGCTGTCAGTGATCTACCATTCTGGGGTATGGAGGACGGTGGCTCTCTTCTCACAGATCCACTAGGTAGTGCCCCAGTAGGGACTCTGTATGGGGGCTCCATTCCCACATTTCCCTTATGCAACACCCTAGCAGAAAGTTCTCTGTGAGGGTCCTGCCCCTGCAGAAAACTTCTGCCTGAACATCCAGGCATTTCCCTACATTCTGGGAAATCTAGGAGGATGTTCCAAAACCCCAATTCTTGACTTCTGTGCATTTGCAGGCTCAACACCAGGTGGAAGCTGCCAAGGATCAGGGCTTGCACCCTCTGAAGACATGGCCTGAGCTCTACATTGGTCCCTTTCTGCCACAGCTGGAGTGTCTGGGGCGCAGGACACCAAGACTCCAGGCTGCACACAGCATGGTGACCCTGGGCCTGGTATATGAAACCACTTTTTTGTCCTAAGCCTCCGACCTTGTGATGAGAGCAGGGGCTGCAGTGAAGACCTCAGACTTGCCCTGGAGACATTTTCCCCATTGTTTTGGGGATTAACATCTGGCTTCTTGTTACTTATGCAAATTTCTGCAGCCGGCTTGAATTTCTCCTTAGAAAATGGGATTTTCTTTTCTATCGCATTGTCAGGCTGCAAATTTTCCAAGCTTTTATGCTCTGCTTCCTTTTTGAAACTGAATGATTTTAACAGCACCTAAGTCACATCTTGAATGCTTTGCTGCTTAGAAATTTCTTCCTCCAGATACCCTAAATCATCTGGTACCATTTTACTGTATTACTCCATTTTCACACTGCTGATAAAGACATACCTGAGACTGGGCAATTTACAAAAGAAAGAGGTTTATTGGACCTACAGTTCCATATGGCTGCGGAGGCCTCACAATCATGATGGATGGCAAAGAGGAGCACTCGGTCACATCTTACGTGGATGGCAGCAGGCAAAGAGAGAGCTTGTGCAGATAAATTCCCATTTTTAAAACCATCAGATCTTGTGAGACCCATTCACTATCATGAGAACAGCATAGGAAAGACCCACCACCATGATTCAATCATCACTCACCAGATACCTTACACAACATGTGGGAATTATGGGAGCTACAAGATGAGATTTGGGTTGGGACACAGAGCCAAACCATATCATATTATTTTCCTATTCCCTGAAGAGTTTCCTTTATCATTTTTCTCTTTTCTAAAGAGATGAGGTCTATGTTGCTCTGGCTGGTCTCAAAGTCTTGAACTCAAGCCATCCTCAGCTTCCCAAGATGTGGAACTACAAGTGCACATCACCATACCTGGCTAGCATTTCTTTTAGTGCAATCACTCACAACACATCTTCTTAATTTGCTTTCATTGAAATTGTCTTTATTTTGCATACATTGTTGAAGAGTATTTTTATTGGACATAGAATTCTAGGTTGACAGGTCTTTTCTTTCAGAGCATTTATTATTTTTTATTTTACTGTTTTCTGACCTCCCTGATATCTTATGAGAAATATATATTCATTCATTTTATTTTTCCCCATATTTAATGTGTCACTTTTAGTGAGCTCTTTTCAAGAATTTTTATTCAACTTTGTTTTTTTTTCAGTAGTTTGATTATGATGTTATAGCGCATGAAACATTTTTAGTGAAAAAAACTTAAATCAGTGGTGAATTCTTTTTCCTTGTCAACCATGTCTTCTTGTAGACTCTTCAGTGTTTCTTCATGGCATCTCAATTTACTACGTAGTAGACTAGATATGTGAGTATCATTTCTGATGCCTTTCTTTTTCTCCCATTCTCATTTAGTTTTTTTCTCAAGCCTGCCTGTATTTTCATCACAATTTCTGTCTATTAAATCCCTTCCACCTATTCATTCTATAGGTACATGAACATTTTTTGAGCTCTCATAATGTGCCTGGCATTGGGTTAGGTATTAGTGCTACAAAGTTGAGTATGGCATTACATAAGTCAAAATTCAAACAGGAAAACAGAGCTACTCTGAGTATTAAAAATTAAGGGACTTTCATGCAGGAGCTGATTAAAGAGATGATGGAAGAACTGAATATTTAAACAGAAGACAGTGAATTGAACAGAGATTAGCAAATGCCAGATGCTACTGCAACCTATAGGTAGGAGATAATGTCATCAGATCTTTGAGGTGGGATCATCAATGGAACCTGACCACCTGTTCAAGAGAAAAGGAGCCATGAAGGAAGAACAGGTGTGACTGAAGATTCTACTAGAGGAAGAAAGTCATGGTAAGTACTCCTCCTACCAGGGAAAGGTGGTAAATGGATCTACAAGAAAGAAGCCTGGAACTTACAAGACATTGACCTTGTTCATGAGAAACTTTCAGAGCAGTATAGGATGTAGACAGCTAAACAGGTAAGGTGTGATTCAGACCCCAAAATACACTGAAAAAAAATTGTACATATAACTGAGGAGCTGATTCTGCAAGGGAGGTTCAGGGTAATGTTTTAGCAATATTTAAAGTATGAATATGTTTGATGTCAAAGAAAGAGACAAGCCATCCCTAGAAATGGGGATAGTGTATGAAATGCACAGAAGCCTAAAACCGCAGGCTGTGTTTGGGGATCTGCCAAGCTTTAGGACTGCTGTCTGGTGAAGTTTGAGGTCATCAGTGATGCGGAGGGGTGTTGGCTGGGGGCAGAAAATGGTGGATTTTCTAAAACGTAAAAAACTACTTGGGTGTTTATAATCAGGAGATTTGGAGCTTTCAGGCAATTTGAAGCAGATGAATGACATCACTGGATCTAAATTTTGGAAAGCTCTTTTTGATAAGAATCTAGTGTATAGATCCGAAAAGTTAAGACTTAAGAAAATGGCCCAGATGTATAATGATGAGACATGGAATTAAGTCAATGGCATTGGGAATGGAGAGAAAGAACAGCTGAGGAGAGAGGACAGAAATAACAGAAGGGCCTGGTGGCCATGCACATGTGAGATAGTTTTGGTGCCTGCAGGGACATTGGTGCCACAAATGAAGAAAGAATATCCAGGAAGAAGTGTATGCTTGAGTAGGAGGAGTAACACATGAGTTCTGTTTCAAATGGGCAGTAATTAAAATATCTGCAAAAAGTTCACTGAAGCTGGAACAATCAATGATAAATCTGGCTTAAAAATAAGGATTTGAACCAACCTTGCATCCTGGGAATGAAGCCTACTTGATCATGGTGGATAAGCTTTTTGATGTGCTGTTGGATTCAGTTTGCCAGTATTTTGTTGAGGATATTTGCATTGATTTACATCAAAGATATTGGCCTGAAGTTTTTTTTTTTGTTTGCTTTTGTTTTGTTTTGTGTGTGTGTGTGTGTGTGTGTGTGTGTGTGTGTGTGTGTGTGTGCGTGTGTATTTCTGCCAGGTTTGGGTATCAGGATCATGCTGGCCTCATAGAATGAGTTAAGGAGGAGTCCTTCTTTTTCACTTTTTTTTTGAAATAGTTTTAGTAGGAATGATACTAGCTATTCTTTGTACACCTGGTAGAATTCAGCTGTGAATCCATCTGATCCTGAGATTTTTTGGTTGGTAGGCTATTTATTACTGCCTCAATTTTAGAACTCATTATTGGTCAGTTCAGGGATTCAATGTCTTCCTGGTTCAGTCTTGGGAGGGTGTGTGTGTCCAGAAATTTATATAATTTCTTCTAGCTTTTCTAGTTTATATGCATAGAGATGTTAATAATATTCTTTGATGGTTGTTTATATTTCTACAGGGTCAGTGTTAATATCCCCATTACCATTTCTGATTGTGTTAATTTGACTCTCTTCTCTTTTCTTCTTTATTAGTCTAGCTAGAGGTAAATCTATATTATTAACTTTTTTTTCAAAAAACCAGCTCCTGGATTCTTTGATCTTTTCAATGTTTTTTTATGTGTCTCTGTCTCCTTCAGTTCAGCTCTGATTCTGGTTCTTTCTTCCGATATCTTTGGGGTTTGGCTGCTCTTGGTTCTTTAGTTTTGATGTTAGGTTGTTGCCTTGAGATCTTTCTAGCTTTTTGATGAGGGCATTTAGTGCTATACATTTCCCTCTTAACAGTACCTGAGATGTGTCCCAGAGATTCTGATACATTGTATGTTTGCTCTCATTAATTTCAAAGAACCTCTTGATTTCTGTCTTGATATCATTATTTACCCAAAAGTCATTCAGGAGCAGGTCATTCAATTTCCATGTAATTGTATGGTTATGAGTGAATTTTGTAGCCATGATTTCTAATTTGATTGCACTGTGGTCCAAGAGACTATTTGCAGATTGGCTTAACATATATAAATCAATAAATGTGATTCATCACATAAACATAACTAAAGACAAAAACTACATGATTATCTCAATAGACATAGAAAAGGCCTTTGACAAAATTCAACATCTTTTCATGTTAAAAACTCTCAATAAACTAGATATTGAAAGAACAAAACTCAAAATAATAAGAGCTATATATGACAAACCTATAGCCAATATTGTTCTGAATGAGCTAAAGCTAGAAGCATTCCCCTTGAAAACCAGCACAAGACAAGGATGCCCACTCTCACCACTTCTATTCAACATAGTATTAGAAGTTCTGGCCAGGGCAATCAGGCAAGAGAAGGAAATAAAGGGTATTCAAATAGGAAAAGAGGGAGTCAAATTATCTTTATTTGCAGAAGACATGATCCTATATCTGGAAAACCCCATTGTCTCAGCCCAAAAGCTTCTTAAGCTGATAAGCAACTTCAGCAAAATATCGGATTATAAAATAAATGTGCAAAAAGTGCTAGCATGCCTGCACACCAAAAGCAGTCAAGCTGAGAGCCATATCACAAATAAACTCATATTCACAATTGTCACAAAAAGAATAAAATACCTAGGAATACAGCTAAAAAGGGAAGTGAAGAAATTCTACAAGGACAACTACAAACCGCTGCTCAAATAAATAAAAGATGACACAGACCAGTGGAAAAACATGCCATGCTCACGAATAGTAAGAATCAATATTGTGAAATGGCCATACTGCCCAAAGGAATTCATAGATTCAATGCTAGTCCCATTAAACTACCATTGACATTCTTCACAGAACTAGACAAAACTATTTTAAAATTTATATGGGACCAAAAAAGAGCCCAATAGCCAAGGAAATCCTAAGCAAAAAGAACAAAGCTAGAGGCATCATGCTACCTGACTTCAAACTGTACTACAAGACTACAGTAACCAAAATAACATGGCACTGGTATAAGAACAGAAACATAAACCAATGGAACAGAATAGAGAACCCGACATAAGGCCACACATCTACAACTATCAGATCTTTTACAAGCCTGACAAAAACAAGCAATAGGGAAAGGATTCTCCGTTTAATAAATAAATGGTACTGGGATAACTGGCTAGCTCTATGAAGAAAATTGAAACTGGACCCCTTCCTTACACCATATACAAAAATCAACTCAAAATGGATTCAAGATCTAAATGTAAAACTCAAAACTATAAAAATCCTGGAAGGCATACTAGGCAATACTATTCAGCATATAGGCATAGGCAAATATTTCATAATGAAGACGCCAGAAGCAATTGCAACAAAAGCAAAAATTGGCAAATGGGATCTAATTAAATTAAAAAGCTTCTGCACAGCAAAAGAAACTATCAACAGAGTAATCAGACAACCTACAGAATAGGAGAAAATTTTTGCAAACTATGCATCTGACAAAGGTCTTATATCCAGCATCTTTAAGAGTCAAACCTATGGAAACAAAAAAACTCAACATCACGGATCATTAGAGAAATGCAGATAAAAACCATATCATATCACACCAGTCAGAATGGCAATTATTAAAATAAAAAAATAACCTGCTGGTGATGCTGTGGAGAAAAAGGAACACATTTGTACTGTTGGTGGGAGGACAAATTATTTCAACCACTGTGGAAGAAAGTGTGGTTGTTTCTCAGAGACCTAAAGACAGAAATACCATTCAACACAGCAATCCCATTATTTGGTATATACCCAAAGGAATATAAATCAGTCTATTATAAAGACACATGCACGTTTACATTCATTGCAGCACTATTCACAATAGCAAAGACATGGAACCAACCTAAATGTCCATCAATGATAGACTGGATAAAGAAAATGTGGTACATAAACAGAACGAAATACTATGCAGTTACAAAAAAGAATGAGATAATGTCCTTTGCAGGTACATGGATGGAGCTCGAGGTCATTATCCTCAGCAGACTAACACAGGAGCAGAAAACTAAATACTGCATGTTCTCACTTATAAATGGGACCTGAATGATGATAACACGTGGACACTTTGGAGGCAAGAACACACACTGGCCCTACCAGAGGGCCAAGAGTGGGAGGAGGGAGAGAATCAGGAATAGTATCTAATGGATACTAGGCTTAACACCTGGGTGATGAAATAATCTGTACAACAAATCCCCATGACACATGTTTACCCATGTAACAAGCCTGCACATCCAGCTCATGCACCCTTGAATTTAGAATAAATGTTAAAAAAAAAAAAAAAGGATTTGAAGAATATGGGGCGTAGGTCATTGTAAACTCCCAAAAGGTGGATGGAATCACACAGTGAGGATATTTATGAGGAAAAGGGCCAATGGCAAAATTTTGTGATCAAGAAGTAGTGAGAGGAAGGGACTCTAGCAAAAAAGGGGCCCACAGCACAGAGTATGGGGTGTTCAGAAAACCTGGAAGATGGAGTTTAAGGTCAGTTTCATTTTAAAAGCTCCTCTAGAGAGTCTAATATGCAGTTACATTTGAGAACAACTGGACTAAAATGGTAGAGCTCAAACTTTGGTGTTTGTGAGGACTATCCAGGGATCTGAATAAAATGCAGGTTGTGTTTCATTAGGTCTAGGAAAGGCTCAAGATTCTTCACTTGGACCAAGTTCTGTAAAGCTCCTGGTTTAAGGATCACATTTTGAAACACAAGAGTTTACTAGACAATCATGTAATGTCTTCCACCATACCCTTAGGTTGTGGTATTTTATCTACCTTAAAGAATGTCTTCCTTGGTACCTGTCCCAGTAGATGGGTGTGACTTGTCACCAGGACCTAACATCTCCTGATGTGGCCTCAAGACAAGGTTATGCTTTGTCCCTAAATGCTGCCCTCATTTGGTCTCTAGCGTAGGCATCATGCTTCTCTGGTTCTCAGAAACACTGCCCATAAAGATGAACTTATTCTTGAGAAGCCAGTGGGAGAAAAAGTTCTGGAATATCCTTTTATTTTTTCTATGATTGAGTTTCTTCCCCATTACTGGTCCTTTTGCCCTAAGTATTATAGGCATGAAGGTCATGATAGAATTTTCTTCTGCAGGTAAAACTACTTTGGTCTTTCCTCTGGTTCTAGACAATAACCAAAAATGAGTTTTGTCTCTGCCTTGGACAAAATGCAGAATTGAGCCCTGCTGCCAGGGGGCATCCTTGTACAGCACATCTAACTGGATCCAAGACCTCTCTTCATCTGACTCTCACCCACCTCTACCTATGGTACTATCAAAAACAAAACAAAACAAAACATAACAAAACAAAAAACAAAAAAAATAAAAACAGAAGAAAAACCAAAAACACCTTTCCCATTAACTGTCCATGGCATAAGTCAGGGTATAGGCACACACTCGCAAGGCCTGCCTCAAGGAGCTAAAGGCAGCAAACTTCATGCTTTCCACTTCGTTGCAGAGTCTGCCCTTGAATTTTGATATACATGATACTCAGGATAGGGAAGCTGCTGTCCTGTGCTTCTGGAGTCCAAAGCAAAGACTCTGGAGGCATGCAAGTTTCAATTTTCCTGTGTTTGTTCCTGGAAAACATGTAGCATCCAGCTCACTGAGACCTTTTAGCCACACAATGCATACATAGCACATGTGCCCCTTGAGGACTGGAATTCCTGAGGGTTGGCTCTGCATGGGCTAGAATTGATGCTGTTTGGCACCTCCAGGCAGGAAGGTGAAGATCCATGTAACCTGCCTCGTAGAACCCCAGGGCCCCAGTTCATGCTATCAATTGTTAACCAAGAGCAGGAGAGACAAACTGTATTATTGATTACCTGTGTACTGGTTGAGATGGGTTTTAGCCAAGTTGGAACGTATCAGGATGGTGAGATTTTGACTCAGAAAGGATTTTCTACAGGCATTGGCTATATGCTAGTAAGGTAGTGAGTAGGCACTTAAAATTTCAGAGAAGACTCTAAGTAATGCCGCCAGGAACTCAGCAGTGTGGCTGTGGATGTTCTTGGAGTCACAGCCATGGGTGAGAACAGTCAGAGGTAGTCCTGGTCTGTGTGCTAAAGAGAAAAAGGGATCCGAAGTCTGTCTGAGACTTGGCCAGCTGCAGCTCTAAAGAGCCCAAGTATGAAAACTCAGGGCGTTTATCCAAGTGCCAGGGTGGACCCAAGAAAAATGAGATGGGGCACGAGACTGCAGAAGAACAGGGAGATTTCTTGGGGTCATGGAAAGAGGTGGGGATGCACCTCCTGAGAGGTCATAGTTTAGAAACTACAGGAATCTTATGGGCTGCTGCCCACGGCCTATTTGTACAGCGACCTCACCATGCACTGGGTGCCTACTTCTGAGGCTCCATCCTGGTGCCCTCATTTCCCAGCTGTGTGGCCTCGGGGTATTCCTTTAAGCTCACTGCCCTCCAGTGTCTCATCTGGAACATGGGATACAGGGGAGTGTTTAAGAAGTTAGGGATATGTGAAGGATGGAGCAGTGTCCCGCATAGTGTGATTGCTTAATAGATACTGCTTGTTTCTATTATCGTGGGTTGTTATTCCTTACAAAAGATAAATAATAGCTATGATTGGCTATAATAGTGAATTTTTATCTTGCTTCTTAAAATAAAATTCCATACCCCTCAGTGTACCAGTGGAAGTGGTACACTTCCTACTGGCAGGAATGGGCAGTTGGATGATAGAACTGTCCCCAACATCTCTTACCCCTGAGCTCACCTCTTCTATCACTCAGACCCCAGGCAGACGTAGTATAGGGACGTTTCCTGTACCATCTGCCTCTGAGCCAAGAGTGGATCCAAAGTTCTCCGATCTTTCAGCAGAAACAGTAGAACCTACGAAACTTCACCTATAGGATAATAAAGGGGAGATAGATCATGAATGTAAAAAAACACAAATACCTTAAAAATATAATTTTCTTTCTGAAACTTACGGGTCTCCATTTCAAGTAAAGTTTCCACCATGTTAAGTGAGATCTCAGAACAAACAGAGATCTTTGTGCCCACTCCTTATGGCTGCCCTGCCTCCAATGTCTTCTTGATTGCTCATCTCTCAAAAGTCCCTTCAAAGATATCTCTAGGAAGTGCTCCACCCACTTCCAGCCTTCTCTCCTGATTTCCCCTTTTTATTCTGAGCTATTTTTCGTGCAAGTGACCTCTACTAAAATATAATGAGGGCATTCTACTGTGCACTCCAAAACAACTGTGTCAGAATGTGTCTGATAGGTGAGTTCTTGGTCTGACTTCAAGAATGAAGCCACAGACCCTCGCGGTGAGTGTTACAGTTCTTAAAGATGGTGTGTCCGGAGTTTGCTCCTTCTGATTTTCAGATGTGTTCGGAGTTTCTTCCTTCTGGTGGGTTCGTGGTCTCACTGGCTTCAGGAGTGAAGTTGCAGACCTTCACAGTGAATGTTACAGCTCTTAAGGAGGCACATCTGGAGTTTTTTGTTTCTCCCATCCACAGTTGTTCATTCCTCCCAGTGGGTTTGTGGTCTCGCTCGCCTCAGGAGTGAAGCTGCAGACCTTCGTGGTGAGTGTTACAGCTCATAAAGGCAGTGCGGACCCAAAGAGTGATCAAGAGCAAAATTTATTGCAAAGAGCAAAAAAACAAAGCTCCCACACCATGGAAGAGAACCCCTGCAGGTTGCTGCTGCTGGCTGGGCAGCCTGCTTTTATTCCCTTATCTGACTCCCACCCACATCCTGCTGATTGGCCCATTTTATAGAGAGCTGATTGGTCCATTTTACAGAGAACTGATTGGTCCGTTTTACAGAGAGCTGATTGGTCTGTCTCGACAGGGTGCTGATTGGTGCATTTACAATGCCTGAGCTAGACACAGAGTGCTGATTGGTGTATTTACAATCCTCTAGCTAGACGTAAAAGTTCTCCAAGTCCCCACTAGATTAGCTAGATGCACAGCACTGATTGGTGTGTTTACAAACCTTGAGCTAGACACAGGGTGCTGATTGGTGCGTTTACAAAACTTGAGCTAGACATAGAGTGCTGATTGGTGTGTTTACAAACCTTGAGCTAGATACAGAGTGCTGATTGTTGTATTTACAATCCTTTAGCTAGACATAAAAGTTCTCCAAGTCCTCACCAGATTAGCTAGATACAGAGTGCTGATTGGTGCATCCACGAACCCCGAACTAGACACAGAGTGCTGATTGGTGCATATACAATCCTCCAGCTGGACATAAAAGTTCACCAAGTCCCCACGGAGTCAGGAGCCCAGCTGGCTTAGCCTAGTGGATCCTGCACCAGGGCCACGGGCGGAGCTGCCCACCAGTCCCGCGCCGTGCACCTGCACTCCTCCTCAGCCCTTGGGCAGTCGATGGGACTGGGCGCCACTGGGGAGGCTTGGGCCATGTGGGAGCCCACCACGGGGGGGCTCAGGCACGGTGGGCTGCAGGTCCCAAGCCCTGCCCCACAGGGAGGCGGCTGAGGCCTGGTGAGAATTCTAGCGTGGCACAGCGTGGGTGGGCCAGCAGTGCTGGGGGCCTGGTGCCCCCTCCACAGCTGCTGGCCCAGCTGCTAAGCCCCTCACTGCCTGGGCCAGCGGCGCCAGCCAGCCACTCCGAGTGCGGGGCCTGCCGAGCCTGCGCCCACCTGGAACTTGCGCTGGCCCACAAGCGCCCGTGAGCAGCCCTGGTTCCCGCCCGTGCCTCTCCCTCTACACCTCCCTGCAAGCAGAGGAAGCCAGCTCTGGCCTCGGCCAGCCCAGAGAGGGGCTCCCACAGTGGGGCGGTGGGCTGAAGGGCTCCTCAAGCATGGCCAAAGTGGACGCCGAGGCTGAGGAGGCGCTGAGAGCGAGCAAGGGTGGCTAGCACGTTGTCACCTCTCAAGAGCACCACAGCAAAGGCATAGTGGCTCCACAGTCAGAATTGTGTATACAGCACAACCAAGTTTTGTCACAGGAGCCAAATGACTTTCTTTAATTTGCTTAAGTATTCACTGAGAAAATATGGTTATAATGTATATTTTCATTGACATTTACAAGTTCAGAGTCTAGTGATGAGAACTAAATTTATTATTCCAAAAATACGTACCATTTTAATCTAGATTTATGCTATTGTCCAGATTCACTTTCTTCCTGGCCCGTTGGCTATGACACACAGGTGTGTGGGTGGTAGCTCAGGTTCCCTGGGTGGCAGACATTGGCATGAAGGGGTTTCTTGTTGACGTTGTGCATGTTAATACTCAATTCAGTAGTTAGAGATCATCTACTTTGTGCCAGGCATTGTGTGAGAAAGTGGGTAATGGAGAGGACATCAGTCAGACCTTTGTGGCTGTCCCACATCTTTTGCAAATTACCTGTCCATTTGACAGTCTCTCCACCTCACCCTATGGAAATCCAACCCATAATACAGAAAATATGTTTTCTAGCCTTCTTGTGAGCACACACCTCCTTTTAGACTTTCCTGGGAGAATCGGGGGCTTGTCCTCTTCACACACATGGAGTATTTCCCATTTCCTTCTTCCAGGGGTGCTGACACAAAGCCTGACAGGCCTCTTGGAACTGGGATCAGGGGACCCTTGAGCCCCTTAGGCTTCTCATACCTAAAATATCATTCCCCTGGGGTTTTGTGCTTCCTCCACCAAATTCCTTCTTCTATTCTATGCAGTTTAAGTATATTTCATTTATCTTGTAATCTGTTGTAATCCTTTACATTTTCAGAAAATTAACCCTGGTTGTTATTTAAAGACCCTATATTCTTTTTGGTTTTCTAGATTGGAAGCTCCCTGTTCACCCACACCTCATGTTGTAAGGCCTAGAGAATCCATTAGGATTATCCCACTCTGCATCTCCATTTTAAAACATTATTCTTCCTCTTCAAAGCATTCTTTCTCTTTGAAGATCAAAGCCTTCCTCTTATCATCATTCTTGTTGCAAAAACTGACAAAAACTTCCTCTGACTCGCCCTCATTCATTAAGGATTTTGGCAATAGGCTTTCAATCTTTCTCCAGTGAACCAATGTGTAACTTCATTTTAACTTTACATAATTTTAGCTTCCTGCTTTCATGGCTACATTCTGGATTTATAATGGCCCAGAACTTTGGCACAACTTTTTAGCCTAGACATTTACACTGAAATGTTGCAGGACCATATTGTTTTTTCTAAATGTCAACCGTTTTGGCCATCTGTCTGGGAACTATTAGTCTACAATCACTGTGCAAACTTACATGAACCAAGATAACATCTCCAAAATATAATTAGCCTCAATGTTTTATTTAAAAATAAAAGTAATATGTTTTTCATAAACAAAGTGGGCTTATTTTTACGGCTAGTTTCCAAAGAAAGTCATACTTTAAGGCTTACTGCCAATATTTATGTATCATAATTTTGCTTTCTATTTTATATACTGATATTATAGCCTGTAGTGTAGAAAATAAAACAACAACACATCTGTTGTTTTCTTTCTTTCTGCCTCTTACCTTTGGGATTAATATACATGCTGAAAGGTAACAGTCAGCACATGCAGAGCGTGAGAGCAATTTGAATGTGTTTGCACAGGCATACATCTTCATGCCTAACAAAAGATTCCCTCTGGAGTGTGTGCGTGTGTGTGTGTGCATGTGTGCATGCATGTGTGTAGACAGTCTTATAAAATATATTCTGCAGAAGAAATTACATTTTGAAGAGAACCATTCTTTTCACTGCCCTGGAGGATCAGGGTTCAAAATGTATCCAGATAAAGAAGGCTGACTTCTTCCCTTGAGCCATTTGCCATCTCTATGCTAAGCAACCTTAGTATTTGAAGATGTTTTGGGCAAATGCAGCCTTAGCCTCACTCAGCGCTGCTCTGTTGCCCCTACCTCCTGGGGAGCAGTCATCCATGATTTTGGCCTTCATCCTGGGAAGTTATACGAGAAAAGAAATGTGTCCATGTGACAGCTCTGCCATTTATTTGTCTGTCCCTAGGCCGGTGTTTAGCCTCTGTAAGAGATGAGCCTATTAAGAATATACTCTTTCAATGTCCCCCAGGAAACATTTTTCTATCTCTTTGCCATTCTCTGCTAAGTATATAAAGGTTAAACAGTTCATATTTAGCCAAGCTTCTAGTTGTGTGTTCAGTGGTGTCCTTTTATTTTTCTTTAAGCCTACACACCAGCTCACTTTGGTGAAGGTGCCCTTTAGTAAGTACAGTCATTAGTGCATTACTGGAGCCTGTTGGTTTAGTGAGTGATTCACACAGGCACTTGGGTCCTTGGGCTGACTTACTTCAGGGTGAACCAAAAAAAAAAATAAATTCAAGAAACTGCAAAGGCCCCTAGTTCAGAAAATACTTGGAGGTGGAAGACATCGACTCCAAAGCCTCAAGTTAGGGCTGGGGCTATTTATGGATTTTAATTTGCTGTTAATATCTCCTGCCTCCTTGCCATTTTGGTGTTTAATGCCGTGGCAGAGTTCCAGGAGTTATAGGAGGTACACTGCTGTTGGAACCCCAGAAAGCCGTATGCTATGAGTTTCAGCAACAGTATTACTTCAGATTTTCTGAAATGTGTCAAGTGTCAAAAAATACATACCATGTTAACATAATGCAAAATTGGCCACAGAAGCAGGTAGATCTTTAATGTTTTCTCCTTTAGGCTAAAGTTTCAGTTTCTCAATAAATTACCCTTGTGGAAGAAAATATATTGCCAGTGTCTCTATGTTGATTCATTGTCAATAAGCTAACAGCCCGAGATGGATAAATAATTACAGGAGTACCTCTGTATCTTTATCTTTTTGCATTACTGAGAAAATATGAAACTATAACAGTTTTCTATACACATATATTGAAATAACCACAATTTTATATTTATATAAATTATATTTCTGTGGCTTTAGGTTGCAATTATACTAGCAGAAGCATATGTGTGCAATTTTTATAACAAGTATTACATAACAAGAGAGTGAGACTTTAATACAGTAGAAAATTAATAGAGGACTAAAAATTAAGATTATTCAGGACCAAAGTGGCTGATAGAATTAAAAAGAAACTTGCAACTTCTATTTGTCAAATGATAATCGGCCTTACAATCTCATCCTCTCTGTAAATTGAACAAAAATGTTCCAGCAAGAAATAACATCTGAATTAAAGGGTGTTTGTAAGCCCAGAGCGCTGGTATCTACTTCAGGGTTCTATTTCAGTAGAGTAGGTTATTAAATTTGAAGAACTAGCCAGCAGGAAGCTACAGTATTTTCTGAAGAGTTAACTGAAGAGTCAAGTTTTTTTTTTAATTTTGCACAAAATTATGACCTATAGGTCTATCTAGCATTAACTGGAGGTGAGCAAGCCTGATTGATAGGCTCGTTTAAAAGGGAGTTTCATAACCTGTTGGTGAATGGAACCAGCAGCAGGAGGCTGGGGGAAGGACTTGGGGCAGGTTTGTCTTCCAGGACTCAAAAATAATTTCCTTCTTGAATCATTTAAAAATATATTTAACTATTAACTGAATTAAATTACCTAGATACAGCCGGCCCTCTGTATCTTTAGTACTGCAACCTCCTGTTTCATATCTGTGGATTCCACATACTAATGAAAACAATAAAAAATAATAATACGAGAAAAAACAATACAGATTAAAAACAATACAGTATTACAACTATTTACATAGTATTTATATTGTATTAGATATTTTGGGCTATTTAGAGATGATTACATAGGTTATATGCAGATACTACATCATTTTAGATCAGGGACTTGGATTTTACTATCGTGGGGGTCCTAGAAGCTGATCCCACATGGATACCAAGGGACAGCTGTATTTAATCTTAAGGTTACTTCTCCAGTGGTATTAAGTCCATTTACTTTCGATAGTGAATTTAGGGAGCTTTATATTAAAAAGGGCTGAGTACCCAGGAGGTGCTTTCAAAGCACCACCTTCCCTGGAGGATGCAACAGCTGTGAGCCACCCCCCAGCACCTCTGCAAAACCATGATATATCTACAGACTTGCCTATCATCACAATATAATTTTAGATCATTTTAATCACTTCAAAAAGACAACTGTGCTCAGCTACAGTAGGCCCTCACTGCCATTCCCAGGCCCAGACAATCACCAGTCTACTTTCTAATGTACATTTGACTTTCTGCATACAATTAATATAAATCGAAGTACACAGTGCTTTATTTTTTAATATGGATGATAGATTATCATTATTGTGGATGTATATTACATGTTTTTATATGTGATACAGCTCTTAGTAAATAAATACAAAAACCATAAAAATAAAACAGTCATGTGTTTATGAGTTGAAATTTTCAATTGTTAATTATTTTTAATAATGTTTTTCAAATTTGCTTCAATAATTCCCACTGGTAATGAATGCACTATGCACAAAGCAACTCACAACCTCTTAGTTTTGTCTGTAAAATGGGATGCTGTGAAGATTAATAAAAACAGTGCTAGGTACAAAGGACATTGCAAACAGTAAAGAATCATTATGACAATGCTGTTGTATTGCTTCTATATTTTTTCATCGACAAGGCCAATTTTCAAACTAGAAGGTTGGAATAACATGATTAAGAGAGATGTGGAAACCAGGAACTAATCATAGAAGAGTATCCATCTCTTTTAAAAGAATTATAACTTAGGAGGCTAAAAAACAACATGTGATCAAAGACTGTGGTCAGGCTCTACCCTACAAAACACTGTTACTCTGCATTTGAATGAAGAGACACAGGAGGTATTTTACCTAATTAAATTGAGCCCTGAAACTGACATTACATTTCAGGGTCATGTTTTTATCTTTCCTTTTATGAATCTAATTAACAGAAAATAATCACTCATTTGCTGACTGTTCAAGCCTTGCTCATGGAGACCTGGGAATATGGGTATGTAACAAATATCTTTGGTGATTCTGGTTATTAGAGACATTTGGGACATGACACCTAAGTCTTATTTGTAAGGTGAATTTGCTGACTGGGGAAAAAAAAAAAAAACAGCACTCTATGAATCATTCCAAGAGTCAAAGCATTATATTGCAGTAAAAAGGAAACACAGGTATTTGGAAAGTGTCTCAAAGAAAATGCTGAGTCTGCTACTTAAAACTTTTGTGTGGTTGGGAATGGTACCTTCACTCCCTCAGCTATTTAACAAAGGTGGATACTATTAACTCTCTCTGCCAGCCTCCTCAAAGTTATGAAGGTAGATACTTGGCAAAGACACAGTGAGATCAGCATTTATTTGATTATTAAAATGACAGTTTGCTTGTGGTATAGACGTGATTGGATTGTATGTACAGCAGAAAGGTCACGGACCAGAGAATGTAACTATGTTAGATTGAGCCAGATTTGGTAGTGCCTTTGGAGCTGACAATTATTACTTGTCAGAAGAACAGAAATATAAGCTTGTTTCTGTTGCAAATGTTCTGTGTTTTTTGAGGCATCTCCAATCCTTTCCTCATTGATGGGGCCCAAGGCTGCTGCTCAGTTGAGTGAGGAGACAGGCTCCACTTGGGAGTCACTGCATAGTCTGAGGCCTGGGCCTCTTGCAAAGGACTGATCATGGTTTTGCAGAGGTGCTGGGGATGGCTCACAGCTGTTGCATCCTCCAGGGAAGGTGGTGCTTTGAAAGCACCTCCTGGATAGTCAGCCCTTTTTAGTATAAAACTCCCTAAATTCACTATAGAAAGTAAATGGACTTAACTAAATACCACTGGAGAAGTAACCCTAACATTCAATACAGCTGTCCCTTGGTATCCATGGGGGATCAGATAG
Source organism: Homo sapiens (assembly GCF_000001405.40). Lineage (NCBI taxonomy): Eukaryota > Metazoa > Chordata > Mammalia > Primates > Hominidae > Homo > Homo sapiens. The sequence continues at coordinate 108,025,526 of NC_000002.12, read as the reverse complement.
TAAAATCCAAGTCCCTGATCTAAAATGATGTAGTATCTGCATATAACCTATGTAATCATCTCTAAATAGCCCAAAATATATAATTAAAATAAAAATCATTGAATTGTACAATTCAATGTGCAATTCAAAACAACACTCTTGGGAAGCAGAGTGGAAAAATTGGGAAAATTAGTAGTCCAATACCATGTCAGCACTGGAGAGGCTGATGATGGAAATCAACCTCAATTAACGATTAAATGAAGGAAAATTTTGAAATTATTATAGCAAGGAAAATAATTTGAAAATGTTAACAAATTCTCTGAATGAGTAGCAGATTAACAAAAAGTTTTCAAGAAAGGACATTTTTGAAACTTCTAACTCACATCTCCTTGAATGGTATTATATGCTCTATTTATAAACACAATAATTGTTTATAATCCTCTTACTTAGCAATAGGTCAGATTTTTTTTTTTTTTTTTTTGAGACGGAGTCTTGCTCTGTGACCAGGCTGGAGTGCGATGGCGTGATCTTGGCTCACTGCAACCTCCGCCTCTTGGGTTCTAGGACTCTCCTGCCTCAGCATCCTGAGTAGCTGGGATTACAGGCACGTGCCACCATGCCCGGCTAAGTTTTTTTTTGTATTTTTAGTAGAGACGGGGTTTCACTGTGTTAGCCAGGATGGTCTCGATCTCCTGACCTCGTCATCAGCCTGCCTCGGCCTCCCAAAGTGCTGGGATTACAGGCTTGAGCCACCACGCCCAGCCTAGGTCAGAAATTTTAGCAGTCACTGTAATGAACATCCAAGTCACAATAGTTTCTCTACAGCTTTAGCCTTTCTATGCATCACAAAACTATTTAAAGAAAAAAGCCCCCAAGAAGTGTGGCCCACACTTATAATTCCAGAACTTTGGGAGGCCGAGGCCTGCGGATCGCCTGAACACAGGAGTCAAGACCAGCCTGGGCAGCATAGTGGGATCTTGTCTCTAATTTAAAAAAAGAGAGAGAGAAAGAAAAGCTAAATTACATAGTCTTATTTTAAAACTATATTTTAATAAAATTATTTTTCTCAATTAAGCAGCTCTTATTTTTTTCTAATGATGTAAACTAATCTGTTGGTGAAATTGTACCTATCATTGTTTCCGAATGAATACTATTTAAACAAGCATAAATGTATATATTAAAAGTCACTGAAGAAGGTAATACATTATAAAACCTTAATTGATAAAGTGCTTGAGGCAATGCAGGGAGTAAATGGTAAAATTAGTCATTTTGTTCAGAATATTTTTTTTAGTATGTTTTATTAAATAAAATCAGAATGTGTTTCCCAAAAAATAAGAACTCTCTCTTTCACAACAAATACTGTTGGAAATATTACTATCGCTTGATCTTTGATTTCCACCAGTACCTAATAAAGTTGTTTTTCAGATTCATAAAACTTAATAAATGATTCTCTTTCAATCCCAGAAATACTCTTGCCAGCCTTAGGGGCTTTCTTGCTTGGTTAACCAAGTATGGCGTGTGTTTGTTGGAAAGTACCTGGACGCATGCTGCCAGCCTATGAGCTTACTAATATCTCATTGAGGAAAGCTATCTGAGGTCCTTGAATCTCTACACATCTCAACGTTTTCTAATGACTGTGTTAATATGAGCAAAGGTACAGGGGCTGGCTTCTGTTCACATTTGTCTCTGTATGATCAAGAACCAGTGGAGAAAACATGTTCAGTTTCATTTCTTCTTACTTCTAATTGGCTGAAACATCTCTAGTAAGCAACTATATTCATTTCTTCTTAGTTCCAACTGGCTGAAACATCTCTGGTAAACAACTATAAAGACAAAGGCAGGGAATCCTATGCGTTGCCTCCATCTTCTTATTACATTTTTGACGCATTTAAAAGGATCACAAATTAGGACACTTCCCCTGAATTATTTGAAGGTTTCTATACAATCTGTCTGAAATCAACAGCCTTTTACTATGGGCAAGGGGCCAGACAAGGTAAGTAACCTCCAAATAAATGATGGATGAGTTCATGTGCTTATTGAGGCTGTTCCCTTGGTGAGGAGGGAGGATTAATGTACAGAATATGGAATTCTATAACTATATGGGTGAGGACAGTAGTCAGTCTTGGATAAGCAATGCCTTTTACCTGGAAAGTTAAAAGCATTCCTCTAATTTGTTTTCATCATTCTAATTTATTTTGTTAATTGTTTGGATTTTGTAACCATTTCTAAAATATGGTTTTAGAAAATGTGAGAAAGTTGTACTCTAGAACATTAGCAGAATTGACATGCCCAAGTATTGGGAAAGTAGGTTTTGACACAAATGGAAGTGGACTTTTTTGTAGGCTTACCACTTTCATCCTACTGATCCGGGGTACTGGATGAAGATACAGGGTTGAGGCAGACTTGAGATTACAGAATCCTTTCAACCTAAGGAAAAATAGGCAAGACAGGTTTGCAAAGAAATCCTGGTCAGATAATTTGAAAGGAATATGTGGAGTGGAATATAATTGTCTCTTTGGGTAAATAGTAAAAATGCAATTGCTGGAACTTTTTTTTTTTTAACCAGAATTATGGAAAAGGAAGATATAATTTGCACTTTGTATGTAAATAAAATTTTTATTTAAAGTTTATGGGAAATGCAGATTTTATTCAATAAAGTCAATATGCAGGAACTATGTTGAATAGTAGGAACTGTTTAATATTTGAGTAAGCTGACTCAAGGTGGTGTGTATCCTTGACTGGTATGCTCCAATGTGAACTGGAGGACACTTGGAAAGAGGGACTAGGCAAGAATTACTTAGGAGTCTAAATGGTCATAGCTTTAAGTGACCTCCTTCAGGGTCCCAGTGGACCTCTTCCTGGGGGTAGACTTAGAAGAGGAAAGTCCCCATCACTGAACCAAGTATCAGGGTCAAAACTAATACTCATTGTTTTCCTTCTCTGCTGTCCATTATAAATTCGCTTCATCCTCAGCTAGCAACTCTGCTGGCTTTGGTGGAAAACTTTGTGAGGTACCCAGACTCTCATCCCTGAGGGGGTCTAAGGAGACTGCCACATCCTTTTCAGGCTGGTGTGTTGCATCTGCCCATGTGTTTTCACAAGTAAGCAAGCGAGTACCAAAGACATTAAAGGAATCACTTTGGTTCCAAATGTATTTATCTCTGTTCCCACTGAGTAACAGCAAACCCACCTCCTTCTGATGACCAGGGTCAGAAACCCCAGTTAGGATGGTGATTCCTCTTCCTGCCTGGGATGACTTGGATAATGGGAGCTCAAAGTGTCCAAGTGGCAGTGTGGCTATTCGTCTGATGAAACTCTTGGGAAGAAGAGTGGAAAATTTTGAAAAATTAGTAGCCCGACACCATGTCAGCACTGAAGAGGCTGATGATGGACTGGCTGGGATCTTGTCCACTCCATCCTTATGGTGCAGTGTGGCAGCAGCCTCTCCAGTGATGGAAGCACTCTCCTGGGATACAGGGTGTTACACCTTGGCAAAGACTCCTGAAGATGATGTATACTCACTGCTAGGACAGCTCCTAGAAACATGAAAATGTTTTGGCCCAGCTCAATGAAGTTGAAGACACCAGAATTGTCATGTCAGACAATGAAGGAAGGGGCCAAAACACTCAGAGTAGAGGGCTTGCTGGAGTGGACATGCCAAATCGTGCTGGAAGAGCACTATATGGTGTTTCACGGAAGGTTCAGAGGATCACAACTATAAAGAGTGTGCTGGTGAGAGAGTTACCAGCACCATTAAGAAATTTAGTGATGATTTTCTTTGTTTGACAAGGAGGATGGTAGCAAGAGCCCACTAGTAAGCAGTAAGGTTGATAGGACACCAAAACAGTAGAGTCCAGGTGGAGATGCTCAACTATCAGAAGGCAGGAGACACAATTATTGCAATAAGCAGCTGTATCAGTGGCAGTGAATGGCTGTTTCACTTGAAGAAAGGCATGGAGGTGGTTTCTGGAACACAGTGTTCCTGTGTGCTGGATGCTCCATGGATGATGGATGAGAAAAAAAAAAAGATCTTGCTTTGTTTATAGAGGAGAAGGAGGAAGCTGTGCTCCTCAACTCTTGAGTCTCCTTGGAAACGTAATGGGTATAGGTCCTAATTTCAACCCTTTAGTATTTAAATAAAATCTCTCTAAAATTCAGATATACTGGTGTGCCTTGGCTTTTCTGACCTAGAGGTGCCTCAGATTTCTGGAACTTTATATCTCCCAAAATATAAGTGTGTAGGAAGGTAACACTCCAGTCTCCCTGACACGCTTGAGTGTACATTAGAGCCCTTGCTGGGCTGTGGTCATTTGACAGTCTCAGGGGAATGAGATAAGCTTTATTATACTTTCAGATCAGATCAAATAACTGGAAACATGGTTACAGAGCTAATTATCATGCTATGTGGCATCTTAGAACACTAGGTCTCTTATAAGAACTCTCTCCAGGGAAGCTGGTTCCCCAGAGTTCTATGCAATTAGATCACATATATAAATTTCTATAACCACCAGTAACAGTCAAGATACAGAACAGATTCATCACAAGTTTCTCACCAGCATTTCCCTCCAGGGTATTCTTCGTCAAGACTGCTTTAACTATTTCAGTGCCTGTGTTCACTTGTGGGTCACTTGAACATTTTTAGAGTTATTTTTTGACTTGCTTATGGTGTTCTTGAGTACATCAATTTGTACAGTTTTCTAAGTGGTGTTCTAGGTGTTATAATATACATATACCTCATGAGTGTGATTCCAGAGCTTTGGGAGGCCAAGGCAGGAGGATGGCTTGAGCCCAGGAGTTTGAGACCAGACTGGGCAACACAGCGAGATTTGTCTCTACAAAAAAAAAAAAAAAAAGTTATCCAGGCATGGTGGCACAGACCTGTGGTCACAGATACTCAGGAGGCTGAGGTAGGAGAATCGCTTGAGCCCTGGAGGTTGAGGCTACAATGAAGAGTAATGAAACCACTGCACCCCAGCATGGGCAACTTGAGTGAGACCTTGTCTCAAAAAAAAAAAAAAAACCCAAAAAGCAAAACAACAAACAATATACATATGGATTTCATCAGTACGCAGGTGTTGACATTTTATGACATAGAGTGAAATAGGTAGAAAACTTACCTCTATTTAGAACCCCTTACCCTCCACGTATTAAATATGTAGTTTTCTTAAACTATTCCCTCTACACATGGTGGGCACTTTATTGGATGACTTACAATTTTTGCTTTAAACAATCAAATGAAGAACACTTCATTTGAGAATGTTTTTATTTCCTCATCATTAGTAAAGAATATTCTCCAGGTATATGGGTCAAGGTTGACACCTGATTTTTTTTTCTAGCACTTGAAACATGTAGTGTCATTTTCTTCTGGCCTCCATGCCTCCAGGTGAGAAATCAACTGCTATTTGGATTGGAGTTCCCATGTAGGTAGTGAATAGTTTATCCTGTTGGGAATTTGTTCAACTTTTGAAACTTTAGGTTTATATCTTTTGTCACGTTTAGGAAAATTTCAGTTATTATTAGGCTAAAAGTAATGTGAAAAACTGCAATAACTTTTGCACCAACGTAATATTTATGTGAATACATTTGCAACTCACTCTTTTTCTTCTCTCCATCTATGCTCCAGTGATATAAGTGCCAGATCTGTTGTTATCATCAAATGTGTCTCTGATACTCTGTTTAATCCTTTTTCTGTCCATTTTTCTCTGTTATGCAGTTTCAGTAATTTCTATTGTTTTATCTTCAAGTTTGCTGATTCTTTTTTCTGTCATATTCATTCTGCTATTGAGCTCAACCAGTGAGTTTTTGTTTTGATTATTTTAATTTTAGTTCTATGTTGCCCATTTGGTCGTTTTAGTACCTTTTATTTCTTTGCAGGCATTTCATGTTCTCATGCTTTTCATTTGTTTCCAGAACATTTGGGTTTGCTTGTGGGAGCCATTTTAGGATGACTGCTTTAAAACCCTTGTCATATAATTTCTACATCTTACTCGTCAGCCTATTGGCCTTTGTTGATTTACCTTTTCTCGTTCAAGTTGTGATTTTCCTGGCTTTTGGTATGACTGATTTTTTTTAAATGATATTCTGGATAACTTGAATAGTATGTTTGCAGTCTCTGGGTTTTATTTTTATTTTATATTTTAGCAGGTAGTCACCTGGTTTGGGTTTAGAGTTTAGGCCCTGGCCTACTTCTATGAGCTGTGGATCCAATGGCAATTCAGTTTTTAGTTGTTGCAGCACTGTTCTGTCTGGCTATACTTAATTGGTGCAGCTGGGTCTTCTGCTTCATCACTGTAAGTGCCACCTGTGCGTCTCAAGTGTGTGTTCTACACCTGGTGCTGCTAGGTGGGGGAGGAAAGATTTCCCCTGGCTGCCCTGTGAGTGTGGCCCATGGGTAGATACAGTTGCACTTCCCTGGTTGCTTAGGGAAAAGGGCAGGGGTAGGAGGATGAGAGAGACTCTCATAGGGCAAATGGCCCACTCTCTGGCTCAGTTGCCTTTTTACGTGATCTCAGTGATCATTGGTAGTTTCTTTGCTATCTATTATGCAAATATATTCCAGGCTCCTCTTAACATTCCTTGCCACAGACTGGAATCAGCCATTCCCTATAGGGAGTCCTGATATTCTTTAATGGAAAATGGTATTTGGAAACAATCTGAGCAGAGATTTAATGTTTACTTATTAGATGAATGGCACTTCATCATTTCACGTATTAAACAACTGAGGATGTACTTGCCCAAATGCACAGATTAGATTTGTTCCCCTTTTTAGGCACTCATACATGCCCCATACACTCCCTTTCACAACATTTTTAACCCTTAGGCTTCATTGTTCAATGTTTATTCTTCTTGTTAGATGAAATCTGTAATGCTCAGAAGTCATCTCTCAGACAAGTAAAGAAAGGGGAAGCTATGCTTTCATTTCCTGTCTAGGCATCAGATTAGTGATTATGAGTTCTTTATATCCCAGAGATACAGACTCTAAATCAATTTTTCTTAACCTTGGCTACATATTAGAATAATTTGAGAAACTTTTTGAAAAATACCGATGCTAGTCCCTAATTCCAGAGATTCCGAGTCAATTGGTCTAAGAGGGACCCAATACTTTTCAAAAGCTTCTCAGTTGTTTCTAGTGTATATCCAGGACTGAGAACCAATGATCTAGATTAAAGACTCATTCCTGAATAAAAACTTAATCTAGAATAGCTCCAAGCATGTGAAATACATTTTCTAATGCATACTATATTCCCCCTCCTGGAAACTGTGTAAAAAGCTCAATTGAGTATATAAAAAAGCAAATTAATAACTTCTCCCCAAGTCAGCTCCCCCCAGCTCTCTCATGCCTGTGAGTGGGCTCACAATATAATAGGTTTAAATCCCTGAAATCAACCTTCTGAATCTACTGGAGAATCAACTTTCATTAATCTCTCAAGTCCATTTTGTTTTTTGGAGGGTTTTCTTGGGTCTTTGTTGCCCAGGCTAGAGTGCAGTGGCATGATCATAGCTCGCTGGGCTCACACAGTTCTTCTGTCCAAGCCTCCTGAGTAGATGGTGTTCAATAAACATTTGTTGAATAATACACAAATAAGTGGATGAAACTCATATAAAAAATAACCAGTTTTGGGGGGCGGTTTATGGGTCTTAGAAGGCTCAACATAGAGTAGGAGGCAGAATTTCAGAGGCTACTAGAATAGTCCAGTGATTCCAAGGGGCTGCCTGCTGGGTAACTCGGAGTTGTTCAATACCTTAGGCTTTTACCAACTACCTGGACAAAGTGAAGGGTATATTTATAGTGAGACTCGATCGTATGTTGTTAATACCACAAGATGGGCTGAATTCACAAATAGAGCATTTCTGATGGTAAGAAAATAGGACTTGGAGGGGGCAAATGTGTGTTATTTTCCTTGATAAAAATATTGTGTCCCCCCTATTTCCTAGAAAGAGAAAATGGATAATTCACTAGAGAAGTTGATATCACTAACCAGCTGGCAGTGGCAATGAGGGAGAGGATAGGACATGAGATCTTGGGGTAATTCGAATAGCGTTAGTGTAAGTAATAAATTACATCTGATCTGACATGGAGGGGAGGTGTAGACCAACATAGGATTAAATTTCAAGACAGAAAGAGGCCTTAAAGAGCCTTTATAGAAATTTATATCATTTATAGAACATGATTTGAGATGATGAAAGGTCAATTAAGTCATCCAAGACCAAACAGTTAGGAGGAAAGCCAGGACTGAAGGCAACATCTCCTAACACCTAGGGTCAGCAGATGATGAAAATAAGAAAGAAGAATCTCCAAAGTAGACTCTAACAGGCCACCAATATGAATGCTGAAAACTTGCTTCTACTTCAGATTTTGTTTAAAAAGTCTTTTATTAATTAGGATATGGAGTGAACTAAAATTACTTTTAAGGATTTTTTTTTAGCCCCTCTAAATAACTGTGATACAGGAGCCTGCACCAAATGTGTACAAAGTCATAATCAGCTCTTTTTATTTTATATTATGTTTTAAAATCTTCAGTTTTAAAAATTTATTTTTCTGGGACTTTGTAGTTCTCTCTGGAAAATGAAATGTGGGAAATATTTACTATGTATGTTATTATTTAATGGAAATTTTGCTATACAAATGAAAATGTAAAAAGGAAGTTATTATAAAATAGAACACTATGTAGGTTAGTTTTTTTCTTCAGGATAAATTTGGACTTAATGTTGATGAACAGAAACCAGAACATGTGGCGTTCATTGTGTAAGTTCAAACGCTGTGAACACAAACAAATGGGTTTGAGACAGCAATTGCTCTGCATGGGTTCAACCCAAATTGTTCCTTGCACTTAAGTCCTAGCTTACGTTTTGTGCCCATGGCTATCATCTATGCCTGGGACATTTTAACCTACATAGAGTAGTGTGGTTTGCAATACTTTCTCGACCTTGATGTTTTCAAATTTCATGTTAATTTTTATTGGAACCCATTAGCATGTATTTCCCACCCCCAATTCACCCTCAACATACACATTTATGAACTTTGAAGGCCAACTTTGGATGATTTACACATTGAAAAAATAATTTTGAATATCCTATCGTTGTTATTACTTCTTTAAAAATTATTTCAATCATGTGGTATCTTCTAAGGAAATGATCAGAAAAACACATGGCAACTAAGCTAAAGAAATTTTTCAGACTTTCCCAAGCCCGCAAAACTGCCATGGCCTTTCTCTTTCTGTTGTTTACTCTGGGCACAAAGTACTCTTGATAAGTGGTATTGCCCAAAAATTCCAATATAAATGCTGAGGTAAACTGTACCATGGACTTAGCCACGTCTAGTTAAACCAATGGTAATGTATGGAGCACAACTTGGGTGCATGCAGCACAGCATAAAATTTGTGTTGAATGAGGTCATTGAAGAGCCAAATAAACCAAATATGACCTATAGGTCAATATATTTTAAAACATATCCCTTTTTCTTCATCCTTATCATAGAATCCATGCTGATAACTAGTTGAATACAAGATTCAAAGTCAAAATGATTTCCCAAAAGCTAGATAAATTTTGTCACAGTTTTCCCAGTTGGAAAGACAGTTTCAGGAAAGCTTGTATGCATCATATAATGTACTAATAGCAAGTAAATACCATCTACATCTGGGAAACTGAGGCCTACAGAGGTTAAGTGACTTGGCTAAGACCATGCAACTCTTGTGGCCCTCAATCTGATGCTGAGCTGCTTTTCAAAGCCATGTGTGTCTTGTTCTATAGTCCCACTCTCAACTACTGTCCAACAAGTTACGCTACAATTCTCCGAAAAAGTTTCCTAATAAGGGCGTAATGAAAAATCTAGAGATATAAAAGATCTTAAAGGTTATCTAAATAATATACCTAATGCTAGATGACACATTAGTGGGTGCAGCGCACCAGCATGGCACATGTATACATATGTAACTAACCTGCACAATGTGCACATGTACCCTAAAACTTAGAGTATAATAAAAAAAAAAAAAAAAAGAAGACTTACAAAAATAAAAGAGATCCAGAGAGTTTCAATAATTCTCCCAGCTCCGTCCATTTTCAGAACCCAAAAGAGCGTGATTCCTGGCCCCATCCTTCTACTGTATTCTCTTCAGCTCCACGTGTGGCACTGCACTATCAGAAGCTGTTTTCAATTACTTCTTTCAGTAATACCTACTGCTCTAAATTCTATCACTGGACTTTTAGTCTTACCTGGTTTATGCTTTTAACTGCCTCTATATGACAAACTGATAAATCAACACAGCAGTTTGGCTTCAAAATACATAATGCAATATCTCTTTTAAATAGATAACTATAGTTTTCCAACCAAAAATAAAGGCAGAATCACCACATATTCTCTGACTTTAGAGAATTTAAATAAGATACAATGACTGTTTTTACTGTTTTGTAACTTTTCTTGAGGTGACAGTATAAAAATTGGAGAAACCATAATTATCATTATCCCATAGCTTTCTGGATCTCTCTCAAGAATGTCTGTTCTAGGAGAATGTTAATGATCAAATTTAAGCTCTCTAGATACAATGGTTAAAATGAAGATAACGTCCACGGGCCCTAATATTATATTCTGATACAGTCTCTTTTCTGGCTCTTAATAATTCCCCCCACACTATAGATTTGTGATAAAGCAAAAATGTATAATCTCCAGAAGTGTGTCCACAAGACGACAACTCGATGTGATGTTGCCCTGGCATACCTACTTATTCTTTCCTTCATTCGTCCCTACACTCATTATAGGCCCTTCTGCCCTATATACATCCAAAGGCACTAATGCTTATTATAATTAAGGTATGAAAGGCCAAAGTTCTTCTGAGAATGTATATAACTACATGTCTAAAGACATCTTGAGAGAGTAAGATGAGAGATACAGAGCACATAGTTGGAGCACAATGACAGCCACTTGTCACTTAGAGATTGACTTCATACAACAACTGTTGGTCAGCTGTTTGGTTTGAAAAATGCAGATCTTCTTTATGTGATTGGAACGAATATAATTGGAATCACCTGGCTGACTCAGTCAGTAAGCATGAGACTCTTAATGGATATTATTCTATTGATTTCTTTGATTTACAAAAGACCTGTGTACAATGGTAGAATGTCTTTTCCAAGAAAAACAATTTACATTTGTTTTTGAGCTATGATATATATTGCCCCAAGACTTACGTGAGGTGCAGCATTTCCACTTGGCATTTGCCTATCCTCCAGTAATGAGATGGTTTATTTTGATTTCATTGCATAATTGTCTTGAAGCACCATATATACTTAGTTTAAGAGAGGGCCCCCAAAAGCCAAATTTAGACAATGATACCCTAAATTGACCAGCACAATTTAATACATTGCCATTACACTTAAAGCATTTACACAGTTGCAAATATACTTATTTTAAGCATAATTTTATATAATAATTTGACAGACAAAAATATATGTTCTAGAACCATTATATGCATCTGTCTATGAAGTAGCAAACGTACAATAAATTACACATCATACCAGTGTAAATTTACATGAAGGCTAAAACAGAAAAAGAAATCATAATTTATGTTTAAAATATAATGTTAATTTATTATTTCCAAGTAAAAAGAGGAATAGCCATTTTATTAGATTCACTTATTTTAAGCTTATATTCGTTTCATAGTCACATAAAATTCATTACTTGTAAGTGTAGCAATGAAGTTGTATTTTGATGCTGTTTGAAACAACTTGTTGTTGATATTGCAGTCCAGCTACAAGCTTGCTGATTTGAATATGTGTGGGAAAACAAAGCATTTAAATTACTCAAGAAATATGTTACAATCATATCAAAAGTATGAAAATAAAATATATGTTTTCTTCTAATGTTTTATCCACAGGTGTTGCCTTCCCAGATTAATATAGCCATTGTCTAAATGTTTCGTTTATTTTATTTTCATCTGAGGGCAGATTTTGAAAATCAGGTCTACTGATTGAAGCTGGAAGAACATGTAAATGTCTGCATTACTCATTATGTCAAAACAGAGCACATGATGGGTACAAAGTATACTCTTGCACATTTCACAGCTTTGTGATACAACTGTCTTGGAAATTGGGTGGAAATTTATGCACAAATGTGCATAAGTAAAGACCTTGTGACCATTGTTTCCTTCCTTGCAATCTTAAACTTTTTTGTACTTAAAAATCATCTTGCTAACATTTAGCATATTTGTGGATTAATAACAAACTAGTCTTTTGTATACCTACTTTGAGGGTAGGTGAGGAATAATGGGTTAAATACAATATAATATTATTTATTGGCTTAAATTATTTAAGTTATCTAGTTTTAGTACTTTGAACAGGGCAAACATTTTCCCCCTGTTTCTGTCTATTGTGAGAAATTGAATTACGTGGAAGAAATTTTTACTGTTAACCTTTTTTTCCCCACTGGATTTAAGTGTGGTTGTTGGGACAATTGTTGCCCAACAGAATGGTACAACGTAAAGAGAGAGACCTGTAGAGAGACTATGCCTCCCTGTTGCATTATATGACAGTATGAGTGAGGTGTTTCCTGATGCACATGGTGGAAGTCTGTGCCTCAGCAGGTTGAGACAGATGCTCAGGGTGACAGGATGGATAAAAACCGCCATTCAGGTAGCATGCTGGGTAGCATGGTGCATCTGGAATAATGGTGTTTGCCAGGAATTGTAGTCTCCAGCAATTAATTACTTTTATGTGTCAAATGTTTCAGTATCTGTGGTTTTTCTTTAATGAATTTCTTGCCCCTTTCTCTTTTTTCAATCAATACCTGAGAATCGTGGACTCCCATACTTACTGGTTCCAAAAATATACTTCTTCCATGTACTCCATAGGGTACTGAATAGATTCTGAGAAAATAGATGAATATAAGTAATTCTCTTTTCATTTAGATACATATGATATTCAGTGAAGATTTTGAATGCAATGTAATATTCACCATCAAATTTTGAGAAAGCACTGAAAATATGAGACATGTAAAATTATTTAATTTCCTCTTTTAAAAATTATCCTAGACATTAAATTCATGTTTAATGATAAAGATGTATTATTTGATGCTTTGAGACAATTACAATTAAATCTTATAAAAGGAATTCTAGGGTCAAGGTACAACTTTTATTTTTAATGCTAAACACTAAGTTAACTTCATTTTGTTCATGAGTTGCAGAAGTATTTTTGGAAAAGAAGTGCTTTAGTTTCAACAATTCAGACTCACTTTCTTTATGGGATCAGATTCCCTGATCACTTTTCAGCTCATCACTTCACTTTGCTTTTGTAGACATGGCTCCAGTAATTTCTATAATGTGTGACTGGTGTGAAAACACTTGAAATGGACACAAATCATTACACATACACACACACACATACACACACACACACGTATGAGTGTGTATGTGTAACACCAGAAAAGGAGCAAAATAGTATTTAATGACCAATCTCATGAATGTTATCTAGACATCAAATGTTAAAATTGATGGCTTCTTCACTTTAGGACTTATTTTATTTTTTGCTTTCTTCTACATTTTAAAATTCACTATGTACTTTTTGCAGTAGTTATTTGTCTAGTCTCTAAGGCTGGCTTATGTGAAAAAGTGCCAAAGAGTAGATGCTGTAACATTAAATCTTTCCTATTAATGAATATCTAAAAATTAGTAGAGTTTGTTTTTTTCTAATTTTACTACTATCAGGAGGTGTTGTGGAGGCTTCCCATAAAGTATTCAATGAAATATACGTAAATTTAGCAGTGTGCCTCTCATTAACCGTAACAGATGCTGTGTAGCTACCTCTCCTTACATAAGGCCTAATTTCACTTCCAATATTAACTTATGTATTAATTTATATGTTACTTATTTTATCATGGGGCAAAACTTTATATACTTGAGATAAAGACAAAAATGTACTGTTCTTCCTATTACCTTCTGTTTAATGAACTTATTGCTTTAAGGTTGCTTAATAATCCTTCAGGTACTGTTGTTTATGCATATAGTAGCTATGGAAACATACAAATTAGCCCAGTGCTCTTCTACAAAGATGGATTCAGTTTTCCTATCACCTTGCACATAAATAAATGCCAATACATAATCTTTTGTGTGTTTTCTTTGCCCGTGCTCAGAATATTACATGCCATTAATAAAAGAATAACAAATTGCATATTCAGCAAATGTTATAGCTCAGAACATGAAAGAAGGGGTTAATCATCACACTAAGAAAAATCAGCTGGTTAATTCATTGCACCATTCAAGGGAGTGACTGAAGTTATTCTCATAGCTTCGTGCTATAATGAAACTAGACTCATCAGTGCATTAGCAAACAAAGTTTGTATCAAAACTGTCCAATTTCCTTTTTCTTAGGCTTTTTCACATCTACTTCCTTTTATCATAACAAATATAAAAACTCTATTTGGCCCTTTGTTCTCTAAGTGGAACTTTACTTATTTTTTATACCTAGCAAAACTATCTAGCATCAAAATCAATACTACTATGGATGAGAAACAAAGTTGTTGCTTTCATAGGTGCTTCCTTCTAGCTTGGCTTGTATTTGTGCAATTGCACTTTATATGAATTTTTACTCTCCTGAACATTGTTTATATTTTTAATATATTTTTGTATGCTGCATACCATCTCTCCAGAACTACCCTATTACAGTGTTCTGTTTGCAAAAGCAGTATTTTATTTAGATGGGGTCACTGTAAATTATCTTCAGTCCCAGACCCTTCTGGACTGGAATCAACATCAAGGAAGGCCTCTTTATTGGTGAAAGTTGAGCTGAGGGTCATGCTCTGTCGTGGCTTCACAAGTGCAAGTTCATCTAATTTAATATTTTCATTTTTGACAAGAATTGTCTTATCCATGTTTTCTTCACTGTGTCTTGCAACAACAGCATCAAATACATCTAATTTAGGTGGCAAGGTTCCACTTTCAAATAGATACTTGGCTAGATAGGAGATGCAAATGTTGGTTAAGAATGATGTAACCATGGCAAGTGTTTTAAATGGAAATTTCTGATTATATATACCATTATCATCAGGGTAATAGCCAGGGTAGAAGATCAAGGGCTGAAGATACAGATATGGCTCCCCTCCAGTTATTCTCAGGAAGAGGCCAGAAACATAACCTGCCACGGCCCCATAGGTGTTGGTTCCCTTAACAAAGAGTACACAAAGCAGCTGGGGGAAGATAACGATGTAAACAAGGTCAGAACTGAGGTACCAGAGCCCATACACAGTTTTCGTCAGCAAGGCCATGGCTGTTGCAGATGCTCCAAACACAAACACTGTGATTCGCATAACCCAAACGATTTCTTTGTCCGAAGCCTGTAAGAAATTGCCACAGTGTCAGCTTTTTGCACAGTGTCTTGGCTCATTTAGGCAAAGAATGAGACATATTTTTTGCTTCAAAACTGGTCTAAAGAATTCTCCTGGTTCAAATGGCTCAATCTATGGGAAAAACCAACTACAGCTACAGCACCCAAAGCAAACAATCAAGGTGACTTCCTGGGTGGACCTTTGGGAGGGGTTTCTGTGTACCAGATGCATGACACACAGGCCACCTGAGCCTTTTCCTGAATGCACAGGGGCAAAGGCAGGATGAGCTAACATGGTGTCAGGGAGGTATAATAAAGCAAGGGAAGATTTCCTCACTTTACATATTAGGGAACAGTTCTTATGTGGCATTGACAGAGCATAGGCCATCCCTAGTTTATCTCTTTGTAGAAGTGCTACCATCCTTAAACTAACCACCTTCTGGTGCTCTTGAAAAGACACATGCACACATACGTTTATTGCAGCACTATTTACAATAACAAAGTCATGGAACCAACCCAAATGCCCATCAGTGATAGACTGGATAAAGAAAATGTGGCACATGTATACCATGGAATACTATGTGGCCATAAAAAGGAATAAGATCATTCCTTTGCAGAGACATGGATGAAGGTGGAAGCCATCATCCTCAGCAAACTAGCACAGGAACAGAAAACCAAACACCACATGGTCTCACTCATAAGTGGGAGTTGAACAATGAGAACACATGGATACAGGGAGGGAGCAACACACACTGGGACCTGTTGGGGGGCGTGGGGGGTGGTGCAAGGAAGGAACTTAGAGGACGGGTCAATAGGTGCAGCAAACCACCATGGCACACATACACTTATGTAACAAACCTGCACGTTCTGCACAAGTATCCCAGAACTTAAAGTAAAATTAAAAACAAAAAGAAAATGCCTTGTTCAAGGAGTTCCTTTGGTTAATTAAAAAAAATCAAATAAAATCAAAACAAAACAAAGCAAAAGCAAAAACACTGGGATTGTTTTGTTAACTAAAACCTAGAGAGAGGAAAAGCTTTAATCAACCAAGAAGCATGCTGTTTTGCAGCCACTTTGATTCAATAAAGAAAATCAAATTGAGAGGATATCTTCCTGCAAAGGTGGACTTTGGAGTGCAAGTATAAAACAGTTCAGAAGTTACAAAAATACGTGTCGAACAACTTACCATGCCCTGCTTCCACCAAGATTTTCCAGTGTCATAGAGAATTTAATTATACTAAAAGTTTTGCTGAATAGTTTAGGTTTCATTACTCTTTCATCAGAAAGACAAAAAGGTTAAATGATAGCCCTGTGACTGTACCTCTTGGGAAATAATTATATTGATTTGTTCCCTTTAGTATTGACATGAATAAGAACAGGTACTGATAGCATCCATTCAGCATAGGTATAATTTGTTATTTAATCTCGTATGCTTAAAGTACAGTCAGATTTAACATAGAATATTAATAAATATATAATACTGTATATACAACAAATACAACATCAGAAGCAGCAAGAGCAATGCTAGTAAATGTCAGGTTGAAAGAAACTGTTCTTACATTTTGTCTGAAGGAAAGCTGGTAGATGTTCCGTGCAAACATGGAACTTGCTGACAAGATGGAAGAATCTGCTGATGACATAACAGCAGCAGAAACTGCACCAAGACCAAAGAAAGAAATATACACAGGGCAGAGATACTGCAGAACAATTGGTAAAATCATGTCTGCCTCTTCTGTAGTCTTGGGATCTGGAAGCCCATATGCAGTCTGGTTCCAGTCTGTTGAACAGAATCAACAACCATTATAACCACCAAGGAACCAAATGTTCTTTATCCATCTGGGGTCATCCTATTTACTAGGTTGTTTTGAAATAAACTCAGAATCATATACATTAGTCTGGTGTGAAGTCCATGTGCTGGTCAAGTGGAAATGTCTTATATCTCTTGGCTTCTAAAAGGTATTGGTTATAGTTAGTGTTATTCACAATGCCTGCACAGACACTGGTGGTAAGATATATATTTCCTTTCTGCAATGATGGTGTTACATTGCCTAGAATCATAGAAAACAAACTCTCATAAACAGAATTCTAGAGTATTCCTTCAACCACTTGGAAATGTGGTGGGACACTCACTGTTTCTTCTTTAAGGCTCAGTTATTCATGTGTAAATGAAGAAAGACAATAGTAGGGCTATTCTCAGCCATCATCTCTCTGTACATAAACTTGGTTTTGAAGCTGCCTCAGCATTACTTTTCTCCTATTTCCACATTGCATAGAATTTCACTAGGTTAAGAACAGTCCCTTTTTATTGAATAAAAATTACAGTCATGTGGCTGAAATTTTCAGGAAGTTTTGGTTGTGGGTAGGGTAAGAAGACTTGAAACACAGATTTATCTTTGAATACATAGCTTCTTTACTGGTTAGTTGTAGCATGTGTTGAAGAACTATGGAATCCTTAAATGTTCATTAGCATAGTCGGCTTTTTATTTGCTGAACTTTTTTAATATCATGATCATTGGACCAAATAGGAATTGTTCTCTTTGGATCCTACCATTTTTTCTTCCCTCATTTTCTATTACAATTGTCACCAAAGCCTGCTTACATGCAGGCAACTTTGTGGCCTTAACTGAGATTTTATGATAACAGAAATAACAAACAAGAATGTGTATCTAATCCAAGAAAAAATAGGCTTAATGCTGTTTCTGTTAGCCTGTGTTCCTACAATAAACACACACACACAGACACACACACACACACACACACAGACACACACACGTCCATATATGTTTTCTGCTTGTGAGAGAAATACTATCTTTTTTTTTTTCAGAGACAAACACTACATACCACCTTCGTCAGTCATCTTTACATTTTTGAAGTGTCTGTCTCCTGGATGAACAACTGGAATGGAGAGTGTACACTATGAACCAGGACTGCTCTCCTAAAAGTTAAACAATCCAATAAAAGACTCTACTAATCGAAAGTCAAAGTTGCTGTAGGAACATCACCCTGGATCACCTTTACAGAATACCACAGGACAAAAGGTGAACTTTAATCTATTTTATTACCTCTACGTAGAAGATGCCTTTGAATTTGGATTAACATGATGTATTTTCATTAAGTGCTCTTAAAAGTTACAGCACCGGAACATAAAGGTCAGGAGTAATTAATACATTTAATTAAATTAAAGGTGAGCTTTTGAACATGTTCTACATAGAGGCTAACAGGGAGATAAACATTTCATAATGCTCTTTTTTCAAAACCATTTTTTAATAAGTTATTCTCTAAGTGACTTTGTTTGTTTGTCTTGACCTAAATGCTTATCCATCACTTTCTTCAAGAAAGAAAACCCCTAATTAAAAACTACTAAAGGTGTAAAGCAGAAATCTCAAGTTCAAAGTGATCTTTAGGGAGGTCATGAGGATGACAGGTAAACGTCTCTAAGCCTGTGACTCTCAACTCTGGCTCTCAACTCACCTAGGGGTTTTAAAAGAACACTAGTGCCCATCTCTATCTTCAGTTATTAAAATAAAATTCCTGTGAAGTAGGCCACATATCCGTATTTTTAAAAGATCTCCCCACCATTCCCCAGATGATGTCAGCATGCACCTTGGTTGAGATCCACTGCTGACAGGAGTGCATATAAACAATGGATAAATATACCAAAACTGGGAGGAGGGTGTGCTCACCAATGTTTCATAGTGGAGTGAGCAATCAAAAAAATTGGAGGCTGGGCGCAGTAGCTCACACCTATAATCCCAGCACTTTGGGAGACCGAGGCAGATGGATCACCTGAGGTCAGGAGTTTGAGACCAGCCTGACCAACATGATGAAACCCCGTCTCTACTAAAAAAAAAAAAAAAAAAAAAATGGAGGCCGCTGAACTATATAATACGATTTACTGAATGCTATAACAAATCTATAGATATGAATGTGGTGAGAAAGAATTCACTATGTGGAGGAAAGAGGGGAGTGGGACAGAAGGGTGTCTGGGTGGGGATTGGTAAACTAACTGGCACATGTGGTGAAGCTGCAAGAGATTTACCTGTTGATGCTCCAATGGCCCCAATGAGTATGGCTGGGATGGCCATCACCAGGCACCCGAAAGCTGCCAGGAAGGACAGCACTTGAGCATAGGTGGCTGAGGAAGAAGAGAGAACCCTCTGAAAGTATGCTTGCCATGGGATTCCACCCAGCATCTGTGCGGGAAACACAAGGATGGAGAGGCAAACATCTATTCATTTTTTTAAAGAGTTTTATTGCAATCACATTTAGAATAGGCCTAAGTACAACTTAGAAGTAGTAAAAAAAATGTGGCATGTAGCCACAAATATCAATTAGTATCATTATGTTTGCTATGATCTGATGTTTATGTTCCCCCTAAATTCATACATTGAAATTTTGATCCCCAAGGTGATGGTATTAGGTATCAAGTTGGCAACTTTGGGAGATGATTAGCCCATGAGGGTGGAGTCCTTATAAAAGGGAGTCAAAGGAGTTTTTTTCCTTCCACCATGTGAGGAGGCAGCAAGAAGGTGCCTTCTATGAGGATGCGAATCCTCACCAGGCAGTGAATCTGCCGGCACCTTGATCTTGGACTTCCCAGCGATGTGAAAAACTGTGAAAAATAAATCTGTGTTGTTTATAAGCCACTCCGTTTATGATGCTTTGTTACCCAACTGAACTAAGACAATGTATCATCAACTTTCAATTATGCAGAATTTCCTGAAGTTTTCTCTATAATTACATACAGCAATTATTTCTTTTCATTAATTTACCTATTTTGAACTGTATTTAAACTACCCCAGAGGCCTTCAATTTGTTATCATCTGGTGGTTCTAACCATCATAAAATATTCTCAGAAAATAATTAAGATTTTGAAAGTATGACATTTAACCTGAATCAATGCAACCCAAAAATATTTATACACTCCAATCATGTGCCAGGCAATGTAATGGCTGTAAGAGCAAAAACATGAATAAGGCATGGTCTTTCCCTGGAACTTACTTTCTACTATGAGAGTCAATGTATGTGGTGTTTTCCGCAGTGAGCATTGCAGAGTGCTCAAGGCAATACAGCCGGCATCAAATAATAAATACTAGAACTTCTATGTATATTAATTTTACGTTGTACCTAAATATTGTATGGTTGCTTTTATTAAATGATTTACATCATACGTTAGTACAGAATATATAAGCAACTGATAGATATACATACCTATATTGGAATGTGCTTAAATTTCTTATTGAGCATATACAATAAAAAACGTTTAAACTATAATGCAATTTGTTGCATGATATAAAGAGGTCTGTATGGGAATTAAAATGATAAACCATTAATTATTTGTGATGAGAAAAAGGTGGTAAGAAGAGAGAAAGGGTAGCTGCATGTTAACAGGAAAACCTGCAGAAATGAAGTGCAGATTGTCCATAGGCTTTGAGAGCATTTCCACAGGTGGAGATGGAGGGAGAAGAGAGTACCTGAGAGAGAAACTAATAGGAAAAAAGAAAATAATGACAGCGACCAGGCAGTTGAGACCACTGGGTATTTGGTATGATGAGAGGTGAGTGAGGGAGTGGTTGGAGGAGAAGCTGGAAGCATACTTTTGGCTAGATTACTGCTACTTCTCTTTCTGGCATAAAGTCAATATTCAATAAATATTGGTCACATGAATGAATGAATGAATTGATAAATGAGTTGCCATAGCACAATGTATTAAGGTTTCATTAACTGCCTGTCTCTCTCACTGGGCTCTGGGTTCTGGGGACGTCTGTCTTATCATGGTCTCACCTGGGCTAAGCAGAATGTCTGTAACATAGATACCATAACAATCTCCTTCTTATAAAAGCCATATATGTTCAAAAGTAATTAAAGGAAAAAATTCTAAAATTCATAACCCCATTCCTGAAGTCTATATTCTTCCAAAACCTTTTCCTTTCATTCTGTGACCTGTTTTATCAATATATCATTAACATCTTGCATGTCAATGACTTGAATGGATTGATACATCATAAATTACATATTCATCACCCTGGACATTTAGGTCATCAGAAGTTTTTAAGTAGGGTAAAGTCTGACTTCATCTACAAACAGAAGCTCTCATGATACAATGGACTGAATATTTGTCCTCCTAAAATTCATATGTTGAAACTCTAATCCCAACATGATACTATTCAGAGGTGGGGTCTTTGGGAAATAATCAGGTCATGAGGGTGGAGCCCTCATTATGGGATTAGGGCCCTTTTAAGAAGAGGTCAGAGACCTCTCTCACCCTCTTTCCACCATGTGAGGGCACAACGAGAAGTGTACAGTCTGCAACCTGGAATACTGCCATCTTTAGAACCTAATCATGCTGGTACCCTGGTCTGAGATTTCCAGCCTCCAGAATTATAAAAATTATATTCTGCTGTTTGTACATCACCCAGTCTATGGTAAATTGTAACAACAGCCCAAACTGACTAAAGTAGGTAGTAATATGGAAAGTGGGCATGGGAGAGTAAGAGGTGGGCAGGCTGCCATCAGAGAGATGAGTGGGGGTTATCAGAGTAGACCAGGTAAGGAATGCAGTCTACCTAATAGAGAGCAAACATGGGTACAGTGGGAAGGTTCCAAGTGTGACCAGGAGATACACTGACAGTATCACTAGCAGGACTTGACAAGTCATCTTCACATAGGGGATGTAGGAGAGACCACTGGAAGATCAAGACCATTGATGCAACATTTCAAGGCCAATTTCTATAGTTCATTCATTTATTCAACATGTACTACTTCATTTTAACTTGTCTTATAATTTGAATCATGAATATGACTAAGTCATATAATTTTTTAGAGCTGGAAGAAATTTAGCCATCACTTTACAAAATGTCTTATTTTAAAGATGAATAGTCTGAAGACTAAAGTGTGCTGTAGGGGAAAGGACTTTGAGGTCTTAATATTCTATATCAATCTCTAACTCAGACAATGATGTGATTATTGACAAATTGCTTAATTGTTCTAAGTCTCATCCTCTCTATGATGTAACCATAAGCACATCTACTATGCAGGTATAGTTACATATACATATTTACTCTTACTCCTTCAGTTCATGATTTTAAGCCATACCAGAAAAAAGAGAGCCAACAGATTTCTCAACAATCCTTAGGCAAAGAAGCCCTCCAGTCCACTACTGGAAACATATTTTTGCCATATTTTCCTGCCCTTTACTTGAAAAATTTTAACTGGAAAAGACACAGTCACTTTGAGTGTTGAGGTAATGCTAGAATTCAGCCATGTGCCACGATCACAAAGTCATACAATATTGCCAACCTTCTACAGAGAAAACAAAAATAACCAATTTCCCTTTAAGCTTAATAGAAAAAGTAATCTATTTCTTTTTTTAAGAAGATTTTTTTTTATAGAGATGGGGTCCTGCTATGTTGTCCAGGCTGTTCTCAAACTCCTGGCCTCAAAGTGAGGCTTCCACCTCAGACTGGCAAAGGGCTGAGATTACCAGGGTGAGCCACCACACTCTGCCATAATTGATTTCTTACGTTGAAATCAAATACAGTGTGTTATTTTCAGGCCTAACTCCTCTAATTAGCACAGTCGTAAAATCTGGTCAGTTCTTCTGGTTGTTCCCTCTTGCCTCAATGGGATCGGCCATTATCTCTTCCATGTCCTCCTCAAAGTGCCTGCACCTTTGCCCCAAAGTTCTGCCTGTTTTCAAGCTTCCTCTGGCTCCTGAGGGCCTCTCTCTTGGCATCTTTCCTGAGTGACATGTCCCTTTCCAACCTGCCTCACTTAGGGCCTCTAGCACTACTAATTCACTTACTCTGTAATTCAAGAGTGAATGAGAGACTTATTTCATAAGTTGGGTTTCATGCCTTAATTCAAAACACAAAATAAAGCCTTTACAAGGTTTTGCCTTCAGGTTGGGGAAAGTCCTGGGGGTAGGGCATGTTATTCCTTGACTTACATCACAACGGAAATGAGGACCCACCACCCAGAACACCTTATGCTGTCCCCTCAGGGCCTCATTTGTTCTCCACCCTGACACTGCCAGCCACGATAGTCCGGCCCTGGCTCCACCCTCCCGATAGAGAGTCCTCAATTCAGAAATGGCCATGAGCCCACAAGCACATTTTTTTACTATGAATATGAAAATCGTGAAAACAAATTTGATTTCAGGAACAATTAAATCACATTCTTCAGGTAAGAGCATTACTTACCAACAACAGAAAACTATCAAGCCAAGAGTAGACTTCAGATGAGTCAACAGTTCCCAGCCACGGCTTTTGGTATTTGGCATGCACAGCAGTGAACCCGATGTCTGCGACTGCAGGATGTGACAATGCAAAGGGGACGCTGATCCACTGCAACAGAAAGTGACACTGGAGCCCTAGGCGATGGTTTTCAACTGTCTGATATATGCAAGATTTGTACACCTCACACACTGCACAGCTCAGTAGTTCCTCTAGTTCAGACAGAGAAGGATCGGAAATCATGTTCTCTGTTTTTTGTTGGGCACCATAAAATACTGATTTAGATGAATTAAAATAACACATTGACTATTTCTTTTCTTTTTTTTTTTTTTTTTGAGACGGAGTCTCGCTCTGTCGCCCAGGCTGGAGTGCAGTGGCGGGATCTCGGCTCACTGCAAGCTCCGCCTCCCGGGTTCACGCCATTCTCCTGCCTCAGCCTCCCAAGTAGCTGGGACTACAGGCGCCCGCCACTACGCCCGGCTAATTTTTTGTATTTTTAGTAGAGACGGGGTTTCACCGTTATAGCCGGGATGGTCTCGATCTCCTGACCTCGTGATCCGCCCGCCTCGGCCTCCCAAAGTGCTGGGATTACAGGCGTGAGCCACCGCGCCCGGCCACATTGACTATTTCTATGCTTGATTATACCATGTCATACAAACTATAGCAGCAGCAACATAAAACCTCTAGGAAGAAAATATTATATTTGAAATATCTGTCAATCTATCTATGTATCTATCTGCCTACCTATCTATCATCTATCTATCTCTGACTGTCTATCTACACACACACACACACACATACATAAATAGATACGTAGCTATTGAGATATATATCCCCTTGTGTGTGGGTGGGGGGAGGAGGGGAGGGATGTGGATTGTTTTTGTTTTCCTCTTCTGTTAAATGTTGGATAACACAAACTTGAGTTCTAATAAAGAATTGTATTTCTCAGCTGCTTGGGAGGCTGAGGCAGGAGAATTGCTTGAACCTTGGAGGCAGAGGTTGCAGTGAGCCGAGACTGGACATTGCATACCAACCTGGGCAACAGAGCAAGACTCCATCTCAAAAAAAAAAAAAAAAAAAAAGAATTGTATTAAAAAATAAATAAATAAATGGTGCCGAGCACTGTGGCTCAGGCCTGTAATCCCAGGACTTTGGGAGGCCTAACTGGGTGGATTGCTTGTGCTCGGGAGTTCTAGACCAGACTGGGCAACTTGGTGAAACCCCATCTCTACCAAAAATACAAAAATCAGCCAGATGTGGTGGTGCACACCCGTAGTCCCAGCTACTCAGGAGGCTGAGGTGGGAGGATTGCTTAAACCTGAGAGGCAGAGGCAGCAGTAAGTGGTAATTGAGCCACTGCACTCCAGCCTGGCTGACAGAGCCAGATCCTGTCGCAAAAGAAAAAGAAACTGCCAGGCACAGTGGCTCATGCCTATAATCGTAGCACTTTGGGTAGCCACTGTTAGAGGATTGCTTGAGTCCAGGAGTTCAATATCAGCCTGGGAAATACAGTGAGACCTGGTCTCTACAAATAATAATAATAAACAAAATAAAATAAAAATTTTTTAAAAATTATATTTGAAATATATATCCATATAAAAGTGTGTGTAGGCACACACACTTTTATGTTTTCTGTGAATTAGGGAAAGATATCCATTCCTTAAGGGAAAGATATCCATTCATTAAAGTAATAAGAAAATATGTGATTGAGAAATACATGGGTGACATATAAGCCTTCAAAGATGGGCCCAATACTAACAGGTAGAAGAATAAAGAATTGAAGGAAGAGATGTTTAGATGGAGCAAGTCAAAGAGGAGAAGAATAAATGGGGTGTGTGTGTGTGCGTGTACACTCGCACCCACATCTGTTGGTGACAGGCTTTGCTGGCAAGGGAGTAGCTTGGGGAAATGGGAGAGATAAAGATGGATGTGTGGAGAAAACTCAAATTGCAAGCTAAAGGATTTGTATTTTGTTTTTGCAGGCAACTGGAAGCTAGAAAAAATTCTTTTAAGTCTTAAAAAGTTTTCAGTGGAATTTATTCTGAAATTTAATAACATAGACATGAATGGTGAGTTTAGTGAAAAGGAAGAGTCAGGGAAAGTGGTAGGTGATTTCAATTCCACCTAGATGAAGGCTGAAGTAAAGCAGTGACA
The DNA here is from genome assembly GCF_000001405.40 of Homo sapiens. Classification (NCBI taxonomy): domain Eukaryota; kingdom Metazoa; phylum Chordata; class Mammalia; order Primates; family Hominidae; genus Homo; species Homo sapiens. The sequence goes on along the minus strand of NC_000002.12, from coordinate 107,999,853 downwards.
CTGGGAATGAAAAAATATCGGTACTAAAAAGGATTATGAAGAGTGAGCCAACAACCCTTACAAGAAGGAGAGAGAGGTCAGAGAGAGGGAAAATGAAAAGAAAAACCTCAAGTTTACAGTTTTGGAGCTCCAGGGGTGATGATAAAATCAATGACATTAGAGAATTTGAGAAAAGAAGGTGGTCTAAGGGGTAAGTTGATTAATTATGTATGCTCACACAGCAATTAAAGTTTGGAAAACAACATTATTTAGTCTTTTATTCAACCAATTCAATAGGGCCTTCTCTAGTAACCAACAGAACTCCATTCCTTATCAATTTGGCTACATTTTGTGGCAGGAAAAATATTCTAACATATTTGCACTGTCATCTTTACACTTGCATACTTGATTTATGCACCCGTGGGTTTTAAGTTCTAGTCTCATACAAAGCAATGAGAAATCACATATATCATCAATAACAGGTTCATTCCCTGGGGTTGTGTTTCTTGGAATACCTAGTGCATCAGTTATGAGAGCTGTCATTGCCAAACCAACCTGGCTCCTGACATTCTGAAGAGGGATTTATTTCTATGTTCCCTATTTTATTTCTGGAAGTTTATGTTGATGCTAAGGAAAAATCAGAATTTCAGCACGGTCCACTTAATTTTGGTAATTTAAATACAAAATAGTGGGAGTCCTTGAGCAAATTAAATATTCTCATATTCAGTTACAATATGAATGGACGAAATTCCATGAAATGCAAATAAAATGTCTAAGGAGAAAAGAGAAAATACTATAATCTTTGCTAGCGTATGTAAATTTATAGTTAAACTGCACATCTAATTGTAGTCTGTTTTTTACAATTTTTCCTCTAGGATATTATTAGAGATGATGGAAAGTTTATAAAAAGGAGAGAAGGGCATGAGATTACTTCTTCATTTTTAATTTCTAAGTGTCTAGTGTCAAAAGTAAAATATAATGAAATGCTTTAAATTGTAAGATAAATAAATAAAGATGAGGAGAATCAAGAGTACTTAACCATCCTTGGGAAAATGAATCATGATCTCTAGTGTTAGGTTGCTCAGTCTGTGGCCTTTGCAGGAGGGCATTGCCCCTAAAGAATCTACAACTGGGATAATATATGTGTATGGTGAGATAATGTACATGAACCTATGATGACCCTAGCCCAGCATGGACACACCAGTTTTTATTCTTCTTTTGATACATCTTAGGTATTGAATATTATATGCATAACTGTACTCTTCACATTTCTTCAACATTGACTAAAATATGTTCAGACACACAAAAGTGCTTTTAATATAGTGCTAATAATACTAATAATACTCATGTCTCATAATTATAATAAAAACAATAGATAATAAATCTTTCTGGTGCCTTATATAATTAAGAATTTTCTTTGTTTTTAGACCACAAATAGTGATGATTAATATTTGAAATCCACAGTTTTCCAATGGGATCATTTCTATGTCTTATGAGCATTCTTAGGATTCACCAACTAACGTAAAGGGAGACTTGTACAAGTTACCACTAAGGTTTGAATTTTGTTATCTCTGCCGAGGGAAATGGATTGCCTTAAATACTAAAAGGAGATCATGCATAAGTTTCCATCAAATCTAGGCATTAAGGAAAGCAAGACCTAGACCTTTCTAACAGTCCAATGGAGAGCACACTTTTCTGTCAAATTTTATCAAAATGACGAGTTTTTCATCTAATTAATTTATGGAGAAATTTGAAATTTCATGTATGTGACTTAGTATGTATTACTCATGAGGGAAAATAATATTTCTACTCATTTTTAATGAGTTAGTATAAAATACATTACCTTTTACAGAAAAAAAGGAGGAGAATCTTGGGTGCTCCCACTTACCAGCCCTACAAAAATGCAAAAGAGCTGAACGACATCAGTGTAGGCCACAGAATAGAGCCCTCCCACCAGTGTGTACAGAGTGGCAATGAGTGCAGAGATGATGACAGAAATGTGCATATCCACATCGATGATCACGCTGATGGTGGCTCCTGAAACAAACAAGAGAGTTCTGTGGTCAAGGTGCCCAGACAGATTCTGCTCTTTGTATAAGGACATAATGAAAGTTCAGTGATAAACAACATTTTTCTCTCTGTCATATGAAATGCAGTGGATGAAAACACCTAAAGTTAATTTTTATATTGAAATTTGTATATCTTAATAAATTCAGTGAGATACATACTTTTTCTTTCTGAAATTACTGGTTTGCTAACTTATTTATTTGGAGGACACACAGATCCATGGTATGGTTATAGAAGACCCTGAATTACTGAGAAATTTAATTACATTACAAGAACTCAAAATAATTTCACTATCTGGAACTCTGACTCAATCAAATACAGCCATGTGTTGCTTACCAATAGGGATGTGCTCTGAGAAATGTGTTGTTAGGTGATTTCACTGTTGTGCAACTTCACAGTATGTACTCACTCACAAATCTTGATGGTGTAACCTACTACACACCTAGGCTACATGGTATGGCCTATTGCTCCTGGGCTACAAATTCGTGCAGATTGTTACCGTACTAAACACTGTAGGCAAGTGTAACATGATGGTAACTATTTGAATATCTACACATCATATCTAAACAGAGAAAGTAACAGTAAAAATATGCTATTATAATCTTATGGGACCACTGTCATATATGCAGTCCATCATTGACCAAAACGTCATTACATTACCAAACGTCATTAGTCACATCTATGAAAAACACAAGGCTTTCTGAGAAACATGATCACCCATTTCCACATTTTACAATTGACATTCATTTGCCATTTTGCATTTACTCTGCCCCCTACTAGGCTTTGATAGCTAACAAATGGTTAAGGCAGCAAAGAATTGAGAAAAATTTGTAGGAACAAATTATCAAATTGGTAAATGTTATTAATCAATTTCTCCCTCTTTAATTTGCGACAGATCACTCTTCTTTTATTTAATTGGTAGAACATACCAGTCCTGCTCCTAGGATACCAGTATACTGAAGAGCCTAAGATTTGAATATCATATTTTTAAGTAATTTTCATCATCAACATTTTAAACTTCTCTTAGAAATCAAATTTATGTTTCTCTTTATAACATTGTTTATTGTGTTTGTTGGTCCCTATATTTCCACTGAACATATTGAGGTATGACCAGTTTGGGCCGCTGTGGTTCTTGGACTGACAGTTCATAATTCACTTGTTGCTTTAGTAGCCTTTTCCCTATTGTTCTCAAAACTATACAGTTTACATGTCACATTATTAAATGCATACATGTAATGGATCTGTGATTTTATGTATCATCAGTTGCAGCCAGCTGAGTTGTCTTACACCCTACCCCCATTCCTCAATTGGCATGCTAGTAGTATATGCAACCCACTGGAGATGAAACTACATTATCTCAATATAAGATGTGTTGATCCAAAATATCAGTAAGAAATATTTTTCAGTGTTTTGCTATGGTGATAAAATAGAATTATTTTCCAGAGTAAAGATCCCTTGAAAAGAAAAATCTAGTAAGAAGTTGGAGAATGAAGACAAGGATGAGAGATAATTATAGATGAGTGACTTCAGATAACTGACTGAGTTATTGTTTTATAGATATTTGAAAAGTTATTTTTTCCTGAGATCATTTACTTCGAATCGAAACTTTACTTCCAACACTTTGTCGTTCTTTTTTTTTGTGTGTAGTTCTCCACTTTAATAACGCTTCTAAGCTATATACCATGAATTATGAAAAGTTCAATTATAAAATAAAGATTAGCTGACTAAAATCTCAAAGATTTGGGGTCCTAGTAGATGCTGTCACTTAACTGTAACTCAGAGATATTAGAGACGTCAATCACTTCTCCATTATCACTATTAAAATTGAGATAAAATTTTCTCTAAAATATTTTCTGAAAAATTAAATCAATTGTAAGTAAAACAAAGTGATACTTTGAGGTATACCAGGAAATATTAGTCTACTCATGAAGCTATAAAATAAGTATCCTGCAAAGTTATGAAAATCCACTGAACTTGAGCTGTTAGAAGTGTAAATACACATTTCTTCAAAATGTTGTAGGATGTCAATTTCTACCAAGAAGATAGTTTAAGATTCTCCTATGTTTCAATGGTGAACTATACACATTCACAGAAAGGTGGTAATAGATCTTATATATTCTTGAATATATCAAATTATTTGTAATAAACACTAAATTTTAATTAAATCCAACTATTACTTTTTATTTGTGTAAATTTAAAGATTACAGGTGCAATGATGTTACCTGGGTATACTGCATAGTGGTGAAGTTTAGACTTTCAGTGCTTTCATTACCCAAATAATGTACATAGTACCCAGTAAGTAACTTCACACACACACACACACACACACACACACACTCTCTCTCTCTCTCTCTCTCTCTCTCCCAAAGAGTTCAAGCAATAGCAGCAATGTTTTTATATATGTTGTTTGATATATGTGAGTGTTTAGAAAGATACAGACAATAACATATTTTACATATGTAGTCATGGATTAGGTAATAATGTTACCATCAATGATGAACCACAAATACATAAATTCTCATAAAATCATAATGAAGCTGAAAAAGTCCTATTGCTTAGTGACATTATAGCTATTGTATTACAATTGCCTATAGTATTCAGTGCAGTAACATGTTGCACAGGTTTGTAGCCTAAGAGCAATAGACTATACTGTATAGCCTGTGTGTGTAGTAGGCGCTACCAACTCGGTTTGTGTAAGTACACTCTATGTTCACACAACATCAAAATTGCCTGCTGATGCATCTCTCAGAATGCATCTACATCCTTAAGCTGACTGTATATTGTAATACAGGCACAAACACAGACACACATATATACAAAACTAATTATAACAAAGTTCACAGTTTCGTTACTATATTTTATATTTCCAAAATACTTTAGAAGCATTTGCTTATTAATTCTATTCTTTCTTCAGGGCTCTGTTATATAAGTTGATCTTTACTCAATGAGTGAACATTTTGTATTTTGTTATATACTCAGCCCACTCCTTTTTTGATACCTCAGCAGGTAATTTGTTCTTAAAATTAACATTTTTTGGTGTTCAAAGCAATGGCAAACAAGCGCCCAATGCAACTCAGCTAATGAGAGTCAGGTGGAAAGGGAGGTGTAGTTTTACACATAATATCATTAGAACATAAGAGCAGCAGTGGATGTGGAGTATTATTATCCAGCACCAGAGAAGTGCAGCATTTTCCACCTAGTTGTTTCTTTTTTTTTCTTTTTGAGACAGAGTCTCACTCTGTCGCCCAGGCTGGAGTGCAGTGGCGTGATCTCAGCTCACTGTAAGCTCTGCCTCCCGGGTTCACGCCATTCTCCTGCCTCAGCTTCCTGAGTAGCTGCTGGGACTACAGGCGCCCGCCACCACGCCTGGCTAATTTTTTGTATTTTTAGTAGAGATGGGGTTTCACTATGTTGGCCAGGATGGTCTCGATCTCATGACCTCGTGATCCGCCCTCCTTGGCCTCCCAAAGTGCTGGGATTACAGGCGTGAGCCACCGCGCCCGGCCCCCCACCTAGTTCTTGCTGTATTTTATAACGATCAAATACTCTTGTTTCGGCAACAGTCACTCTTTTTTATAGTTGGCAATCAAAAAAATCCTGACTAACCTGCGGGATGAAATTGGATGTGCTGAAGGCGGGGCAGTGCACACCTTTATGGGGAGCTTCCATCTCCCAGCTGCCTCAACAGCCTCAGTCAGGTCCAACAGTCTCAACTGGTCCCATGTGGTACACATCTAAGCCTGTGTCTCTAAGGGTAGATTGGAGTCGAGGAGACGCTAAGGCATGGGCAAGCTTTCTCATGTAAGTTATTGAGAAGACATTTAAACTGAAGGGGAAATTCTTGTTATATTCTACCATACTTAAATTTTTCCACTACTAAACCGTAACATTGAACTTTATAATATCAATTTATGGAAATATTTCAAGTTTGTAGTTTTGCTGTGTGACTTACATTACTTACCTATTCTGTCAGCAGAGGGTTGGTGATATCTCACTTCTTTAGGAATGTTATTTACTGCTGGAACTGACTCTGTTTTATATATGTTTTTAATTAAACATTTTATTTAAAAAGTCAACATCTCTGAAAATATCAGTGCTTTTAGAATAACATGCAACACTGTTGTCTCAGGAGTTTAGGTAGTTTTATATCTGTGTTTATGCCAATTAACATGGCAGTTATTAGAGGGAAAACAATGGGAGGTAAAAAGTTCTCAGTTTGCAGGAAGAACACTTATTGGAAGAAATTAAGATATAAATCATTTATTTAAATTTATTCAACACCAAAAATATGTATTAGTATTCTCACTAACCCCTGGTTCATGAATCCTTGTTTTAAACATTTATGTTAAGTAAACTGCACTTTTTAGCTATGCTTAATTCATTATTCTTTGTTCAAAATCATATATGACTCATAAAAGCAAATTGATCATTATAATTCATAGTTATTGGTCTAATGAGGCAATTCAAGTATGGAAAGTGTAGCTGAGGTTTTATTTAACCTCTGCCACCATATTGCAAGTAAACGTAGAATTTCCATTAAGCTTTTATGCATATAAATATGGTTCAGCATATGGTTTTAATAAAAATGTCCTCAGAAGCCAAGGCTGAGGAAAGTAAGGTTGTGTATCTGATGTTTAGTTAACTACAAAGATGCAGCTAGACAACTTAGCTGGTCCTTACCCAAAGCAGAGAAAATTGCTGCAGCCCAGAACATTTCTCCCATCAGTGCAGGAATAAACAGGAGTCCGCCCATGCGTTTTCCATAGATTTGCTGAAACGGGTCTAACATGGTCACATACCCCTTTGAACGCATAGGTTTTGCAAAGAACAGGCCACCTAAAAATTAAGCAACTGTTTAGGAGAAAATAAAAAGAATGTAATATAATAGTCTTTTACTATGCTGCCATTTATCAAGGAAAATGCATTTTCCAGAACACCTGTATGGATTGAGGAACAAGTCTGCACACAGTACCAACCTACTATAAATATTAGGTTTAGCAATCTAATATAATTTATTTAGTACACTTACCATTGTATGTGTCCAAAGGATAAGTGGATCATGTTGAGGTATGTGAATTGAAAAACATGAACCAGCACATTGCTCACTTAAATGCCTCAATGCATTTCTATCTCTCAACATAGCATTTAGAGGTTTTGAATAAGCACAGATTCAATAAAAGCCTTTTGAGTGCCCCAAAAATGAGGTACCTTCTGTTATATAATACTTTTGACCTCTTATTCATTTGACTTGCTAAAAGAAACACAGGTACATTTCAAGTTGATTCATTTTTAATGATATATCCATACTTGTTTTGAAAGAAATAAAACATGATTATGTTAAGAAATTCACTGTGCTGACAGCCACAGGTCCAGAGGATTTTAAATATATTCCTAACCAAGAGATCAAATAATTTAAGCATTAGTGTTCTGCTACTTACCAGTTTCTGGTAATGACTCCTTAAAGATCTCTGGGGACATTTTTTTACAATGGTTATTCAGAGTGTTTGACTTGTTATTCCACTTGTTATTTATACTCTTGTTCTGTATACTTTACTGAGTGAGTCACTGAGATTTGCACTTTCACTTACCTAAAATCAGACTAAGAGAATATCCAATTGGTGCCTGAGCCCAAGCTAGGCCATAACCTGGTACATAAACTGCTTCAGCTGTGCCATTGATATACCCTCCTCCGACCCAGGTAGCTGAAACAGAATGAAAAGTGAGGGAGTGATACTGTCTTACCTGTTATACCTACATCTGCCTGCCAAACCAGTGGCTACTAGAAGTTACTGAGCACCTGAAATGTGACGAGCCTAGATTGAGTTGTTTTAGGAATATAAAATAAACACCAGATTTCAAATGTTTTTTCTTTCATTAATCACATGTTGAAATGAAAACATGTTGAATGAATTGAGTTACATAAGTTATACTATTAACATTAATTTACCTATTTCTTTTTGTTTTTAGAGGTTTGTAGAAAATGTAACATTATGTTTGTGGCTCATATTATATTTCTATTGGATAGTGCTGCCCTAGATGTTTTCTAAATGCATTGAGTCAGCAGCATTTTCATGATATTATATGTAATATAGTCTGAGGTCAAGGGGTAAATTTTCTTTATTTCAAGGCCCTTCCATTTTACTTGTATTGATGTTTTTATACTGTCCTCACGGAGTGGTGTGCATGTGTACGTACATGTGTGTACACATGCATCTATGTAGGTGAGTGTATGTTTGTAGAAATGTACTTTTCACTAATAGAGTCTTTTCTTGAACACTCTGGGGATATCAGAGCTTGCAAATCTTATCTCCATCACCACTAAGTTGTACTTACTACCTTAAGTTATTAGGAGTGAAGAGAGGATCGAGATGACACTTCTACTACAAGGTGTCCAAAGTGAGTTTAAATGTTACCTTAAGGCCTAGACTACCTAGCACTCAGAAGAAGGTAAAATGTGAACTGCATACATACTTGCAATTCTATATTTTAATATGGATCTTTTAGTAAGATATTTACTATTTGACAAGAAGTAATGAAAAATGTCTTATTCAGATAAATAAAATTTATGTAGCACAATAGCTGAGGCAAGGAGGTCAAAGAACCAAAGAAAATGAGTTTTGACTTAACAGGTTTGAGCCAAGAATGATCTACAGATTAATATTTTTCTCTGAATAGACAATGTAATGCTAGCACCATTTTCTCTGAGGAAACAGTATAATATTGAATCCTTGCTGAAAAACTAATGTTGAAGAGGACACTAAATCTTTGCAGTTTACACCTTGTTGAGGTTACAGTACAGTCAAAATATTCTAAGCAATCCTTATACAGAATTTGTGTAAAGTTATGATGGTCACAGGTTGGTAATAAAAATTTATCAGATATGAGGCTGAATTCTGGATTGCATCATCCCATTAGGAATAAAATTTAACTCTGATGAATTTTCCAAAATCTCACAGTTAGAATGTAAGTAAATGAAATAATATCTATACAAAACTACCTAGGATGTGTTTCTATTGTGTTTATGGCAAAATTTATCTGGCTTTTAATCTAATACAAAGCAAAGAAGAGGGAGTCTTAGGGTTGACATAAAAAGATTTTCCTACATAGGAATTTTGAGTACATTTAAATGAAAAGTTTATATACAAAATCCTGGAGACAAATACGTATTTAGCAATCACTCCCACCTTTGCTGTAGCTTTTACCCTCAGTGTTAACAAATAACAAAAATAACAAATGGCATTATTTGTTTTCTTATTCTAAGCCCTGCTGAAATTTTTAAAATGGCTTTTTTTTTTCACTGTGTGTGTAACCATGAGCTGAAGAAATGAATTCTTACAGGCAGAAAACTTGAGACTTTATCTTTCTACCAGGCAACTGGAATTGCTAACACGTCAATGTTTTACTGCATAAAGTAAATGGTCTGATGGTCTTACAAGCACAAAGCTCATTAGTGATCATTCGTCATTGTGTAAGTCTACTGTCCCTTGTCCAAAAAGAAAATTGGTGACTGAATCATTGCAACTATTGTGATATAGAAGTGAGGGCTTGGCTACTTACTAAGATTTAAAAGTCCCCTTTATAATTGAATTTAGTCTCTTCTATAACAGTATTTGCTCTCCTTGTTTGTATATTTTGTGTCAGATCCATGAGTGAGAACACAACCTCTTAAAATATATTCATTTTTAAAAGAATCAACATTTTTTATCTCTATTCTTTATAAAATATATCCAAGTCAATCAATCTGACAAGGTTAGGTAGTATGGTTCAGATTTTAAATGAATTATGATATTGACCAAGGTTATTTTGAGTTCTGAGAAAGAAAAAAAAGTTTTACGAACTGAGGAAGATCATGGCCCTTTATAAAAAATAGCATGATTCAAATATTTTCCGTACCTTTTAATAGCTTGTTAGGTTGAAAAAAACCATTCTAAATGGTAAAAACAAAATATAAAATATTATTTTTATGACCATATTAAACAGAATATTAAATGAGAATAGTAGAGGGCTATAATTATTTTCAATAAACAACATATTTTGATATGCAGCAGCTTTCTTATTCTTTCTGCAGTGTTTACAAACTGTGCACCTTTTGAAAGAAATAAAGTGAAACTAGTTACAGGGCTGCATGTGGCACAGCATGGGGCGGTCACCAGCATGACGCAGTACTTGCATTTTGGAACTAAGTTACCGGAGACCTGTGTTTGGTTCTGGCTCCAGCCCTGGTCCTTGTTAACCTTGTAACCCGGGATCTCCACTTAACCCCAGATGCTCATCATAATGCCGTTATAAAGACCAAATGAGTCCACGTACAGTAGATGAAGAGTTAAACAAAGATAAAATGTCAATGTCTGAAAGATAAAACTGATGGCTCACATAGAACACTGTAAGTTTCAGATTGCCAAAGTCAAGGGGTTCAGAACATGAATGGCCTCTCCCCAGACTGGTTTGGTAAACTATCTGATATACACGGTGAATCATTTTAAAATTGCCCTTCGGGACTGAAATTGGGCATCACTTGATATCATTTCCCATGGGATATTTTTCCAATGAACGCTCACAGTTCTTGCTATGTTGCAAATGTTTAAAAACTCTACTAAGACTGTATAATGAAATATGTGTTGTTAGTGCAACTGTATTAAATATTAAACATATAATTCTAAGTTGATGTTTTTCAGAATTATTTTCAACGACCAAGAAGAATATAAAAAAGAAACAAATCACCCTTTAAACAGAACCACTTTAGTGCAAAGTAAGAAAGAATATCAGCTCCTGCTAACACAAAGAAGGTTTGAATGAGAGATGACTGCAGATGGTGGCCTGGGGATTCCTATGAGGACACACCCTAGCTTTTCCCTTTTATAACAAGGTTCATGAAATCTCTTTATTAGTGCTGTGGACTCATAACATGTGATTGTCTTCCTGTGAGGAATTAGTTATTAAATGAAAGAATTAGGTTTCAAAACAGGGAATCACTCAATTGGGAATATCATCACCCCCAAATTTATTTATGCAGATTAAAAACCATCACTAGATGGTATTCATTGGCACTTATTTAAATCTCAAAGTCACAACTTTATGCATGTATTACCGGACACGTTGAGATGCTGCCTATCACATTAATTAGCAGATACATAGCTTGTAATACTAGGACAGCTTCCCATTCCCCCACCTCTTTGTTTTTACTCTGTTTCCACCCACTCAATAGCCCAGGGAGCCAAGATTTGTTTCATGACTGTTCAGTCCAGTGATTTATTATAAAATCATTTTTGTTCAAGTACTACTGAGTTGAAACCAATTTATTTTTAGGTTTTAAATCAATAGAAAATTATTTTAAAATATATATAACTAGTGAACATAAAGAATCCCCAAAGGACAAAGACCAACATTTGCTTTGTCACTCTGAAGCCACACGCTGCACACTCACAGATGCCAAGGAAGGGAGGACTGCATGGAGCCGGCGGCGTCTGAACGTACCTGTCATGGTAAATCCACCAACCAATAAACCAATATCTCGGCCACCAACTATGATGGCTTCGCTGCGCTCTTCTGCGCTGCCACTGTTTTTGGTTCTCCAGGCAGCCCATATTCCAACCAGCAAAATTAGAAGGTAGAACACGATGATAGCTATCAGTCCTTCCACATGGAAAGCCATTTTTATCTAATGATCCAGATTCTTCTGCAGCTGGCTACTTCATTAAGTCTTCTGAAGAAAATACAGGGATGCATTATAAACCAGTCAAGCACTATGCACATGTAGGCAGCCAGGAATAAACCAGCTGGCTCATGCGAGATCCTGTGCCACTCACAGAAAGAGTACAACCCTGAAACCACACGTGAAACGGGCAGTTAACAATAAGTGTCCACTACATTATCCTACTTCTATTTAACAATTTAACATTATTTTGAGTTTGCAAGAAACAGAAAAAAAAACGGAAATGTAGTTTAACAAATGGAATCATAATCCTTGTGTGTTTCATACATGCTTTAAATTTAAAATTAACCTTGTCGTGTATATCTTAACTCAGTAACTGTCAAATCATTTACAAAGAGTAGCGCTGTATCTGCGTTTTGGAACTAAGTTACTCTTCTAGAATTATTTATTCTAGAAGTGTTAAGTGTTTCATAAATGACCATTCTGAAAATTTTAAAATATTCATTAATTTATTCATTCTTTTATCTGTCCTTTCAAACAACTTCAGAGAATGGCTTCAGTAGTAATCTGATATAAAAATATCTGAAAAAAATCTTTAGAAAAATCCATTTCAAAAACACATCAAACTCCACATTTTCAACAAGCTTCTGTAGTTCAAGTTACTATAGCAACTAAGTATGTTTTTTGTTGTTGAAAGGATCCATTCTCTTGATCTTCTTCGCCCAATATCCTTCATTCAATTCATCACCCCCCATTAATGGTACATACAGGAAAAGGTTTTGTTGTTGTTGTTGCTGTTGTTTTAAACACAATTGCCTAAAAGCACATCAGAAGCCTCAAAGATATTAAAATCAAGACTCTTAGAAGACAGATGTCAAGTTCGAAAGCATTCACCTTCTGAAATTCTTGTCCCCTTTTATTTTTATTTTTATTTATTTTTTACCTTTGTGACCACAGCTGTTCCATGAACCCAAACTCTCACATACAAGTTTCTGGGGGAAACTCTGACATTTGTGCGTGCAGGTGGGTGAAGAGACGTTGGGGGAAAGAATCAGCCTCTCTGGAATTTAAAGGAGGCAAAAGAAGCGCCCGCGGGCTGTGTCTTCTCTGCCTTTGTGAGCAACCAAGCAGGCAAGTTCCTCTCCGCAGCAGCCCGATGCTCTCCCGGCCCCCTGCGGCCTTTCCTCGGCCCCCTCTACCCATTTCCTGCGCCCAGACTTTGTAGCCTCTTGCACCCTGACAGCAACGGTGCCAGACAGCAAACCCGCCCTCGCATCCCACCGAGAGGGAAAAACGCCGCGTCCCTCCCCTCTAAAACCGCCCGGGCTCGGTGCCCAAGGCGTTTCCGAGGGTGCGGGCCCGTAGGCGCAGGAATGCCCGCTCCGCTCCTACCTGGAGTGGTGGCTGCACGCGAAAGCGCTCCGCCCGGGGCCGCCGCCCCCTGGAACCGCGAGGGGTGTGGGTGCGAGGGTGCAGAAAGGGAGGGTGCGGGGTGGGTCGGGGTGCAGTGCGGAGCGGGGCCGGGCGGTCAGGGCGGCTCCTCACTCGGCGTCTCCAAGAACCTGGGAGCGCGCAGAGTTGACAGGTGTTGGCGCCGGCGGAGGGCGCGCGGCGCAGGGCGAGGTGGGAATCGATCGAGTATTGGGAAAAGTCCCCTTTATAAGGGCGGCAGGCGGGGGCGATCGTCAGACATCCGGAGGCGGACGTCAGAGGAGAGTGGTGCTAGGGCGTGTGCTAGGGACGCTGCCCTCGCGAGGAGGGTGGGTGTGCGGGATGCGAAGGAAACGGGGCCCAAGGAGCTGGGGGGCAGGCTGGGCTCTGGTCCGCGCTGCCAGCCATGGTATCCCCATCCTGAGACAAGTACCTGCTACTCCCATCTCCTCCTCCAGAAAACTGGGCGGAGATTCCTTAGGGTGATTCCCAGTCGAACTTCTCATCCCTCTGGTTGGAAGCTGGGAATGGGGAGGGTCTCAGAGGATTATATTTTCAGAAGCAGCAGCTGGAAGCCTAGAGGAGAGAAGTGTCCTGTTCTTTTCTTCCCAGGTCAGAGTCTGGAATTGTTTCCTGACGAGTCTCTCTGAGAGGGAAGGGGTCCTCTCCCGCGGCCTCCCCTGGGCCCTGTTGGAAGCTGTTCCTGGCGTCCCTGGTGATGGGCTCCCTGAAGGAGACATTTCAGGAAGGTTTAGAAAGTCCTTTTTACATTCATACCCCTGCCACTTAAAAGTAGGGCTACCATGAAGGACACTAGGCGTGGTCCAGATTAACAATGAGGTTATCACAGAAGTCAGACAAGATGGCTTTCCTGGTAGAGCCCTTTGGGCAGCTGGCCTGCTGAATATCCTATTCCAGCTTACAAAAATTTGCTGTGTTAGTTTACAATATATCCATATACCTACCTATTTTTATAGATTATTTATATATTACACATATAAATATGTATCTATAGATGTATTTCTACATCTAGGTGTACATGGATAGATGCAGATACCTGTGTGAATGTGAATGGAGGAAGAGAGAAGGGTGGGAGAGAATAAGATAGAAGAGTCACAAGCCACAAAGCTACAAGCACTCTGGCCACTTTCTCACTTCTTTCCGCATTCCACCATGAGAGTGTATTTAACAGTGAAATACACAAGTCTAATAAGGGATAGAATAAATAAGAGTGCCTCTGAACTACTGTTCACCTCTCTAGGCCAATCAGACCATCTCCCCTTTTCTTACACTGGATTTTGAAATTAACTTCCAAATTTATGTTACTACCCCTTTTCTTTCTTCTCTGTATAAACAATAACTGCATCCAACTACCTCTTTTGAGGTGAGAAAGCCTAGGGAGTTCAAACAGAAATTAAGACGGGCCAAAAGGCCTGCAAAGATAGTTATTTCCCCTGGGTAATATGACTAGTTCATTGATTTTCTGGAAAAGACTTAGGTTGCCTTTTAATATAACCCCATTTTTACATACACATTTTATTAATTTAAGCAATTTTAAGGAACTGACAGAGCGAAACAGAGATGGGATTTCATATAATTACCCATGTGTTTTAAAAGAGGTTCATTCATTCATTCATCCATCCATTCATTCATTGTTTTTGTCTTCTATAACTCATTTTCTGATTCTGGGCCTTAGCCTCAGGTTAACTGATGTATTTCCTGCCAGAATATACTAATGATGATGATGACACACAGCTTATTGCTGTAGCAGGGCAGGCATGGGCAATTGCAGTGTCTGAAATAGTGCACAGGCCTAAGGTCAGGGAGCTTGACTCAGATCCAAAGAGAGACTGAAGAGGCAGCCGTCCTCAGAGAACATCACCAGCCTTTCGGTATGAGAATTGGGAGTGCAGCCAAAGCACACCTCCCAGAGCCCACCTAATCCACTTTGACAAGCCAGGCTTGCCAGACTATGGACTCAGTGCCAGATCTGAGAATGGACAATGACCTTGACAGTGGCCAAATTCTTGCCTGGCAGAGCGGCTGTCCTCCATGACAAGAAACACCAGTTGAAAATGACAACTGCTGATGAATTGAGTCTAGTTCTGGGGAGACATTTCCTCATTTGCTGAGTCCTTTGCGCTCCGTGTCTGATCTAAGGATGAAGCTGCATGTGAATTTCTGTGCCAAGGTGTAATTTCCCAGACACCCATTTCTCTTTTGTCTTTAATATTGGTACTTTAATGTGTACCTCTTCCTCCACTCTCCTGAGAATATGTTATCATGCACGGACTTAGGGAACTACATGTCAGTGGGAGATCAATTCCCGCTTTTGGGGAGAAAAAGCAGGTTTTGCATTTATAAATCATTTATTTTTTAAAAACACATTTTCTAAGTGCCTTTTACATTCTGAACACTGTTCTCAGTACTGAGAATACATGTAGAAAATTATACAAACCTTGCCCTCAAGTAACTTATCCATGAAAAGAAAGAAGGAACAAACAAGCAAAAGCTGCACTTCTATATACTATTGTAAGTGCTGAGAAGGATGTAGCATATCTGTACACACAGATTCTAGGGAAAGTTCAAACAAAAGGTCTTAATCAGATGGAGGAATTCTTCTCGGAGGAGCGGGGAGAGTCATTTATTCAATAAATATATAAAAACACCTGGCCGGGCACGGTGGCTCACGCCTGTAATCCCAGCAATTTGGGAGGCCGAGGTGGGCGGTTTATTTGAGGTCAAGAGTTCGAGACCAGGTTGGCTAACATGGTGAAACCCCGTCTCTACTGAAAATACAAAAATTAGCCGGGCATGGTGGCACATGTCTGTAATCCCAGCTACTCGGGAGGCTGAGGCAGGAGAATTCCTTGAGCCCTGGAGGTGGAGGTTGCAGTGAGCCGAGATTGTGCCACTGCACTCCAGTCTGGCTGACAGAGAGAGACTCTGTCTCAACGAACAACAACAACAACAACAAAACACCTGCTGCTTTGTGCTAGGTATATACTCAATTGATTGAAATGAAAAGATCCCTGTCTTTAATAGGTTAACACCCTCTGACCTTGCCATTCAAAGTACACTTCATGGAACAGCAGCGTCAGCATTACATTTTTCTTTTTTAATAACAGCTTTGGTAATTTGAGAATGTCATCACTTGGTCTATACATTTTGAACATGCTTCAAATATGATCCAAATGCATATTGAGACTGTGGGGGCCCATTTTGCTGAAGTTATTATCCTTCCTAATGCTCCAGTTTCCCCATACAATGTCAACTCAAATCTTTCATACTTTTTAATGGATTACATTTAGCTTAAATTAAAATTGGCCAGTCATTTCCAAACCAGGGTGACTATCGGAATTGTAGAGTTCTTGAAAAATTGCAGATACTAAGGCCCCACAGCATGAATTCTGACTTTGTATATCTTGGGCAAGGGTTTGAGAACCTAGTTTTCTTTCAATCCCTCCCCAATGATCTTGATGACAAGCTGGGATTGGAAGACTATGTTGAGTTTCAGAGTGGAAATAACTTTGAAAGTCAAAACAGACAACTTTAGCTCAGGTTTACTAATTATGGGATCTTTGTCAAATTAAGTTATCTTCACTGTGTTTTAAAGTGGAAATAAAAAAAAGGTCATTTCAATCTCTTAGGAGTGTGAGGATTCATTGAAATGGCATACAGTGAGCCCTTTGCACCCATGGGTTCTGCATCCATGGATTCAACCAATTGGGGATTGAAAATATTTGGAACAAAAACATGTGTGTACTAAACTCATACAGACTTTTTTTTCCTCATCAGTTTCCAAACAATATAGTGTAAGAACTATTTATATAGCATTTACATTGTATTAAGAATTATAAGTATTCTAGAGGTGATTTAAAGTATACGTAAGGATGTACATAGGTTATATGCAAATACTATGCCATTTTGTAACAGAAAATGACCATCTGCAGACTTTGGAATTGGAGGGTGATCCTAGGTATGGAGGAATGACTGTGTTTTGAAACATTGAGTGCAATGCATATTTTCCCTTTGGTACTCAATATATGGTAAGCAATTGCTGCTGCTGCAGTTTCTGTTACTGTTGCTTTGATTCATTATCGAAGCCTGCTGATGTTCTGGCCTCTGGTGGCAGTCAGTTATTAATACATTGCTGGTGCTGTGGATAAATGCATCTGACCTTTCTTTACCTAATGGTAAAGAAATATTTTGCTAATAACCTCAGGGGTGCATCAGAGGTTCATATATTTGGCAAACCACACCGTAGACTAAAGTCTAGATTCTATTTCTTAACCAAATTTTAACATAATCCAATTTATGCCTTTGTAGATCAGGCCAGGAGTAGTGTCAGTCATCCACTTTCAGAGAGATACATGTAGAAGAGTCCTCTCACTGCTTCTTTCTCAGTCTTTTCTCCCTCAGCTTCACACTCAGTCCTTAGCAACGGTTCCCAGCTTTCTTTTTAAATGCACTTTTTTTTCCCCAACTAGTATGAAGCTAACCCTTTCTCATTCTTTTAGACTCAACTCAGATATGGAGCAAAGAGAAACTTCCCTGATTTCTGTCTATAACCAGACTGGGTCATGTGTTCCTTTTCTAGGCTGTTCGCCCATGGTACCTACTTGTATATAACAATGGTCTACAGATCACGTGCCTGTTTCTCGATTAATCTGTGAACTCTGTAAAGGGGACTACCCCATTCCATTTACCTTTACCTACAGAGCACTTAGCACTGTGCCTGGAATACTACTAGACAAAAACTTAGTTATACTGTATTTGTTTACAGAAGGAAAATAAGAGACTCAAAATGAGTAAATATCTGAGAAATCATTTACTCGAAATCTAAAGTAGAAAACTGAGATTTGGAAAAGGCAACATGACCATTCTAGTTATTAAATACATGTATGTCATCATGGGTTTAAATTGCATTGATTTGTATACGGTCACACAACCAGTTAGTGGCAGATATAAGACGGAGTTCTCATGCCTTCCAAATGAATGATTTTTAACTTTGGGTAAACAGTGCTTTTACACTCAATTTGATATTACACTATCCCAAAATTGTACATAGTCTTTATTTAAAAATTTACATTTATATTTATTTTTGCAATTACTATAATTTAAAAATGCAGTCATAAGAATGATGGAGAAAAAAATAGCATAGGGATTAGAGCTGGTAGGGGGAAGACTGACATTTTTGGTAAAAATTCTGTTACACCAATCTGAGCATGTTAGAACAGACCTCTATGTCATCGCTACAACAATAACACTAGAATTAATCACTTGAGTACACATCAATTTAATTGAAATGCAATTGCCCAACAAATGCCAAGTTATTTTCTTGTGTCCTTATGATAAATGACATATGGTGACTAAAGCCTCATACTTCTAAAACAAGCAGTTATATAGGAATTATACAGTTGTATACCTTCATCGTTATAAAAATGTATGACAGTGATAAAGTGTATCTCAGAGTCAATGATCTCTCTCCATTGGTAGTATTAGAGTCATTCTGTGCAACACTTCTATAGTTCTTCATATCAGGATAACATATTTTTCCTTCTGGTTATTATTCCAGTATTTTATTATGAAAATATTCAAACAAATATCAAGGTTAAAACATATATCAAAGTTAACATCCATATATTCACCACCTAAATTCTACCATTAACATTTCTTTATCAGTCTGTCTATCTTTTTAACTATTCATCAATTCATCTCATTTATTTGATGCATTCAAAGTAAATGGCACAAGTACAATTCCCCTAAATACTTCAGCAAGTGTATTATTAACTAGACATTAATAATTTTATATATATATATATATATATATATATAGTTGTTGTTGAGGTGAAATTTATATAGAATGAAGTACAGGACTCTTGAGAGTATGAAATGAGTTTTGATATATTAAATAAGTTTTGATAAATGCAAGTGTCATTTTAAATCAAATCCTGATCAAGATATAAAGCATTATTTTTGCCCCAGAAATTCTTTTATATATTTTCTGCCATTGCACCTAAGAGACAAAGAATGTTGTGATTTTTCTTCCACTATAGATTAATTTTGTCTATTTTAGAACTTTATATAAAGTGAAGCATACAATGCATATTTGTACTTCACATATTTTTGAGACTCATTTATAGTGTCGAGTGGAAAATTATTTCTTTATTTTTTCCTGTCATATTCCATTGTGGGATTACACCACAGTTAATTGTCTATGTTCTAATTGATAGGCACCTGGGGAGTGTCCAATTTTTCGTGATTATATATAAAGCTGCTCCGAACAAGTATTTCTGTGAACACAGGTTTTTATATCTTCATATCCTTGACAGCATTTCGTGTTATCAGTCTTGTTTGAAAACATTTTTATGTATTTTCTTTTAATTTTCATTATTCTGGTGGTTATGTAGAGATATGTCATTGTGAACTTAATTTGCATTTTCCTTATGCCTAATAATGTTAAGCACATTTTATGTGTTTAATGATTAATTCTAGGCCTTCTTTTGTGAGGAATATATTCAAAAATTTTCCCCATGTGTGATGAGTTGCTTGTCTCTATTGCTGAATTGCAAATATCATTTATACATCAGGGATATCTGCATCCTACATATGTTTTGTGAATATTTTCTCCTACTCTGTGGCTTGCCTGTCCATTTTCTTAATGAGACTCAGAAGTTTTCAATTTTGAATAATTCTAATTATTTTCTTAGTTTCAGTGTCCTCTCTGTAAACCTTTGCTTATCTCAAGTCAAAAAATGTTTTTTTTTTAAAAAACATATAATTTTAGGGTTAACATTTTGTTCTATGATCGATCTCAAATTAACATTTTTGTATGGTAGAAGGAAATGTTACATCATTCTTTTTCCAAATATTTTCTGTCTCATTCTCTTTCTCCTCCTCTTCTACGTCTTTGAGCATATACATATAAGACTCTTTGAATTTGTCTACAGAATCTTAAGGTTATTTTATTTAATCTTTTAAAAATGTTTTTCTGATTGGATAATTTTTATTGATATATCTTTAAATTCCTTGACACTTTTTTGTGATCTCCATTATGCTGTAAACTCATCCAATTCTTTTTAAAATTTATGGTTTTTTTTTAATTATTACACTTTGAGTTCTGGGTTACATGTGCAGAACGTGCAGTTTTGTCACATATGTATATATGTGCCATGGTGGTTTGCTGCATCTATCAACCCGTCACCTACATTAGGTATTTCTCCCAATGCTATCCCTCCCCCAGCCCCCCAGCCACCACAGGCCCTGGTGTGTGATGTTCCCCTCCCTGCATCCATGTGTTCCCAACATTCATCTCCCATTTATGAGTGAGGATATGCGGCGCTTGGTTCTCTGATCTTGTGATAGTTTGCTGAGAATGATGGTTTCCAGCTTCATTCATGTCCCTACAAAGGACATGAACTCATCCTTTTTTATGGTTGCATAGTATTCCGTGGTGTATATGTGCCACATTTTCTTAATCCAGTCTATCATTGATGGACATTTGGGTTGGCTCCAAGTCTTTGCTATTGTGACTAGTGTCACAATAAACATACGTGTGCATGTGTCCTTATTGTTCAATGATTTATAATCTTTTGGGTATATGCCTAGTAATGGGATTGCTGGGCCAAATGGTATTTCTAGTTCTAGATCCTTAAGGAATCGTCACACTGTCTTCTACAATGGTTGAACTAATTTGCACTCCCACCAACAGTGTAAAAGCATTCTGATTTTTTCACAACCTCTCCAGCATCTGTTGTTTCCTGACTTTTTAATGATTGCCATTCTAACTGGTGTGAGATGGTATCTCATTGTGGTTTTGATTTGCATTTCTCTAATGACCAGTGATGATGAGGTTTTTTTCATATGTTTGTTGGCTGCATAAACATCTTCTTTTGAGAAGTGTCTGTTCACATCCTTTGCCCATTATTTGATGGGGTTGTTTGTTTTTTTCTTGTAAATTTGTTTAAGTTCACTGTAGATTCTGGATATTAGCCCTTTGTCAGATGGATAGATTGCAAAAATTTTCTCCCACTCTGTAGGTTGCCTGTTCACTCTGATGATAGTTTCTTTTGCTGTGCAGAAGATCTTTCGTTTAATTAGATCCCATTTGTCAATTTTGGCTTTTTTTTGCCATTGCTTTTGATGTTTTAGACATGAAGTCTTTGCCCATGCCTATGTACTGAATGGTATTGCCCAGGTTTTTTTCCAGGATTTTTATGGTGCTAGGTCTTACGTTTAAGTCTTTGATCCATCTTGAGCTAATTTTTGTATAAGGTGTAAGGAAGGGGTCCAGTTTCAGTTTTATTCATATGGCTAGCCAGTTTTCCCAACATCATTTATTAAATAGTGAATCTTTTCCCCATTGCTTGTGTGTGTCAGATTTGTCAAGGATCAGATGGTGGTAGATGAGTGGTGTTATTTCTGAGGCCTCCATTCTGTTCCATTGGCCTGTATATCTGCGTTGGTACCAGTACCATGCTGTTTTGGTTACTGTAGCCTTGTAGTATAGTTTGAAGTCAGGTATATTTTTTGTTCTGAAATTTCTACTTGTTCCTTTGGAATTGTTATTTGTGCTGAATTTCCTATCACTTCTTTCAGTATGACATATTTTCCTTATGTAGTCAAGCATAGTTAAAATAAATGCCTTGTCTGCTTATGGCAACATCTGTGCCATCTAGGGTTTGTCCCTGTTATTATCTTTTCTAATGGGAATTGGTCACATTTTTTCTGTTGCTTCCATGTAGAGTGATTTAGCTCGTATCCTGGATAATATGAATCATAAATTTTGGATCCCAACATATTCTTCTCACCACTTTTGCTTTATTTACCATTTTATTTTCATCTAAATACTGGTTTTGTCTCATTTTTAAAAGTAATTTATTGAGGTAAAGTTTACATAACGTAATTTCAACATTTTAAAGTGAACAATTCAGGGGTATTTAATGCATTCACAGTGTTGTGCAACCATCACCTGTATCTGCTTCAAAAGCACTCCAAAGTAAAAACTCTTACTCATTGAGCAGTTTCTCATCACTTCCTCACTCCTTTCAGCCCCTGGCAAAACCAATCTGCACTCTGTCTCTATAGATTTATTTACTTTGACTATTTCATATAAGTGGACTCAAACAAACTGTGATACTTTGTGCCTGGCGTCTTTCACATGGCACAATGTTTTGGAAGTTCATCTATAGTGTAGCATGTGTCAGTGGTTCATTTTACTGCAAAATAACAGTTCATCGTATGCGTATATTACAAGTTGTTTATCCACTCATCGTCTCATTTTCTTGTTGTACTCTTTGCATGAAATATCTGCTTTATTCATTTCCCTTGGGTCTAAAGGGAGTCTCTTGTACAGAGAAGACAGAGAAAAAAATTAAAAAAAATTTTATTCTGGCAATCTCTGCCATTTTTTTGGATAGTCTAATCCAATTACCTTTAAAGTAATCATTAATAAGAAAAGATTTATTTTGGGCATTTTGCTATTTGATTCCTGTAGATTTTATAACTTTTTTACACCTTATTTCCTCCATTACTTTCTTCTTTTCTTTAATATTTGTGTGTGTGTGTGTGTGTGTGTGGCTTTATCTCCTTCTATTATGGTCTGAAATTTGTCTCCCCCAAATTCATATATTAAAGATCCAAGGTTTGATGTGGCTCTATTTGGATAGAGAGCCTTTAATGGGCTAATTAAAATTAAATGAAGGCATAAAGGTCAGGACTTATTCTGATAAGATTATCCTTACTGCTTATAGTATAATGCAAGAGAAGAAAAATAAATTGAAGGAAATATTAAGCAAAACAAAATTCAAACGTGAATTTTATGCACTTGTTTATAGTGTGAAAATAAGAGAGTATGTTCTGGAGAGAACACCAAGGGTGTAGCTGAAATACCATTCTATAGAGTGATTATCCATGTATTTAATCAGCTGTCTTAGCTGAATCTAGAAATAGAGATCAGATTGTAGCAGCAGAAATATTGTCTGCTGGCATTAAAGAGTTGATAGAGACACAGGACATAATAAAAGAAGGCTACCCGATTTCTGAAATTCTACAGGATGGGACAATAGGGCTAGTGGCATTCATCCATTCATTTCTAAATTTTGTAATTTAAACTTTCTCTTTTTTTTTAATTTAGGCATATACACCTATAAATTTATCTTTAAGAATTGATTGTGCAGTTATCCTACAGCTTATGGCATTTTAAAAATTTTCATTAATCTTAAAGTATCGTTTATTCTGTAGCCCTTTGGATTTTTATTAGTGTGATGTTGAGTTTTCACATATTTATGAATTTTGCAGTTTTTCTTCTAATATTGATTATTAGTTTCATTCCATTGTGATTGCAAATGATACTATATATGATTTAAATTTTTTAAATCTATTAATAGTTGTTTTGTGCTTAACATATGACCTATGCCATAAAATGTTGCATGTACACTTGAGAAAAATGTGTATTCTGCTGTTGTTGAATGCAGTGTTCTGTACGTATCTGTAAGGTACGATTGGTTTATAGTGTTGTTCAAGTCCTCTCTTTGTTGTTTTTTTTTTCCTGGTTATTCTATCCGTTAATGAAAGTGACGTATTGTTTTATTATAACTGTTCATATAACTATTATTTTAGTACTAATTTCCCCTTAATTATGCACATGTTTGCTTCATGTACTTTGGGGCCTCCTGTTTGGTGCATATATATTTATAGTTGTTATATTTTCTTGGTAAATTAACCCTTAAAGTTATGTAAGGTCCTTCTTTGACTCTTCTAACAGCTTATTATAAGTCTATTTTGTCTGATATTAGTATATATACATGTTGGTTCAAATGTTTGATGGTGTATCCCATGTCCCTTAGGCTCTATTTAATTTTCTTAATTTTTTTTCTATATTTATTCCTTAGACTTAATAGGTTCAGTTTCTCATCTTCAAGTTTACTGATTTGTCTTCTGCTTGTTTTAAACTGCTATTGAACTCCTGTAGTAAATTTTTTGTTGCACTTATTACAGTTTATAGATTTATAATTCTTTTTAGTTTCTTTTTATAATTTTGGTATCTATTGATATTTTCATTTTGTCATATATACAGAAATATGACTATATATGGTCATATATATATATATATATAAAGCTGCTTTTACTTTATTGTCCATGTTGCCCTTAAACCCTTTGTGTATATTTAAAACAATTGTTCTAAAGCCTTTATCTAGTAAGTCCAATGTTTCCACTTCTTCAAGGACAATTTCTATTTATTTTGCTCCTTTGAATGAGCCATGATATCTTGTTTCTTTGCATGCCTTGTGACTTTTGGTTGGAAATTAGGCATTTTATGATTAGAATGCGATAACTCCAGAAATTAAATTTTCCCCCTCCACCCAAGGTTTGCTGTTTATTTTGATTATTAAAATTTGTAGTAGCCAAATTTCTAAGGCTTTTCCAAATTA
Source organism: Homo sapiens (assembly GCF_000001405.40). Taxonomy (NCBI): domain Eukaryota; kingdom Metazoa; phylum Chordata; class Mammalia; order Primates; family Hominidae; genus Homo; species Homo sapiens. The sequence continues at coordinate 107,975,289 of NC_000002.12, read as the reverse complement.
TTTTGCAAAGATTATTTCTTATTACATGTAACCAGCAAAGTCTCCATGCCTTTAGCTCATCAGCTAGTACTTTGACAGAGGTTTATTTGAGTGACAAAATAGCAGGGAGGTAGGGAATATTCACCAGATTGTCTCTGTGCTGGTGTACTTCTTCACCACTTAGCTTTATCTACTCTGAGTCTGGCGATTATCCCTAAGTGAAAGTGTAAGGCCTTTGCAGAACCTTTATAAAAACGTGTCTGTTTTTATCTTTGATGTTTCTGTGGGGAAATATGAACTTAGTGATTCCTAGTTCACAATTTCACTAATGTCATTCCTCAGTGTCTCATCAGTTATGGGATTCTGTGATTTTAGTTTTATTAGTCTCTAAATATTTTATAATTTACCTTGTGATTTCTTCTTTGACACATGTTTACTTATAAATGTGTTTAATTTTCACATATTTGGGTTTTTAAAAAGTTTTGTTCTGTTATTGATTTCTTGTTTTATTTCATTGTGATTAAAAATATATTTTGTGTGATTTCAATATTTAAAAGTTTAAGACTTATTTTGTGGCATGAAATATGTTCTATTCTGGGTAATGTTCCATGTGCACTTGAGAACTATGTGTATTCTGCTTTTGTTGGGTGAAAGTTCTGTATATGTCCATTTGGTTTAATTGTTGTATAGTGGTGTTGGAGTTCTGTTTCCTTGTTAATCTGGCTATTATATTTATTACTAAAGTGAGTTATTGAAGTCTGCAATTATTATTTAGAACTGTCTATTTCTCCTTTTAATATTTTCAGTGTTTGCTTCCTTTATATATTTTGGGGCTTTGTTGTTTGGCACATGTAGGCTTACAACTGTTGTATATCCTTGGATAATTGAGTCTTTAAGTATATAATAATCTTTTTTGACTCTTATAGCAGTTACTGACTTGAAGTCTATTTTGTCTGATACTATATACTCTCCATCTCTCTTTTGGTTACAATTTGTATGAAATGTCTTCCATCATTTTTGATTTATTGGTGTCTTTGTATCTAAATTGAATCTGTTGTAAATAGCATACTGTCAGCTCATGTTTAAATTTACCAATCTCTTTATTTTATATGGTTTAATCTATTTATATTTAAACTAACCAGTAATATAGAATACTTACCTTTGCCATTTTGCTATTTGTTTCCCATTTGTTTAAGTCTTGTCTATTCCTCATTTTTTCCATTCTTCCCTTCATTTTGTTTATTTTTTTCTTATTTCCCTTTATGTACCTATTTTTAGTTTTCTTCTTAGTAGCTACACTGGGAATTACAATTAACATTCTAAATTTCTAATTATCTAGCTCAGGGGTGTCCGAGGGAGAGAACAGTCGTGGGATCTTAGTTTCTATTTCTGGTTGGGCCAGTAAAGCCCCTTCCTCATTTCTCTTATCTGCTTATCACTAGAGACAGAAAGTAAAAATCACGGCTTTAGGCTGTTAAAAGGCTAAAACAAAACAACAACAAAATAAGACAGATCGAACAAGTTTGATCTAGTTCAAATTGATAAAGCTTAGCTTTAATAACATGCAAAGACTCTGTTCCAATATAGTGTTTTCCCTGCCCCATATATTGTCATTGTCACAAATTTCATCTTCACACATTGTAACATGGATGTGTAATCATTTTCATGAATTTGTGTTTTAAATCCTATAGAAAATAAAAAATGGAGTTACAAACAAATCAAAGTTACTTTATCTTGGTACAACATCCACCTGTTTGCTATAAAAACCTTTGTTTTATAGAGTTCTGGCAGTTTTTTCTGTTTCTGCTTGTTTTTGAAAAGTTTTTTGGAGTGACAGGATTTTGGAGATGTCTACTATACCATTTTGCTGATGTCCTTTATTTCTCTCCACTCCACTCTGTCACAAGCAGACAGTTAATATGGATGAATTCATACTGCAATCTCTGTCTTCCCTGTGGAGGGAGGCAACTCTAATCTTAGCTTAGTTCTTTTGGCTTTTGATGGTCTTTTTGGAGTCTGCCTTACGCATGTGTGTTTCAGAAGTAATCATCTACAGATATTGATAGAGTTTGTACACAATATGTAAGGCTCCCCATTTCCTCTTTTCCAGGATTTTCTGTCTCACTTTCCAGCAGGTGTGGTTGTCTGAACTTTGTGTTCTGATTTCTTAAAAGCAGAAATAAAGATGGTAGGTTTTTCTACTGTAGTATTTACTGCCTTGAATAGTATAAAATGGAACCTACCTTCAATCTTAAAGCCATAATAAATGAAACACTTGTCCTGTGCCATTTTTTCCTTTTAATTATTAACTTTTCTTCATACCTGCCTAGGTTTGATTTTTCTTCAGTACCTTCATTTACTTTTATTTTTTTGCCCAGAATTTATAGTTATCTGTGGGAGGATGTGTCTGATCCGAGTTTACTTGGCTAAAACAGAGGAAGAACCTGAGAAGTGTTTTGAACACCATCGTGATACCTTCTGCCATACACATGATCTTTCCACCACTTGCATGTTCTTATTTTCACTTTTCCACAGTGGGTCAAGAAGAGGACGCCAAGTTCTGGCTCTTTCTTCCCCCAGAATATAACACAGTCACCTTGCAAATGGTGAAATATAAGTGAGGCTTCTTTCTACAAGAAACCTTTCCCATTATGGCGTGACTGTCCAATATGTTTGTGGGAGCTCTGAGCAGAAGAAAAACCTACCATATTTCCTGAGTTATATTCCAACTCCCTAGACTTTGACACATACCAAGGAGACATGATGCGTTTTGAATTGTCTGATCTGAAATCGCATTTGAGTTATATTAACATGAGCCACCATGGGAGGAATTACTCAGTAATAAATGTCTGGCCAAAGTTCTTAGAAAAGTCAAGAGTGATCCAAAAAAATAAAATATAAATGCCAAATCTAAGGGAAGGACTGAAAAACAGGATAAAGTTTATCTCTCATGTGAGGAACAAGGTGAAATAAAACTGAAATGTGTTTTGGTCAGATCAGAAATGTTAAAAAGGCATGATCTGGGTAGCTAAAGAATAGGTGACCCTGACTTAAAGATGCAGGAAGTGCACTAAAATGTGTAATTTCAATGTCCTAGAAGTTTCTTTGTATTTTTTTGTTGAGAATAGATGAGATATTAGGCATGGGTAACCTGATCAACACAGAAATGTATGCTTCATAGGAAAATAGAAGCCAAATCACACATTTCCCCTCTCTTTGCTCCATTATTAACATCAATACTATATACTCAATTGCTTTTTGTATAAAGGATGACTGTTAGTAAACTATATTTAAAAAGAAATAATACATTAATTACATAGGATTATGCATCATACAGACCTTTTGTTTTCAAATCATTTTAACACTATTTGAGGTTTAGTTTGAGTCATGAAAATAGCTATTATATTTTGTTTTGACATTTTGCATTTCTATCAAATTTCTTACAGAATTTTATGTGGTAAGGAGACTTTTCTGTGAGCTTATTTTCAAGCAACAAATTAAAATTTACTCCCAGTTTCATGTTTGTTTTCCTTTAGGAAATAGTGACTACAATATTTTCCAAGAGAAAGCTGCCAAATGAAAGTGTATACAAGAGAGTGGGTTTTTAATAGAAGCAGAAGTTTAGGTTACTGTTAATCCCAGAAATCAATGTTGTCAATCTTTTATGTCTCTTTCATTTTGATGACTACTTATTGAGCTTCCAATTATAATAATGCCAAAATGTAATTTTAGACCTTTTTTGATCTCTCCCCCTATATATCCATGAGAAGTATATTATAATTAATGTATGCCTTTCATTTTCTGGTCAATAGATGCATTGTAAAAGCTCATCACATTTTTGTATACATTTTGCCATTGGAAATGAATGTTAAATTACTTATGGATATAGATAAACCTAAGTAAACAAAATTCAAAAAGGATACAATTGTCTCATATGCAATTCATCATAAAATTGGAAATTTTATCTGCCATTAGTTATTCTTGAAAGCTTCTGGATTTAATACTGTATAAACTGGGCAGCAATATAGATAAGGCTCATTTAGTGGGCATACTAAACGTCCAGTTGACACCCTTAGAATTATATAAGAAAATCTATTGAGAATGTTTAATAATCCCAGACAGATTGTTGTGATTAAATAGATTGCAAGAAAATCTGTTTTAATTCCATTAGAGAATCATTTTCTTTTTTTTTCTTTTATTATTATACTTTAAGTTTTAGGGTACATGTGCACATTGTGCAGGTTAGTTACATATGTATACATGTGCCACGCTAGTGCGCTGCACCCACTAACTCGTCAACTAGCATTAGGTATATCTCCCAATGCTATCCCTCCCCCCTCCCCCCACCCCACAACAGTCCCCAGAGTGTGATGTACCCCTTCCTGTGTCCATGTGATCTCATTGTTCAATTCCCACCTATAAGTGAGAATATGCGGTGTTTGGTTTTTTGTTCTTGGGATAGTTTACTGAGAATGATGATTTCCAATTTCATCCATGTCCCTACAAAGGACATGAACTCATCATTTTTTATGGGTGCATAGTATTCCATGGTGTATATGTGCCACATTTTCTTAATCCAGTCTACCATTGTTGGACATTTGGGTTGGTTCCAAGTCTTTGCTATTGTGAATAATGCTGCAATAAACATACGTGTGCATGTGTCTTTACAGCAGCATGATCTATAGTCCTTTGGGTATATACCCAGTAATGGGATGGCTGGGTCAAATGGTATTTCTAGTTCTAGATCCCTGAGGAATTGCCACACTGACTTCCACAATGGTTGAACTAGTGTACAGTCCCACCAACAGTGTAAAAGTGTTCCTATTTCTCCACATCCTCTCCAGCACCTGTTGTTCCCTGACTTTTTAATGAGAGCCATTCTAACTGGTGTGAGATGGTATCTCATTGTGGTTTTGATTTGCATTTCTCTGATGGCCAGTGATGATGAGCATTTTTTCATGTGTTGTTTGGCTGCATAAATGTCTTCTTTTGAGAAGTGTCTGTTCATGTCCTTTGCCCACTTTTTGATGGGGTTGTTTGTTTTTTTCTTGTAAATTTGTTTGTGTTCATTGTAGATTCTGGATATTAGCCCTTTGTCAGATGAGTAGGTTGCAAAAATTTTCTCCCATTTTGTAGGTTGCCTGTTCACTCTGATGGTAGTTTCTTTTGCTGTACAGAAGCTCTTTAGTTTAATTAGATCCCATTTGTCAATTTTGTCTTTTGTTGCCATTGCTTTTGGTGTTTTAGACATGAAGTCCTTGCCCATGCCTATGTCCTGAATGGTATTGCCTAGGTTTTCTTCTAGGGTTTTTATGGTTTTAGGTCTAACGTTTAAGTCTTTAATCCATCTTGAATTGATTTTTGTATAAGGTGTAAGGAAGGGATCCAGTTTCAGTTTTCTACATATGGCTAGCCAGTTTTCCCAGCACCATTTATTAAATAGGGAATCCTTTCCCCATTGCTTGTTTTTCTCAGGTTTGTCAAAGGTCAGATAGTTGTAGATATGCGGCGCTATTTCTGAGGGCTCTGTTCTGTTCCATTGATCTATATCTCTGTTTTGGTACCGGTACCTTGCTGTTTTGGTTACTGTAGCCTTGTAGTATAGTTTGAAGTCAGGTAGTGTGATGCCTCCAGCTTTGTTCTTTTGGCTTAGGATTGACTTGGTGATGTGGGCTCTTTTTTGGTTCCATATGAACTTTAAAGTAGTTTTTTCCAATTTTGTGAAGAAAGTCATTGGTAGCTTGATGGGGATGGCATTGAATCCGTAAATTACCTTGGGCAATATGGCCATTTTCATGATATTGATTCTTCCTACCCATGAGCTTGGAACGTTCTTCCATTTGTTTGTATCCTCTTTTATTTCATTGAGCAGTGGTTTGTAGTTCTCCTTGAAGAGGTCCTTCACATCCCTTGTAAGTTGGATTCCTAGGTATTTTATTCTCTTTGAAGCAATTGTGAATGGGAGTTCACTCATGATTTGGCTCTCTGTTTGTCTGTTGTTGGTGTATAAGAATGCTTGTGATTTTTGTACATTGATTTTGTATCCTGAGACTTTGCTGAAGTTGCTTATCAGCTTAAGGAGATTTTGGGCTGAGATAATGGGTTTTCTAGATATACAATCATGTCGTCTGCAAAGAGGGACAATTTGACTTCCTCTTTTCCTAATTGAATACCCTTTATTTCCTTCTCCTGCCTGATTGCCCTGGCCAGAACTTCCAACACTATGTTGAATAGGAGTGGTGAGAGAGGGCATCCCTGTCTTGTGCCAGTTTTCAAAGGGAATGCTTCCAGTTTTTGCCCATTCCGTATGATATTGGCTGTGGGTTTGTCATAGATAGCTCTTATTATTTTGAGATACATCCCATCAATACCTAATTTATTGAGAGTTTTTAGCATGAAGCATTGTTGAATTTTGTCAAAGGCCTTTTCTGCATCTATTGAGATAATCATGTGGTTTTTGTCTTTGGTTCTGTTTATATGCTGGATTACATTCCATGTTCATGGGTAGGAAGAATCAATATCATGAAAATGGTCATACTGCCCAAGGTAATTTAGAGATTCAATGCCATCTCCATCAAGCTACCAATGACTTTCTTCACAGAATTGGAAAAAACTACTTTAAAGTTCATATGGAACCAAAAAAGAGCCCACATCGCCAAGTCAATCCTAAGCCAAAAGAACAAAGCTGGAGGCATCACACTACCTGACTTCAAACTATACTACAAGGCTACAGTAACCAAAACAGCATGGTACTGGTACCAAAACAGAGATATAGATCAATGGAACAGAGCAGAGCCCTCAGAAATAACGCTGCATATCTACAACTATCTGATCTTTGACAAACCTGAGAAAAACAAGCAATGGGGAAAGGATTCCCTATTTAATAAATGGTGCTGGGAAAACTGGCTAGCCATATGTAGAAAGCTGAAAATGGATCCCTTCCTTACACCTTATACAAAGATTAATTCAAGATGGATTAAAGACTTAAACGTTAGACCTAAAACCATAAAAACCCTAGAAGAAAACCTAGGTATTACTATTCAGGACATAGGCATGGGCAAGGACTTCATGTCTAAAACACCAAAAGCAATGGCAACAAAAGACAAAATTGACAAATGGGATCTAATTAAACTAAAGAGCTTCTGTCCAGCAAAAGAAACTACCATCAGAGTGAACAGGCAACCTACAAAATGGGAGAAAATTTTGCAACCTACTCATCTGACAAAGGGCTAATATCCAGAATCTATAATGATCTCAAACAAATTTACAAGAAAAAAACAAACAACCCCATCAAAAAGTGGGCAAAGGACATGAACAGACACTTCTCAAAAGAAGACATTTATGCAGCCAAACAACACATGAAAAAATGCTCATCATCACTGGCCATCAGAGAAATGCAAATCAAAACCACAATGAGATACCATCTCACACCAGTTAGAATGGCTCTCATTAAAAAGTCAGGAAACAACAGGTGCTGGAGAGGATGTGGAGAAATAGGAACACTTTTACACTGTTGGTGGGACTGTACACTAGTTCAACCATTGTGGAAGTCAGTGTGGCAATTCCTCAGGGACCTAGAACTAGAAATACCATTTGACCCAGCCATCCCATTACTGGGTATATACCCAAAGGACTATAAATCATGCTGCTATAAAGTCACATGCACATGTATGTTTCTTGTGGCACTATTCACAATAGCAAAGACTTGGAACCAATCCAAATGTCCAAAAAGGATAGACTGGATTAAGAAAATGTGGCACATATACACCATGGAATACTATGCAGCCATAAAAAGTGATGAGTTCATGTCCTTTGTAGGGACATGGATGAAATTGGAAATCATCATTCTCAGTAATCTATCGCAAGGACAAAAAAACCAAACACCGCATATTCTCACTCATAGGTGGGAATTGAACAATGAGGACACATGGACACAGGAAGGGGAACATCACACTCTGGGGCCTGTTGTGGCATGCGGGGATGGGGTAGGGATAGCATTAGGAGATATACCTTATGCTAAATGATGAGTTAATGGGTGCAGCACACCAGCATGGCACATGTATACATATGTAACAAACTTGCACATTGTGCACATGTACCCTAAAACTTAAAGTATAATAATAATAAAAAAAATAATTAAAAAATTAAAAAAAATTAAAAAAAATTGATCCATGTTATCTAGCTTATCAAATGTATCGTCATATAGTTATTTATAGCATTCCTTCCTGATCATATTATGTCCATGGGATCTGTAGTGATGCCCACTCTTTCATTTCTGATATTTGTAATTTGTGTCCTTTCCCATTTTTGTTAGTTAACCTGCTTAAAGGCTTATTAATTTTATCGACCTTTTATAGGAGCCAGCTCTAATTTTGTTGATTTTTTCTATTGATTTTCTATTTTTGATTTTATTGTTTTTTGCTCTAACCTTCATTATTTCTTTTCTTCTACTTACTTTTTGGATTAAAATTGTTAACTTTTTCCATTTCCTAAGGTGAATGCTTAAATAATTAATTGTATTTTTTAAAATTTTCTAATATATGTGTTCAATTCTATAAATTTCTTTCTAAGCACTTCCTTTGCAATACCCCACAAATATTGTTGTTATGCTTTTATTTTTATTTTGTTGAAAATATTTTCAAATCTCTCTTGAAATTTCTTCCAACACATGTGTTACTTGGAAGTGTGTTGTTTAATCTCCAACATTCATATTTTATTCAGATTTTCTTAGTTTTCATGTAATATGTTTTTGTGTGTGTGTGTGTACCAGGATCCCACTCAGGATAATAACATCGAGTCATCATATCACGTCAGTTTCCTCTGTACTATGAGGTGAATCAGATTTCCTTGTTGTTACTTTTTAATTATTTTGGATAGACATTAGTTGTTCATTAAGAGTAATCATCAGTATTTTGTTGACCGTACCTGAATTTTTGTGTGTTTAATATTTTTCTCATGATTAGGCTGTGGTCATGGGTTTGGGGGAAGAGAAATGGCTTACCACAGAGGTAAAATGCCATTCTTATCACATCATAGTAAGGGCACATGCCATCATATGATAAATTATATGACTTATCACTGTTAATGTTGACATTGACCACCTGGCTGAAGTGGTATTTTTCAGGCTTTTCTAGCATAAAATTATTTTCTCCACACTTCTTTCCACACTGTGCTCTTTGGAAGGAAGTCACTATTTGCAGCCAACATTAGGGGGTGAAGGATTATGTTCTACCTTCTTGGGAAGGGTTATTTATATAAATTACTTGAAATTCTTTTGTATAGATACTTTGTCTATTCTTTCTTATTGTTTATGTGTTCATTCATTTACTCACATTGGTTTTATCTCATGGATATTTATTTTATACTCTGAGTTACAATCCAATACTACATTATTTATTTTGTTAACTAAGTATTCCAGCTTAGGAATTAAGAGATTTTACAGTGGCTATTTGTGTCCCTTTCACCATTGTTGCGGGGGTGTTTTTGTTTAATTTTAGCATTTTCTTACCTCCTACCAGCACAATATGTTCTAAGTTCATCTTGTATATTTCCTGCCCCTGTTGTAGAGTAAGGCACTTTGCCAAGAAATCCTATTTCCTTTTTTGGAGAATAGGAGGAAGAAGTAAGACATGGGTTTTGGGTATTCTCATTGTTACTGGGATATCATTTCTTCTAGTTCCTCTCAGAAAAAATGTTTGGAAATATGTGTGAATAGTAACTACTATTTACACACACACACGGTTAAGTCACAGCTACTTTAACTAATGAAATCCTCCAACACATACATATACACTTACATACACAAGTGTGCATTTATTTAAAAAAATATTTAAGTGTACTACAGGTGCAAACTTAAATACATATGGGGTTCAGACGACAACCTAATAAGTGAGATGGGAATGGTAAAACAATTGCCCCCTTCTGCCTATCTTTTAATATATGTGTGTATATGTATATATGAAAAGATAGGGAGAATATATACATATATATGTGTGTGTGTGTATATATATCCTTCTATATCTATTTTAAGCCAAAAATGGGTTCATACTGTTGTCTACAACTCTAATCCAGTATTACATGAATTATTCTAGCCTTCCCTCCTTGCTCATCTGTAACTCCCTACTCTAACAGTGAGAAACCTGGCTTCTACCATGTGCCATCTATTTACTTAATTATTCCATTTCAATATATTTGTATAGTGGTTTCAGGATTTAAACATCATATTTTTATGATGAAATCTTTTTATCCAAAGTCATTCTTGATTTCTGGATGTTTTTCTATGTACAATAGGTAAAGGGCTCTGTACCAAGTTCTCATAAGAAACATTTTATTCACTTAAGGAAATTAAAAATCCAATTAAGATAAATATTTGAGAGTAAACCTTAATTTTTTCCTCCTATTCAGATGAATTATTATTAGTATTTGTTACTTAAAAGTGAAGAGGTAACTAGAGAAAAATATGTAAATCACTTTTTTATCCAACAATCTTGTGGTCAGGAACAAATAAGGCTTTAGTTTACTGTTAGGTAAATTTAATATTGCAATGAAGAGGCTCAGCTTTAATCCAGCAGACATGAAGACTTTCTCCATAACTATGGAAGACAGTTATTTCATTCTCAGCCTTATCAACCAGTCTCAATATCATCCCATCTTCAGATATTATTTAGGATTATTATCTTTAAAATCATATAATCCTAAACTTTCAGAGCATGAGAATAATAAAAACTGAAGCTAACAGTATACCTGTTTTCTTTATTTTTCTATCAATTATCTTGATGTTTTAAAGATGAATAAGTCTATAAGCATTAACACTACATTTAATTCAATTTTATAGAAGTACTGTCAATGTGAATCTAATGGGCCATTTGGTAAGTCTTCTCTAATCCATAGCAGTAGAGACATTAATCATTCCTTAGTCACATTGAGAATCATCTGGACTGGGCATCATGTGCTGCATACCGTAAATGATTATTGTCATCTGTTTAGTCTGTTCATGTAGAATGTAAATACATTCTATTAGTAAATGTTTTTGACATTAAACACTGCTGCTCACTAAGGAAGAAAATTGAAATAAATCTTATCTTTACCATTATTTAACCAGTGCTTCAAAACCTAAATAGGTGTAGATATACAGAAGATATTTGAAATAAAAATTAACAGAAATTAATACTAAAGCCATTTATACTGTGAATTAATTCCTTAAAATAAATCAATTTACTACAGGGTTTTCAAATTTTATTAAAGACAAACATACTATATTCCTAATGCAAAATAGTTTTAGAGATATCCTACATTAATAAACATAAATTTATTTCATATGCAAAGGGTTCAACTTTGATCCAAATAGTACAGCTATTTGACCTAGAGTTTTTATTTGTTTTCAGTTATTTTAATCTTTCTATTCAGATTGATTTCTTTTAGCTGCAATAAGTCTATAATTAATGGCTTCTAGATGGTCATACAGATCCAAATATATGTTTGTATAATTTTAGTTATAGATGTCTTAGGCAAATATATAATCTTTTGTTGAACCTAGTAAGATAATCCAGTCAATATTTCAACAAAATATACACTGAGTGCTTACTATATCCCAGGCCTACATATGTAATCTTTTCTGTATTTGTTTTGCATTTGCCATGAAAGTTGAATAATAAAAGTAAAACTTTATTTAATGATATATGTAATTACACAATTGTGATCCTCTGGGAATAAGCACTTTTTCATTTTGTGCTGGTATTATGAGTAAGCAAAACGAAATAAACATTATTGTTTCTCTTACTATTTTCTTGCTGAACCAGAACACCTTACACCTTTATATATTGCAATATATACATATTTATTGCATATATATATATATATATATATATATATATATATATATATATATATGCAGCCACATTAACTTCTTAATTCTTGGTTGAATACTTTTAACTGCAGTCTTTTAATTTACCTACTTAAGAAAGTACTTAAAATAAAAGTAAACACAGCATTATTATAGAAAGAGCAGTCTTTTATTTTGAAAAAATAAATAATTCAGTAACTGTCACTTACTATGTCTTGTTGGGCTGCGACCAAGGCAGTGTGAGCCTCAATTTTGGCCCATTTGTCTGTTCTCTTTTCTCCACATCTCTAAGGTATTATATCTTGGGAATATAATCCTGGGTGGAAGGATATCATTTTATTTTTATCTTAATAATTTATGCTAATTATGTGAGTGTAAATCTCTATTACAAATTAGAAAAATACACTATGATTTATCCTTGTTAGTATTGTTGGTAACGCACTTTGAGTGAGGCTTCAAATCCTATTTACTCGGTCCTCTGGCATTACCCAGATTTGAGATTGCTCTCTTGGCAGTAAAGTGATGTTTCATGAGACAGATTCCATCAGCAGATCTGTTTTCTTTGAGTAACCGAGTTTTGGCATATATAAACATCTTAAAGTCAGATTTTACATAATCGTTCAGATTTCTCATGAAAGTTGAAAAGCTGGCCTATATGTTTATTGGTTTCCGCAGGAGAATAATTGGAGGGGTTGAATAATCACTTGCTCCCTTTCAATGTGGAACCATAGACCTTATCATCTGTTCTCATTTTCCTGAGACTGACGGCAAGTATCACGGTCACTTTGCATTTACCTCAGATCTTTTTACTTTGCTTTTCTTAAAATAAGGGTTTGGAGAAAAGGAACATTTTAATTGAATTAGTGTCTCATTCAAAAGTGGGAAAATAAAAGATGAGCAGACAGGGGCAATTGTTTTACCATTCCCATCTCACTTATTATTTTGTCTGCCTGAACCCCGTACATATTTAAGTTTGTGATCTCCAGTACACTTAACTATTTTTTGAAACAAATATGCACTTGTGTATGTATGTGTATGTGTTAGGGGATTTCATTAGTTAAATTCAGAGAAGTGATCATTGACTTAACAAGGGGTAATGACTGTGTAACACTGTGTTAGGAACTGAAGATAGAGAAATGAAGATAGAGAAATTCAGGAGACATAATATTGTTATTATGGGGTGCATGGTCTAGGTAACTATAATGGAAGTCCCTAATAATTGTTTTCTAGTTCATTTTACATTTTTAAAAACATACTTGTTTTTATTATGTGCGTCATGATAATCCCTTTAATCCGAGCTGACTTCCCCGTCTCATTAATTGTTAGTACAAAGATATACTAATTTTTTGATGTAAGCAAAAATTAAAACTTACAAATTCGAAGGTTTTAAGTCTAAGAAACAAGTTTTCCAGTACTTTTATGTTTTTATTGATGAAACAGTAGGAACATATGCAGTGCTTTTTAATACTGTACATTAAAAAATACCTTGATCACTGATGTGTTAAAGAGGATAAGATGATTTCTGTTTATGAAAAGGTAATTCTTGGTAAGAATTATACAGTTATACCTAAAGAAAAGGAAAAATTTTATCCAAGAAAAATAGATCTATTTCATTGTAGTTACTTCAATGTCACTCATAGTCCATAAGTTTTAGCATTGATAGATTTACAATACTGTTTGAAAGAGAAAATAAAAAAGATATGCAAACATCTATCATTTCAGGCAGGTTTTACCATCACTGACTTTCAACAGTTTCACTATACACACTGGAGATTCACAAAATGATGGGTTTCTATTTGTTAATCCATCCACCTGAAGGAGCACGCAGGAGAGAAGTCAACTCATAAGTCACAATGGCAGCAGCTTTAGCTGTGGCTGTTACAATTTAAAGCCAGAAGTGATTGCTCCGTTGAGAGCTGGTAATCCTCGAGGTGAGTGTGGATTGGTTGATGTGCTATTAAAGATGAGGCCAGAGACTCTCCATTATGAAAAAGAAGAATGGAGCTAGAGGAAAATTCCGTGGCTTAATTTGGAGGCTGTTAGGTAACAATAATGGAAGTTAGGAAAAGAAATTCTTAGGAAAGTTATCAGAAATTTGCCTTCTCTATAACACAGCTGTATTATTCTCTTTTCTTCTTTTCTCTTAAAGCTACTCTTGCTTGAAAATGATCAAAGAAAAACAACTGTGATAATTTAGGATCATATGAAAAAAGCAAACATTTAATCTGATGTCCGTTGTGCCTCTGGAATTGAAATGAGTCCTGTGATTCAATGCTTTTTACTGCTGATAGCCTTTTTCTCTTTAGAATGCAAAATATGTTAATACTTTTTAAGATAGTATGTCTGAAATATCTCTTGTGTCAAAATTGGTAAATATTAAGAATCTCGTAAGATCTCATAATTTAGTGTATAAAACATATCCCCTGTATTGCCTCTAACTACACTGGGAAATGATTTCTTTGTACTGCTTTAAGAAAATGATCTTTGTAAGTTATTTCCTTTATATTTCACTCATCTATAAACTATCTTCATTTAATAGTAACATTATTATAGTTATGGGTAATGAGCTAAAAGTATCACCTGAATAAAGTGTTATATTAAAGGCTGAATGAGTAACTGCAATCAGAGATAATATTCCTTAATAAATTTACTCTATTCTCCCTGAGTAATATTACAAAACCCATTTAAGAGCAAATATCTTCTTGAGTATCTTTGTATTCCTTTTTGTAATCAGTGCTACTGGATTGGACAATGGCCTAATTGCCCAAAGGATATGAGGTAGCATATGTATTGAACTTTTTGCTATTGTTCAGTGCTCTGCATGACTAGGACAAAAGAGGAGGAAGGAATGAGAAGAAAGAAATGTATTATGTATCGAATGCTTTATATTCATTACTTTTTTTACCTTTCCAAATATTGAGTGATATGGTTTCGACCTGTGTGCATGCCCAAATCTCACATCGAACTGTAATCCCCAAAGACGGAGGAGGGGTCTGGTGGGTGGGAGGTGATTGGATCACGGGAGCATTTTTCTCATGAATGGTTTAGCACCAGTGCTGTTCTCTTGATGGTGTGTGAGTTCTCATGAGATGTGTTTGTTTAAAAGTGTGTAGCACTTCCCACTTCTCTCTCTTGTTCCTTCTCCTGCTATGTAAGCTGCCTGCTCCTGCTCTGCCTTTGGCTATGAGTAAAAGCTCCCTGAGGCCAACCCGTAAGCAGATGCTGCCATACTTCTTGTACAACCTGCAGAAACTGTGAGCCAATTAAACCTCTTTTCTTTATAAATTGCCCAGTCTCAGGTATTTCTTTATAGGAATGCGAGAACAGCCTATTGCAATGAGGTAGTGTCATTATTCTTATTCTACAGATAAGACAACCAAAGTCCTCGTGAAATAAAATAATTTGCCTGAAACCATACCGCTGGTAAGCAAGCAGTGCAACTGGAATGCAATTCAAATGCAATTATCCATGACTCCAAAGTTCATGCTCTGTCTCTGTTCCTATAGTGCCTCTGAATGCACAGCATGGATCCTTTTCTCTTCCTTTCTTAGATCAGACTCAACTCCTCTGTAGATCCCTTCTCACTCACTAAAACAGGTTCTGGGTACCTGGGTGGCTACCACTAGCTATCTGGCCACCGTGTGGACGTCATATTCATGCCATTAGTCACATCCACAGGACGGAATCTTCCGTACAGCCTTAGTGGTGACAACCTTATACAATTTCTTCTAGGATAGGCATATCATGTAGAATACAATCATAACTGAACACACTAATAAAGCATCATTAATGAATAATAAATACAAGGACAGCAAAAAAGATAGTAACGGAGTTTAATTGATTTCTATTTGTTGAAGCCTGAGAATGAGAAGAAAATAAGGCTTATGCCAGTTTTCCTCAAATTGATCTGTATTATGATGAAAAAATAAAATTGTCCTATGGCTACTTCAGTTTGGAAGATGCAGGTCTAGGCATGAGTACATTTCTTTAAGGAAGAATATCAGAGAATCTTTGGTTAGCTAACATGACTGATTTTGAGGAAGCATTTCCTAAAATAGTTGACCATGTAACCTCAGGTTTTAATTTTTTCTTGAGAAAATTTTGAGAAACTGGTGCTCTCCAGTTACTCTCTGGTTTAAGCTAACGAAAAAAGAAACCATAAATGTTGTCCATCTTTTCCTTTGGTACGACATAATGTAGTTATTGAAAATGACAAATTCCCCCTACTACTATCTTCCATTGGATTCCTATACACTTCATGACTCTGTTCTGAAACTCGTTCACTACTTCTTCTCACCAGAAGAAAGACCCTGGTGAGCCTCAACAAAAATCTTCCTAAATGAATAGCCTGTTGACTAATTGTAGAAGTTTTCATTTATTGGAGAGGCCCCAAAGGCTGGCAATGAAGCTGCTATTCTTCATATAGACTCTAATCATTGGCATCCCTCCTCTAATGACTGCTATAATCTTATGTGGATCAAATACGATCCAGGCTTATGTGAGGTGATAGAATATTTTTGTTTGTTTAGTAAGGACTATTAGTGGCATAAGGCCATTGAAATTAAGCTATTGAGGAAGCTGAAAAGCCTTCTCAGCATCATTTCACTATCTGTCCAATAGACCTCTGTGAAAATGGGTAGAAGCGTTTTTTTTACTGATGAGAATAGATTTCTATATAAGAAACTCTGTCAACGTTAGAGACAGTTACAGTCAATACAAAACTTTTCGTTTATATTTTTTCCAAAAGGCTACACAGTAGATTGAAAGATGTATCAGCATGTTTCAAGATACTTGATATTGCTTAGAAAAGAGGAATTTCCTTTGTTTCTGTAACTTAAATAAATAAATAAAATAAAATGCTATAGCATTAGTTGTATTCCTACTATGATATTTGAATGTACCTATTGGAATGCTTTAGAATTGTGATGAGGACATAAATGAGTCATAAAAGCCACTTTTTCTCTGAAGGGTTTTTGTCATATGTATTTTACCCATAAGGATCACCTCCAATCATCCGTGTCTGAATAAGTAAGCATCATGGAAATGACTGTCTTTATAATTTATTCACATTACTACCTAAAGGGAGTCTCATAACAGAAATACAGGACAGTAATCTTTCAATAGATGGACACTAGATTTTTGAAATACTTAATTGGAATTAGGAACTAAAGAGGCTTTATTTTCCCCTGCACTTCTACCCTAGGGGTGCTAGAAATATAATACAGTGCTGCTGTGAGCACTGGCTGACCACAGAATAGTGGAGATACATGCAAAGCCTCCAGCAACAAGAGGAATATTTAGAAACTGTCTCTGGGCTTCCCTATTAGTGGGGGTTATGGAGGCCCTTTTGGTCTTTCTGCAGGTTCATATCAAATTAAGCAAACTACCAAAAAGTCTATTGAATAAAGGTGAAATTAGTGAAGTAGCACAGATTATCCTGCTCCTTAAGAAAAACACTTTCTGTGTGAATTCTTAGATTTCCAGGGAAAGGGGTATAAACACTCAGAAGGCATCCTCATATCCCTATCTCCATCTCAAGGGAATTGCGTGATTCAGGCCTTAGCAGTGTGATGTGCCTCTCTTTTAATCTAATTCCTCTATATGTAACCTGATACATACATGATCAAGGTGAAGATACCATAATAGTGCTGTTCTGGTTCAAGTGAGGGGGAAGAGTGTGGAGAGAGAGAGGGCATTGCTGAGTCCCACTAGTTGGTTCTCTACCTTACCACCCCACCTTGGCTCACTCTCCATGACCCTGAATACTGAAACAAGATAGTTTCAAAACCCTGCAGCAAGGCTTTCCTCTAAGTATATTGTTGAGATTTTTCCAGGATTATACTCATATGTTTTGAAGTCTCCTCATGTCTAATGACTAATTGAAGGAATATGGAAAATATTCATGGAGTTTAATTTACAATGTTGAAGCCAATAGTGCATATTTTTAATTGTATATTTAGTCCTAAAAGTTGTAAATAAAAAATCCATTACCACCAACTTCTGAGAAAGCCAGTTTCTCAATTGTCTTTGTCAACACTTGTAACGTCTGTCTTTTTGGTTATAGCCATTCTAGAGTGTGTGTAGTTGTATCTTACTGTGGTTTTAATTTTTATTTCTCTAATGACTAATGATGCTGAGAATCTTTTCATGTGTCTATCTGTCATTTCTATACCTTCTTTGGTCAAGAGCAGAACTCTTTTGCATGTTTTTTTTTAAGCTGCTCTTTGTCTTATTATTGAATTGCAAGAGTTATTTGCATATTCTGGATACAAGTCTTTAAACAGACATATGGTTTGCAAATATTTTCCTTCAGTCTATGCCTTGTCTTTTCTTTTTTTCTTTTTTTTTTAAAGAGAGGACTTTTTATCTCTTTTTAATTTTGATGAAGTCCAGTGTATCATTTCTTTCTGTTATGAATTGTGCTTTTGGTGTCATATCTTTGTTTAACCCGAGGATGCAAAAATGTCTTCTATCTTTTTTCTAGAAGATTTACAGTTTTCACTTTTACGTTTAGGTCTATGATTCATTTGCATTAATTTTTGCGTGTGGTGTGAGGTGAAACTTACATTCATTATTTTGCTTGTGAAAATTCATTTGACCCAGAACCATTTGTTGAAAAGACTATCCTTTCCCCATTGACTTATAATGGGAGATTTGTTAGAAATTAGGTGACCAGAAATGTAAGGATTTGTTTCTGGACTCTCAGGCCAATTCCATTGATCTATATGCCTGCTCTTATGCCAGTATCACACCGTGTAGATTATTGTACCTTTATGTTTTAATGTTGTGTAGTATGTGTATTTGAACATTGTTCTTCTCTTAAAAGTTGCTTTTGCTATTCAGGGCTTGCACTACCAAAAAAAGTTCAAATGCCAGCTTCAGTATTGATAAAGACTGTATTTAATCAATAGTTCAAATCAAAAAGAATTGGCATCTGGAATACCTTAAGTGTTCTAATGCATAAACACAGAACATCTCTCCATTTAGTTCATCTTTTTAATTCTCTCGGTAATGTTTTGTAGTTTTCTCTCAGTAATGTTTTGTAGTAATGTTTTGTGTGCAAGTATACCTCTTTTGTTAAATTTGTTTTTAAATATTTTATTTATTTTGGTGCTATTGAGAGTGAATTTTCTTAATTTTATTTCTGGATCTCTATTGATGAGTCATTTTTCTCTTGCCTTTGTCAAGATTTTTGCATAGTGTTTGATTTTTAAACGTTTCACTATGATATATCTAGGTTTGATTTTCTATGCAATTATCTAATAAGAGGATTATTGAACATTTTGGATGTGTAGATTGTTTTAATAAAATTAATGAATTATTTGGAAACTTTAGGACATTCTTTATTCAAATATATTTTTCTCCACCTTCTCTATTTGTCTCCGCCAAGGACTTTTATTACACATATATTGGTATGTTTGATATGGTCCCATGAATCTCTAAACTTCTTTAATTTTTCTTTTACCCTCTATTCTTTACTTGAGTATTCCTATTAATCTATCTTTAAATGACTATTTTTCTGCCATCCTTAATTTCCTATTGAGTTCTTCTAGTGAAGTTTTTTATTATAGTTATTATATGTTTCAACTCCAGAATTTCCATTTGATTCTTTTTATAATTTCTATTTCTTTATTGAGATAATTTATTTATTGAGACATTATTGTTACACTTTCCTTTAATTCTTTAAACATACTTTCCTTTTGGTATTTACACATATGTATAAACAGCTGCTTTGCAGTATTTTTTTCTGTTAAGTACAACATCTGAGCCACTCAAAGACTATATCAAGTGACTGTTTTTGTTTTCCAGAGTATGGCCCACATTTTCCTGTTCTTTGCATATCCTGCAATGTTTTATTGAAAGTTGAACATTTCAGATAATATACTATAGCAACTCTTGACTCCCTTTTTCTTCAATTTTGTTTTTCTTTTTTAACTTTTTTAAAAAAACCTGCCTAAATCACATCCTCTGTAGTGTCTCTACAGAGCAACTTCTTAAAATTCTTGTTTTTATTTTTAAGCCTGGCTTCTCAGGTTTTACCCTTGTAACTGCATGGCTTATTGGTCAGTCAGCGATTAGACATCTCAAGTCAGTAAAAATGTTACCCTCTGCAGGTGGAACTGTGTGTGATTTGGAGGGCTCATAAAGTTCAGGCAGTTTCTTGCATCTCTTTTTTGTGTGAACACAGCTCCATGTTCCCCAAAGGTATGTGGTTAGCTTGCATCTCATCTGTTCTCTCCTGCATGTGCACACAATCTTCCAGAAAGTCTGATATAAATGGAGAGCTTATAAAGGCCTTCCATGCCTATCTCATTCTCTGGATCACCCTGTTAAATGTGTGGCTTATTTGCTGGTGTGTTTCTGCACTGACCTCAGGCTTACTGAGATGCTGACCATCCCTATTTGTTGGACATGGAGGTTACTGCTGTTACTAACAACATTGTTGGATGTGGTCATTTTTGTGCTCTGTGCCAAATCAATTGAGCCCTGTTTGGCAGCAAAACTTCTGGTGTCCGTATCTTGTATCTCCTCATTACAGCTAACACTTTGACTATTCTAGGGGATAGAAGGGAATAATGGGAGCAGTCTCAGGAAAGAACATCAAAGATTCCCTCTGTTCTTACCCAGTTTTATAACTGTTCATAATTAAAGACTGCTCACTTTAATGTATGACTTTGGCTGATTTCCAGAGCACTGCCAGAGGTTGTTTTGGGGGCCAATTTGGGTGTAGAAATAAATTTACTTTCTCTGGCATAACAGTAGTTCTGCATCTGTATTTTTAACAGCTTTATGAAATATAATTTATATATCATACAACTTACAGTGTACTATTCAATAGTTTTTAAAAGATTGACATAATTATACAACCATCACCATAGTCAAATTTAGAGCATTTTTGTCACCTCAAAAATCCCCCAAAAGAAAACCTATACCCTTTAGCTATCACCATCCTGCCCCACCACTACAGCCCCAGCCTCAACCTCCTTCCTCATCCCTAAGTAACCACTAGTCTTTCTGTCTCCATAGATTTCCCTATTCTGAATTTTCATATGAATGGAATCATATAGCACCTGGCCTTTTGTGACTGACTTCTTTCACTTAGCATGTTGTTGTAAGGGTTTATCCATGTTGTAGCATATGTATATATCAGTACATCATCCCTTTTTATGGCCAAATAATATAACATTGTATGGACATGGCACGTTTTGTTTACCCATTCATCCATTCAGGGACACTTGAGTTTCCATATTTTGGCTGTAATGAATAATGCTACTATAAACGTTTGTGTACAAGTATTTGGGTTTGAGTTTCCCTATTTTGGCTATAATGAATAATGCTACTATAAACGTTTGCATACAAGTATTTGGGTTTGAGTTTCCCTACCTTATGCCTGTTCCTTAGGCCCTGTTGATCTCTCTTGTATAGCTATTGGTCTCAGTGGTTTCCAATAACAAACTCATAGGGATTGCAACTGCTCCCTGTTCTTGCTAGTACTGAGGGTGCTTTACCACGTTTTGTTTGTTTCCCTTATCCCTGTTCACAAATTTGTGACTAGTCTTTTTATTAAACCTTCTTCAATTTTTCTATTTAAGTATACCATAAGTATGTTTTCTAGCTGACATATTCCTTTCTTATGATTGGAGGAAAGGGAACAAGCAATAACTACTTCTCGTTTTGGAAGACATTGTGATTTGAGGTGCTCAACTGCTTTTTCCAAAATACTTCTCAACAGATTTTCTCTTCCAAATCCTCACTCTCTTGACCTTTAATAATTCTTTTGTTGTTGTTGTTGAGCTATCTGGGAAGAGATTTTATTGAACTATTTTTTATTTAACTTTAAGTTTACTTCTATGATTTGGCTGTTATTGCACTCATGTGTCTTTTGTCCCTAGTTTTATTGAGGTATGATTGACAAAAATTGCACATATTTAGGTTATACTGTGTGATGTTTTGATATATGTGTACATTATGAAATAATTACCAAAGTGAAGCTAATTAATATATTGATATTACCCCACGCAGTTACCTCTGTGTGTGTGTTTATGTGTGTGTGGTGAAAGCATTTAAGATCTACTCTTTTGACAAATTTCAAGTATGCAATTTTACATTATTATTAATACTGCATTATTACTGACTATAGACACCATACTGCACATTAGGTTTTCAGTACTCATTCATTTTATAGTTGAAAGTTTGTACTCTTTGACCCATATATATATGACCCATAAATATATAATATATGTATTTGTATGTATTAACCATTATCTGGTTGAATATGTTAATTTAATAGGACAATAGTCTTGTTTTTGTTTCCTTGATTAGTATTAAAGTTGATTTTAAAATAAATGTATTGTTCAATTTAAATTATTCTTTTATGATTGGTCTTTTTATAACATTAGTTAACATATTATTGGTACCTTATATTTTCCTTCTGATTTGCTTAAACATTTATCTGTATATGAAACATATCAACCATTTTTTGTTTTATTTATGTCAAAATACATTTTCCAGTTTTTTGTTGCATTATAATATTTTCACTTTAATTTCTTCTATTGTATTTATGATTAGAAAGCTGTTCTTCATGAGACTGATTAGATAAAAATTAAATGACTTTTTAGTTAAGATTTTAGTTTTTTACGATTATTTTTATTATTTAACTACTTAATCTAACAGAATGTGTAAAGTCTAAGAGTTGAAGAAAGTGGAAAGAAACACAAAAAGTGGCTCAACCATCAAAGACAGGTTTATTTTGGAGAATAAACCCGAGAGGGGCTTCTGGCCAATTTCAGTCAGGAGCGCTCTCTCTTACTGATTAAGAGTATTTATTGGTTTCAGGATGAGAGAGCTTATCGCAGGCTTGGAATGTTTCTGTGTCAGGCAGAAGTTTATGGCGGGGTTGGAATGTCTCTGGTCGGAGGGGAGGTTATCTTGGGGCTGACATCTCTCTGGCTGGAGGGAAGGTTATCTCAGGGCTGGCACATCTCTGGTCAGGGAGGAGTTTGTCTGATGGTTGGGATGTTGCTGGTCAGAGATGTCATTTGTGATTTATGATCAAGCTGACGTTAGCCGTTAGGCTGATGCCCTTTGGATTTAGGTGGTTTTTGATCAAGGGGAACTGTAGAATGGTGGTGCTTGTCCAAGATGACGATGCTCCTACTCTGTCATGAAGGTATATAATATCAGGCAAACATTAGAAAATAACTTTATTTGCCAAATGTCTGGCAATTTTTTTCACTGACATTGAGTAATCCATTCCTTTCTCATTTGATTTTTGGTGCTATTTGTGAATATATATTCCTCCCATTACCCTCTACCCTTCAACCTAGTGTTTGTTTCTGCCTCATATGCAGTGTTTTATTCACCTGTGTGTCTATTGTTTTTTATCGTCAAATACAGCCAACACCTTTTCATTATTGCTCCTTATCCAATTTTTCTTGACTATTCTTTATTTATTCTTTCAGATAAATCTTGAATTAAAATTTAATTTAAAATTAAAATTGTGACTTTGTGTAAGATTTTGCTAACCAAATTAAAGAAATATTGAAATCTCTACTATTTCTACTCTTCCCTATTTTCATATATATATATATATATATAGAGAGAGAGAGAGAGAGAGAGAGAGAGTAGAAAAAAAAATATATATATATTTAGAGACTATATATATATATCTTCTCACAGGTCTATTACTAGTACTTATAAGTTTTACTTATGAATAGAACTTTTTTATCTTCTAATTCAATGTTACGGCATTGTTAACATATAGAAAAGTTGCTACAATTTATAAAGTCCTATCCATACCATTTCAATGGAAACACCAATATTTTAATAATATAGTGGCCCTTAGAAAGAAATATGCTCTCTTTCCAGGTATCTAAGGTTAGAATGAGTATTGAAACTGGAGGGGGGAATACATACCTGCTATTTATCTTTGTATCACTTACTAGATTGTAGAGCAGAAGTTCTTTATGTGCCACAAATTGGTTTTTAACCAATTGTGATAAATCTATCTTTAAGATTTATTAGTTATTTCTTCCTTTTACATACTTTCTATATCTGTCACACTATTTATTAATTAATTAATTTTTATTTGTATAAATTTATGGGGTATCAGTGTAATTTTGTTACACGGATATATTGCATAGTTCTGAAGTCAGAGATTTTAGTGTATCCATCACTGGAATAACATACATTGTACCCATTAAGTAATTTCTCATCATCAAGACCCTGTTATCCACACATCCTTCTGAGTCTCCATGGTCTATTATTCCACATTCTACCTCCAGGTGTACACATTATATAACTATCACTTATAAGTGAGAACATGCAGCACTTGTCTTTCTGTCTCTGAGTTGTTTTCCTTAAGATAATGGCCTTTGGTTGTATCTATGTTGCAGCAAAACACAGGATTACATTATTTTTTAAGGTGGAATAGTATTCTATTGTGTATATATAACACATTGTCTTTAGCAAGTTGTCCATTGATGGACACTAGGTTGATTCCATATATTTGCTATTGTGTGTAGTGCAGCAATAAACATGGGAGTGCAAGTATCTTCTTGATATAATTATTTCTTTTCCTTTTGGTAAATACCCAGTAGTGGGATTGCTAGATCAAAGAGTAGTTCTATTTTTAGTTCTTCAGTCTTCATATTGTCTTCCATAAAAATTGTCCTACTTTATATTCCCACCAATAGGGTATAAGCATTCCCTTTTCTCTGTATCCTCACAAATATCTCTTATTTTTTGTTTTTAAAGTGTCCATTATCATCTTCCAAAATTTCATAAGAGGTTATTTTGAAATAAAGTGAAGATGTATGTTCTGTTGAATGAAATTTAATATCTGTTTCGTATCTGATATTTTATTTTCTCTCCAAGCTGCACTTTGGTTTCTAAAGAGATGAGTCAATTTTACGCCTCAATCTTAAATTACTCAGATGTTTGCCAAGATTCAAACATTTCCATATTTTATGTTCACATTTTGTTAGCTCTTACATTGTGAAAATAGGTATTTGCTATCTATTAAAATATAGGTAAAATAGGTAAACATATCTCCAGTGTCAAACATTGGTAAATGAAAGTGCTGAATAATAACAAATTTATCTTGTTAATACTTTAACAAAAGATTCTCATTCCATTTAATACAAAAGATAGAACATGATTTTTATAGCTGCTCAAAGAGAGAATATTGTACTTTTATCTCTGGCTTAAAATAAGCCTTTGCTATTCCTTTTGTTGTTTGTTTTCTTTTACTCCCTTTTGTTACTGAATATCTTACCAAAGTCTCTGTTCTGGGGAGCTAAGTAATATGAATAAGAGGTTAACCTTTTCAGGATGCTCCTTGAAAAGACTCAAGGCCAATCATTTTTCATCCTTGTGCCAGTTCATTAAAATTGTAAAACCTCTGAATAGAGGTTCTAATTGATCTTGCTGGGCTCAAGCACCCATACCTGGGTAGAAAAAGGCAGGATACCATAATGGATGGGAGTTATACCAAAGCAGAATGAGGTCATTCTCCATGAAAATAGGGTATTCAAGTAACAAAAGAAAGGGGAATGTTATAGCCTGAATATATGAATGTGTCTTCCCTTTCCTTCGTATGTTGAAACTTAATTACTAAGGTGATAGTACTAACAGGTAGGGCCTTTAAGAGATGATTGGATCATGAGGGCTCCAAGTTTAGAAATGAGATTAGTGCCTTTATAAAAGAAGTTGAAGGGAGCTGTGTTGTTCTTCACCATGTGAGCACATAGCCTTCGCCTCTTATACGATGTGAGGCTGTGGCAAGATGCATTGTCTATAAAGCAGAGAGCAGCTCTCACCAGCCACAGAATCTGACAGTACCTTGATTTTAGACTTTCCAGCCTCCAGATTTGTGAGAAATAAATTTCTAAGATATTTTGTTATAACAGAACAAATTGACTATGATAGGGAAGGAATGCTGAATTACAAACAAACAAAAGATAGTCACTACACTTCCAATACTCAATGACTTTTGACTCATATTATAGATACATTGATGTTTTACCTCCCGTTTTATTTATTTTTAGATCCTTACCAGACTAAGCACATCACACACAAACACACACACACACACAGTTGCTTAATGAATACAAAGATATATACATGTGACTTTTTTCTAGAAGACAGAGAAAAACTGAAAGAATGTCTGTCCTAAACAAATATTTCGAGTAACATGTGAAGTACAAAGTTAGATGAATTTCCCACCATGCTATGATATGAATGTTTGTGTCACCCCCAAATTCATATGTTGAAACCTAATCCCCTATTATGAAGGTATTAGGAAGCAGAGTATTTGGAAAGTGATTAGGTCAGGAGAGGGAAGCCCTCCTTAATGGGATAATTGCCTTTATAAAAGAAGTGCTAGAGAGTGGCTTGGCTCTTTCCATCATGTGAGGACACAGAGAGAAGGCATCAACTATGAAACAGGAAATGAGCTCTCACCAGACACAAAACCTGCTGTTGCCTTGGTCTTGGACTTCCCAGCCACCACATCTTTGAGAAATAAACTTCTGTTGCTTATAAGCGACCCAGTGTATGGTATGTTGTTGTAACAGCCTGAATGGACTAAGACACACCTTCATTTATATTCATATTACTCATTTCTTAAAATATTTTCATTTTTTGATTCTTCATCTTTATATTTATAGCTCTCAGTTCCTAGTGTGCATTTTTTTCTGTTCACAAAACACTTTTCTTCTTTAGGACTTACTTGAGGTTAAAAAGGAGCAGAGATTTTCCCCAGTATAAATATTTTATCCTCATTCTCCCATAGGCTGTGATGAATTGTTGGGCACAGGCCCCCAAATCTGGCTATAAACTGGCCCCAAAACTGGCCATAAACAAAATTTCTGCAGTACTGTGACATGTGCATGATGGCCATGACGCCCACGCTGGAAGGTTGTCAGTTTACCAGAATGAGTGGAAGGAACATCTGGCCCACCCAGAGCGGAAAACCACTTAAGGTGTTCTTAAACCACAAACAATAGCATGAGTGTTCTGTGCCTTAAGAACATGTTCCTGCTGCAGATAACTAGCCAGAACCCATCCCTTTGTTTTGGCCCATCCCTTTGTTTCCCATAAGGAATGCTTTTAGTTAATCTATAATCTATAGAAACAATGCTTATCACTGGCTTGCTGTCATTAAATACGTGGGTAAACTCTGTTCGTGGCTCTCAGCTCTGAAGGCTGTCAGCCTCTTGATTTCCTGTTCCATACTCCATATTTCTGTGTGTGTGTCTTTAATTCCTCTAGTGCTACTGGGTTAGGGTCTCCAGAACTGAGCTGTCTCAGCAAGTGGTGCCCATACGTGGGGCTCAAATCTTGGGCAAAGGGTTGCCAGAGTGACAGTTGGGGAACGTGGAACTAAGCTGGAGGACACCAAGTACTCTTAAGCAATACTTGTGGTGAGTAAGAAGGGGAGCTCGGAAGCATCAGGGTAACAATGGGACAAGTATGGGCTCTGGTTCGTTCCACCTTGGAACCTTTTCACACTGATGATAAGAAGGAAAGTATAATGAAGTAACAGAAGAGGTGACAGAGCAGGTTTGTTTGCCAGCTAAAGCTAAAGCTAAAGCAGCAAAGGAGGAAGAGGTTCATCCCTACCTTCTGCATCCCCTCATTATTTGAAGAAAAAGAGTGGTCTGACCCTCCAGATCTTTCTTTTCTGGAGGACACTGGGCAAAAAGTAGTTGCCCCAGTGACTGTTCGAGCGCACCTTGAGCGACCGCTCTCAGTTCTATTCAGGCAGGAATCCAGAAAGCTAGAAGAGAGGGTGATTTAGAGGCTTGGCAGTTCTCTGTTAGAATACACCCCACAGATCAACAGGGGAATGTTATAGCTACGTTTGAGCCTTTTCCTTATAAAATACTTAAAGAGTTTAAACAGGCTATCAATCAGTATGAACCAGGTCTATGCCCAAAGTGTAAAAAAGGAAAACATTGGGCTAATCGCTGTCACTCTAAGTTTGATGAAGATGGGAACCCAATTTTGGGAAACACCATGAGGGGCCTGTCATGGGCCCCATTCCAAACTGGGGCATTTCTGGCTCAGGCCTCTCCTTCACCCTTGTACAATGTCTGTCCCCTGCCACAGCCAGTAGTGCTGCAGTAGATTTATGCTGCACAAAAGCTGAGCTGTGAGCCTTCTGCCTGGGGAACACCCACAAAAGGTCCCAACAGGGGTCTGTGGACACTTGCCAGTGGGGACGATAGGACTACTTCTAGGCAGGTCTAGTTTAAATTGAAAAGGAGCGTAAGTACATATGGGAGTCATTGATTCAGATTACAATGGGGAAATTCAAATGGTTATATCTACTTCTGTTCCCTGGAAAGCAGAGCCCAGGAGAGTGTATAGTGCAGCTCCTAATTGTACCATATGTGGAAATGGGAAAAAGTGAAATTAAACAAACAGGAGGATTTGGAAGCACAAGTAAACAAGGAAAAGCAGCTTATTTGGTGAATCAAATTACTGATAAATGTCCTACCTGTGAAATAACTATCCAGGGAAAGAAATTTAAAGGTTTGGTAGATACAAGGGTGGACATGTCAATTATTTCTCTATAGCACTGGCTGTCCATGTGGCCAATTCAACCAGCTCAATTTAACATAATTGGAGTTGGTAAAGCCCCTAAAAATAGTATATTTTGTCTTGTGAAGGGCCTGATGGACAACCTGGGACTATTCAACCAATTATAACTTCTGAACCTATTTATGGGGAAGAGATTTATTACAACAGTGGGGAGCACAAGTTCTAATTCCAGAACAATTATATGGCCCTCAAAGTCAACATATGATGCATGAAATGGGGTATGTCTCTGGTATGGGACTAGGAAAAAATTTGCAAGGTTTGAAGGAACCACTTCAAGCAGAAAGACAAAATTCCCACCAAGGTTCAGGATATCACTTTTGATGGTGACCATTGTTAAGCCTCCAGAACCTATACCTTTAAATGGTTAACAGATAAGCCAATTTAGATAGAACAATGGCCACTGAGTAAAGAGAAACTGGAGGCTTTAGAGGACTTAGTTACTGAACAATTAGAAAAAGGACACATAGCTCCAACATTTTCCCCTGGAATTCTCCAGTCTTAGTGATTAAGAAAAAAATCAAGTAAATGGAAAATGTTGACAGATCTTAGAGCCATTAATTCAGTGATACAACCTGTGGGGACATTACAGCCAGGATTGACTTACCCTGCTATGATTCTGAAAAATTGGCCTTTAATAGTCATAGATTTAAAAGAGTATTTCTTTACTATCCCCTTAGCTGAGCAAGACTGTGGATGGTTTGCATTTACAATTCCTGCAGTAAACAACCTGCAGTCTGCTAAGCATTTTCATTGGAAAGTGTTGCCACAAGGCATGTTAAACCGCCCAACAATTTGCCAGACTTATGTAGGGCAAGCAATTGAACCTACTCATAAAAAGTTTTCACAGTATTACATTATTCATTATGTGGACGATATACTTTGTGCTGCCCCCACTCGAGAAAAATTACTCCAATGTTACGATCACTTGTAAAATTCAATTTCTTGCACTGGTTTAATTATAGCTCCTGACAAAATTCAGACTACTACTCCTCACTTCTACTTGGGGACCTTAGTAAATGACACTACAATTGTGCCACAGAAAGTAACCTCTACGTAGGGATCAACTGAAAACATTAAAAGACTTTCAAAAATTACTAGGGGACATTAATTGGATATGACCTGCTTTAGGTATTCCTACCTATGCCATGAGTAATCTATTTTCTATCCTTAGAGGAGATCCTAGTCTCACTACCCCTTGGCAATTAACAAAAGAAGCTGAGGCAGAGCTGCAGCTAATCAAAAAGCAAGTCCATAAAGCTCAAATAAATAGATCCAGAGAAGACTCTAGATTTGCTAATTTTTTCAACTCATCATTCACCTACTGGTGTTATTGTCCAAAAGCATGACTTAGTAGATGGTTTTTTCTTCCACATACTAATTCACGGATTCTAACTCCTTATTTTGATCAAATCGCTACTATGATACGAAATAGGAGAACTCAGATTGTTAAATTACATGGATATGATCCTGGAGAAATTATTGTCCCTCTCACGAAGGCACAAATACAGCAGGCTTTTATAAATAGTCTTACTTGGCAAACCCATTTAGCTGACTTTGTGGGTATTCTTGATAATCATTTTCCTTAAACAAAACTGTTTCAATTTTGAAATTAACTAATTGGATTCTCCCTAAAATAACTAAATTTAAACCAATTGAAGGTACTGAGAATGTCTTCACAGATGGGTCTAGTAATGGTAAAACTTCTTATTCTGGCTCGAAAGGTAAAGTTTTTGAGACACCCTACACTTCAGCTCAAAAAGTGGAGCTTGTAGCTGTAATTGAGGTATTGACTGCTTTTAATATGACTATTAATGTGATTTCTGATTCTTCATATGTGGTTCATTCTACACATTTAATTGAAAATGCTGAGTTATGATTCCACACAGATGAGCAACTGATGACTTTATTTACCCAAATTGCAAACAGCAGTTAGGAGTAGAATGCACCCTTCTTACATCACTCACATTAGGGCTCATACACCTCTTCCAGGACCTTTAACTGAAGGGAATCTAATGGCTGATTGCCTAGTTGCTACTGCAATATCTAATGCTAGACACTTTCACAATTTAACCCATATTAATGCCTCTGGTCTCAAACGCAGATACAGCATTACCTGGAAAGCAGCTAAAGCTATTATCTAGCGATGACCTACTTGCCAAATGGTGCATTCCTCATCTTTTACAAGAGAGGTTAATCCTCAAGGATTGGAACCTAATTCTCTTTGGCAAATGGATGTCACACATGTTCCCTCGTTTGGGAGACTAGCTTATGTATATGTATGTGTGGACACCTTTTCTCACTTTGGGGTACATGCCAATCAGGAGAGTCTTCTGCCTGTGTTAAACGTCACCTTTTGCAGTGTTTTGTGGTGAGGGGCATTCCAGCTTCTATTAAAACGGACAATGCCCCAGGCTATACTAGCCAAGCGCTAGCTACATTTTTCTCTGTATGGAATATTAAACACATTACTGGTATCCCATATAATTCTCAAGGACAAGCCACAGTGGAAAGAATGAATCTCTCCCTGAAACAGCAGTTGCAAAAGCAAAAAGGGGGAAACAGAGACTTCGGGACACCCCATACGCAATTGAATCTAGCATTATTGACTTTAAATTTCTTGAGCCTGCCTAAAGGCCAGATGTTTTCAGCAGCTGAACAGCATCTACAGAAACCAGCTTCAAAGACAGAAGCACAACAACTGGTTTGGTGGAGAGATCCGATAACAAAAATTTGGGAAATAGATAAAATAATAACTTGGGGTAGAGGTTATGCTTGTGTTTCTCCAGGACAGAACCAGCAGCCAATTTGGATACCATCAAGACACCTGAAACCTTACTATGAGCCAGATACCCAGGAAGAGGT
Source organism: Homo sapiens (assembly GCF_000001405.40). NCBI lineage: Eukaryota > Metazoa > Chordata > Mammalia > Primates > Hominidae > Homo > Homo sapiens. The sequence goes on along the minus strand of NC_000002.12, from coordinate 107,943,998 downwards.
TTTGGGAGGATCCCAAAGACCCACCAGTTGCAGCCATGTTGAGACTGATGTTGAGGAGGATCCCAACTGTCACAAGCAACACCTGTCAAACACACCCACCTACCTGGGGGCAGATCAAGAAGCTGTTGCAGATGGCAGAAGAAAACCTGAGGAAAGCAGGACAGCCAGTCACAATGAGTAATTTAATGATAGCTATGATAGCGGTGATCACCACTGCCGTGAGTATTCCTTCAATAAGGGCTGACACAGAGAACAAGTATACTTATTGGGTATATGTATCAATTTTGGCTGGCAATAATGCCTGGATGTAATCATTCTATGACACGGTTGCACATGCTTTCTGATCTCAGTATTTACCATAATAAATCCGCTCCAATAATTGAGGCATACCACCCTCAAAAACCTATTTGTAAACAGAATTGGACCTGGCCAGAAAAACTGAACATACTTGTTTGGGAAGATTGTATTGCAGAACAGGCAGAGGTGCTGCACAATGATTCCTATGGAATCATTATTGATAGGTGCCCAAAGGGGAGGTTTAACTTGAATTACACCTCTCAGTCTGCATGCCATGACCATGCTATGTTCAGCTGGTCTAAACAAAATGGTTAGATGGTAGAAATGGTAAGAAATATGACAAGAGTTCCTATTATCTGGAAACATGGCGGTATAGTGGCACCTCAACCTCAAATGATATGGCCCGCTCTAGGAGCTAAGCATAAGGATTTGTGGAAATTATTAATAGCTCTTAATAAGATCAAAATTTGGGAAAGAATAAAAAAGCATCTAGAAGGACACTCTACAAACTTGTCTTTGGATATTGCAAAATTAAAATAACAAATATTTAAAGCATCCCAGGCACACCTGACCTTAATGTCAGGGACTAGAGTGCTTGAAGGAGCTGCAGACAGATTAGCAGCTATTAACCCATTAAAATAGATAAAAACACTTGGAAGCTCTGTGACTTCAATGATGATTGTGCTTTTAATCTCTGTTGTTTGTCTTTGTATAGTCTGCAGATGTGGATCCCAACTCCGTGAGCAGTAGCTCACCATGATAAAGCCACCTTTGCTTGCAAAAACCAAAAGGGGGAACATGTTGGGAACAGGCCCCCAAATCTGGCCATAAACTGGCCCCAAAACTGGCCATAAACAAAATCTTTACAGCACTGTGACATGTTCATGATGACCATGATGGCCACACTGAAGGTTATGGGTTTACTGGAATGAGGGCAAGGAACACCTGGCCTACCCAGGGTGGAAAACTGCTTAAGGTGTTCTTTTTCTTTCTTTCTTTTTTTTTTTTTTTTGAGAAGGAGTCTCACTCTGTCGCCCAGGCTGGAGTGCAGTAGCATGATCTCAGCTCACTACAAGCTCCATTAAGGCGTTCTTAAACTACAAACAATAGCATGAGTGATCTGTGCCTTAAGGACTTGTTCCTGCTACAGATAACTAGCCAGGGCCCATCCCTTTGTTTCAGCCCATCCCTTTGTTTCCCATAAGGAATGCTTTTAGTTAATCTATAATATATAGAAACAATGCTTATCACTGGCTTGCTGTCAATAAATACGTGGGTAAAACTCCATTTGTGGCTCTCAGCTCTGAAGGCTGTCAGCCTCCTGACTTTCCACTCCACACTCTATATTTCTGTGTGTATGTGTCTTTAATTCCTCTAGCGCCGCTGGGTTAGGGTCTCCATGACCGAGCTGATCTCAGCAATAAATGACAATAAATTGGAAGAAAAGACTTATAACTTTTCATTTAGATAATACATTTAGTTACTTTTGCCTCTGAAAAAAAATGAGTTTATTCATTCAAAAAATTTTATTCATTCAGTGATTTTCAAAAAAACAATTAGTAAGCATTGCCTGTTAAAAAAAATTGAGGAACTTGAGTGGAAGGGCAAACTCCTTGCCTTCACTGAGCTTGCTGTCTGATAGAGAGCCAAATATCACATCAGGGCAAGAATTTCCATACCAAATTGGGAGGACTGTCTTTCGGGCAGGTACAAGGTACTGTGAGAGTGGATGGGCAGGCATATCAACCCAAACTAGGAATATAGAACAGAGGGGTGTCTTGAAGTTGTAGGTCAACATCAAGTAGAATCTTGAGGGTCATAAAGGTGTTCAAGTACAAGAGGAGAGAAAATTATAGGAAAAAGGAGTTACATGGGCAAAAACAAGGGAACAGAAGAGAGCATGATATATTTAGAGAATTGCATATATCTGTTTTTGTTTTATGTTTATTTTATTTTGTTAACTTATATAGAACTACTGTGTATCTGGCTCTGTTCTGTGTTTTATAAGTTTTAATTCATCTAAGGTCATTTAATGTATATTTAGAACTGGAGTTGGCAAACTACTAGTGTACAGATCAAATCCAGCCCCCTGCATATGTTTGCAAATACAGTTTTACTGAAAACAGTGATGCTCATTTGTTTATGTATTACCTATAGCTGCTTTGATGTTACAACTGCAAAGGTGAAAAATTGCAACAGAGATCTATGACCCACCAAGTCCAAGATATTTGCTATCTGATTCTTAACCTAAAAAATTTGCCAAACGGTAAAGTACAACTTAGCTTTAGAAGAGATACATGAGGCTTGAGGAAAGAAGGGGCAAGATTACAGAGGATGTCAGTTTAAGAAATGGAACTTATTTACTTGTGCATTGCAATAGTAAGGCAATTGCTCTTGAGTATAACTGTACCCAGCAACTCACATAATTAATAGTGGCCCATAAAGACTGCTCAGGGAGGGCTATTAATGTTTCCGTCAGACTATGGCAATATTGCGTAGTCTACCCAATTTCACAGAAAGTAAGCTACTTCACAGAAGATAGTGTTCATACCTACAACAGAGGTTTTTGTTGACTTCTGAGCTGAAGCAATAATGTCTGCATTCACAATCTAATTTTACAATAGATAAAGTGATGCTTAGAGTGTAGGTATGTGTCTTCTTAACAAAAAGACAAATCTTAGATATGTCTCTAGCATCAATGATATTTAGTATCTCGTAGATAGGTCCTATTCCCACTGACCAATGCCTTAACCTAGGGTACATTATTTAGTCTCTTTCAGCCCCAGTTTCATCATCTTACTTCAAAATAATGTTTTGAAGATTGAATTAGATAGTAAACATATAGTCCTTAGTACAGAGGTTGCTATGCAGTGGGAACTGAATGAATTATGTTTGTTATTATAGAAACCACAAAGCTTTAGAGACCTCCATACACATCTTTTTAAAGCTGTTTTCTTGCAACCCAGTATTTTTTATTAAAGGAAAGCTTATAGTTGGAAGTCAAAAACGTCACACAATCAAAATGCTCAATGGAGTAAAGAGCTTGATTGGAGACACATTAAAAGTGCAAAAAATAACATTTAATGGATTTTTTTCAAAATTTCTGGGCACAGGTCAGAACTCTCTCTGAGAAGAGGTCTGATTTCAGTGAAGTTTGGGAATAGCATCAGAAAAAATTGATATGTTGTTTTTGTTTTCAATTTTCCAGATGCAATAAAAATGGTGAAGAATAGGGGTGTATGTGACCATCTTAATGCAGATAAAGACAAGAATCAAGGTGCCACAAAATACACCCCTCAGCCTCTCTCTTATTTTTCCCTCATCATAGCCTCCATGTGAGTTCCCAAGCAACCCACAGTGTGGCACGTTCTCTGGGTCTCCAAGCTTACTTGTGTTTTCTTCCTGTGAGTCAAGTGTCAAAATATTGGGAATTAGCCTTAGAAACCAAGCATCAGAATTAAAAAAGGTATATTAAAGTTTCCATCCCTGATAATGAACAATTAGAATATGACACTAGCAGTGAGGGTACAAGACAGCTGGAAAAGAAGGAGGAGAATGCCACAACAGAGAATGCCACTGGCTCCTGCACTCTACACCCTGATCCAAATGTTGTAGCAAAAGCTCACTCATATCTAGAGTGTGGGAAAGTCTTGGGAATTTTTCTCTTTCATGCTGTCATCTGCTTCTTAAAAATACTCAGAGAGTATATATATATCCCAGAGGCCTGGGAACCCGGGAAATGGCTGTGTCATATGCTTTTAACTGAGAAATATGAACCCAGTGGTTAATTCCGTGGAGCTTTAACTGCAATTTTTTTTCTTCTTGTCTTTAACAGTACCTGACAAGATATTTGATGGTTCAAGAGCATGAGGTTCAAGAGCATCATACACTGATGCTGCTCCCAGGTCTCTGGGCTGAAGTTTGTACAGGGGTTCTTATAGTTTATTCATGGGAAAAGCTGCCCATACCTGTTGGTTGTGAATTAGGGTGAACTGCACTAAAACTTGACTGTAAGTCTACAGATGACTTGGTAAGGTTGTCTGGGGGTATCGTTTGTTCATTCAACTTTCTCTGATGGCTGAAGCTGAAAGGACAATGGAGATCCTGAATAATGATGGGCAGGGTCTTACAAATCTCTTTTGTCACTTTCTCTGTAAAATTTGTCACTACATTCATAGAATACTCCTGATATAAGAAATCTGAAGCTAGAGAAGACAATTTACTTTTGACAGAGAAACATGTCTAGCCCCACCAGGAAATAAATAGACAGTAGAAAAAATGTATTCACATCAATTTGAATAGAGCAACATAAAATCCATCTGCAAATGTTTAAATAGAACTTCAAGCTTTAGTTTTTACTGTGTCCCACCTGTAAAGTTTTGTGAGGATTATGAGTTTTGCATATAAGGCATGCACCAGAAACATCCTTATATGTTTAGAAATGCTGGCTTAAAATTATTAATATAACCATTTTTTTTCTCTGCTATAGTGATAAAATTGAACAGTTCTGGCTAATGAATTATGTTAGCTAGCATTGTCGGAATGGAAGTAAGTGGACTCTTGTCTTGAGGAATAGCATACAACTATTTATAAGGATGTGATAATAAAAACCCTCTGCATAAGAACAACCTATAAAAAAAGGGACTAGCAAAAACTATCCAGGGCCTTTTTGTTTATATCATGAAGTTCTTGTCATTGTCCCTGACCAATTTCGGTATTGAAATTGATAAATATCACTTTGTAGACAATTATTGTACCCATCTTTATGCTTGAACACAAATGAATTTATTTAAACATGAAAAGCCCAATATATCACAAACCTACGAAGACTGAATTTCTGTTTTGGCCTGTCATGACTTTTTTTGCATCTTAATTTTGGTGAACAAAGAGTTTTAAAAAAACTTTAATTTATGTGTGTGTAACAAATAGATTTTTTTTTTTTTTTTGAGACGGAGTCTCACTCAGCCACCCAGGCTCGGGTGCAGTGGCACCATCTTGGCTACGGCAACCACCATCTCCTGGGTTCAATAGATTCTCCCTTCTCAGCCTCTCGAGTTGCTGGGATTACAGGCACCTGCCATCATGCCCAGCTAATTTTCGTATTTTAGTAGAGACAGGGTTTCACCATGTTGGCCAGGGTCGTCTTGAACTCCTGACCTCAGATGATCCACCCACCTCGGCCTCCCAAAGTGCTGGGATTATAGGCGTGTCCCACTGCACCCGGCCACAAATAGATTTTTTTTTTCTGGAATTGTACCTTAGTTCTATTTGAAGTCCCCATTAGCCTGCAGTGACAATAGCTTAACAATGAGAGGTCCTGCCCCATCCCCAGGGCGGTGTCGAAGCTGGGGAGATTTCTGAAGTGCCAAGATGAAGAGAAGAGGGAGATGTCAATCCCTTGCATCACTGGTCCCCACAGACATTCTGAGACGTTCTTTGTTCACTCTGGTGTTTGGGTTTCTGTCTTTTGTTTTTAGGCTTGAAGTTTGAGATATGTGTGGCTTCACTCACATGCCATATTGTAGAAATCTCTGTGAGGGGTCTTTTTTGCCTGGACATATTTGAAACATCACCTCAGAACTTGTTAGGAATGCAAATTCTAGGGCCTCCCCACCAACCTCCTAAATCAGAAATACTGACTAAAACACAATCAGCAGCAGACTGCAAATTCTCTAAGCCTCCATGCTGCAAAGGCTCTGCCCAGGAAGAGTGGGCAGGAACTACCAGTCTCTCCCTCCCTTGGAGGGAGAAGGAGGATATAGGAATCTCATTCTAGTTCCTCCTTTCTCTGTAGAGCAGTACTGGGTTTACAGAAAAATTAAGCAGATTGTAGAGAACATTCCCATTTTCCCCTGTTATTAACTTGCCTTAGTGTGGTACATTTGTCTGAATTAATAAACTGATATTGATACATTATTAACTAAAGTCTACAAGTCACCTTAGGGTTTACTCTTTTTGTTGTACAGTTTTATGGGTTTTAGCGAAGGCATAATGTCAAATATCCATCAACACAACATCATATAGAACATAAAACTTTCATTAAAATTTGAAGACCACAACGTTTCCCTAAATAAAATAAATTAGACATATGAAGTTGTTAATCACCATTAAATGCCTTGAGAAACAAAATAGAGTTCAGGAAGTAAGATCACTTACAGATTTACAATAGTTTACTCTTCAAAGAGACAATACGAATACACACTGCATTCAAAAAGTTCAAATTTACCAATTAAACGTAGGCTGGAAGCAGATAAAATTTATTTAACTAATTTGCTTTGACCAAATATCAAACAAAATAATAGTCTTGGGTCTTCCAGCTTGATTGAAGATGAAACTCCCAGTTTTAGTCTGTGAAACAAAAATCAGATCCTTTTCAAAAACAAGCTTTTTAATGTTAATTGTGAAACATTATTTGTAAGAATTTTCACATTAAATAACATGACCTTGCCATGCTAGCTCGAGTTCGTTAACTCACACAGCAGAAACATTCATGGAAACAGCTTCAAATTCCTACCAGCTCTCAGCAAGTCCTCCAGATCACCCAGTCTCATATCCTTACCCCAAAGAATGAACAAGTATACTCTGCTGACATTAAGAGAATCCCTAATTGCTCCTATGAATAGTGAATTATCAATAGGATGTAATCAAGGGGATTCTGATTTTCTAGCCACTTGTTTTAAATTGTTTGTTGGGGGAGGGGGCAAAAAAGAAAAAAGGTATCACGTCGCCCTCTGCTGGTGAACCCACATAATTAATGAAAACAGGTTAAGATTTGGGAAAGATAAAATATTTTACTACTGTTTACTAAATCAAAGGTCCTGGGTGGTTCCACTTAATTATGTGAAGATAAGTTTAAATCTTGACATAATTTTATTATATTTATTTTAAATTTTATTGCTTAGCTTTTGTATAGTCTATTTTTAATGAAAGCAAGGCCATCACAAACAACTACCCCAGGTTGGCATCGTTGGGTGTATAAAGGAAAAGAAGGTTTTTCCCATTCTGTCTCAAATCATGTGATCTGGCTTTGTAGATTAGCAAAGTCTTGAGCACTACTTGAAATTGACTTGAGAGACTCAGAGGTATGAAGAAAATACTTCAGCATCAACTGTCAGATAAGGCCACAAGCTCTCTTAGTAACAGCAACACAGTATGAATTTAGCAAATCACTTATTGTCTCTTGGTCTGTATTTTCTCATTTATAAAAAAATGAGTTAGAAGGCCTAGCAGATCTCTAGGTTTTAAAAGATTGTAAATCCATAGTTTTTTATTTTATTTTATTTATTTATTTATTTATTTTTTTGAGACGGAGTCTCGCTCTGTCGCCCAGGCTGGAGTGCAGTGGTGCGATCTCGGCTCACCGCAAGCTCCACCTCCCGGGTTCACGCCAATCTTCCTGCCTCAGCTTCCCGAGTATCTGGGACTACAGGCGCCTGCCACCACGCCTGGCTAATTTTTTGTATTTTTAATAGAGACGGGGTTTCACCGTGGTCTGGATCTCCTGACCTCATGATCCTCCCGCCTCGGCCTCCAAAAGTGCTGGGATTACGGGCATGAGCCACCGCACCTGGCCCATCGTTTTCTATTTTTAAAATTTTAAGTATACATTTAATGAAAAGCGTAAGCTCCCCCCCAACTTTTTTTTTTTTGGACGGAGTCTCGCTCTGTCACCAGGCTGGAGTGCAGTGGTGCGATCTCGACTCACCGAAACCTCTGCATCTCGGGTTCAAGAGATTCTCCTGCCTCAGCCTCCCGAGTAGCTGGGATGACAGGCACGCACCACCACGCTCAGCTAATTTTCTTTTTTTTTTTCTTTTAGTAGAGATGGGATTTCACCATGTTAGCCAGGATGGTCTCGATCTCCTGGACCTCGTGATCAGCCCGCCTTGGCCTCCCAAAGTGCTGGGATTACAAGCATGACACACCGCGCCCGGCCAGCCCTCTCTTTTAAAGAACTGTTTCCCCTTTGCTCAGCCCCACTTAGAAACAGGTGGAGCAGCGTGTTCCCTTCATAAGCCACCAAGAAGACCGCAAGCTCAGACTCAGGGAGAGCAGAAGGAGGCCCATCCCATGCTCTGGGAACAAACAGTGCTGTCAGAGGGTGGGTCCCATAGAATTTTGTGAATTTGCTGGTCTCTCTCCGGTCCTGTACAGACACATTTCCTTGTGTTACCACATTGGCCTATAAGAAGCTGCCCACCTTCCTCCTGTCAAACTTTAACTCTCTAATCATCCCTTTTGAATCAATTTTCAAAAAAAATACCAAAGGTCAGTAAAAGATACCACTATCCCTCCAGGTTATCTCCCAAATACCCAGGAATCAACTGAAAATCATTCTGTCTCTCATATCTGCACCATATTGCTCTTCTGTGACCTCACTTTCTCCATCTCTGTCATCTCTCTAGTCTAAGCCACCATTGTCTTTAGCCGGAGCTCCCGAGCGGCCTCAGATCCGGTCTCTGCTTTCACTCTTGCCCTCTCCTCCGACTGTCCATTCTCCACTTATCACCAGCCAGTGTGGCTGTCTTCAGAGGTAAATCAGGCTTTGTCGTCTCCTACTTATTAACTTCCTTCAATCACTTCCACTGCACTTAAAATACACCCCAAACTCCTTATCCCCCTCTGGCCCTGCTTACTTTTCCAATCTCTCCTGATGCACCTCCCCACAATCCATGCATTCCACCCACTGACCTTCCTTCTCTCCTTCAGGCTCAGTGCTTGTCCTGGCCATACCTTTTGCAGGGGATGCCTCCCGTCCCACCTCAACTTTTTACTTGCCTGCTCCTTCTTCATGTTCAGTTCTGAACTCACGTATCAGTGCCTCAAAGAAGCTGTCTGTGACCAGCTTCTGCATGCTCCCCTCACCCTGTCCCTTTCACCTTTTAACATGTCACCCTATTTTCTAGGGCTTATTGTAAGCCAAACTCCCTGGTCAGTAAGCCACTAGTTTGTTCCCTGTCTCCCAGCTGGAAGCTCCTGGAGGGTAATAACCTTGACTCTCCAGTTTTCCTGCTGTGTTCAAGAGACCTAAAAGAGTTAAAAAAAAAAAAGTGCTCCATGTAAGCACTCAATGAGATTTTACTTGATAAAGGAATGCAGAAACAATGGAAGATACTGATCTTAGCATCCTGTGAGATTCAGAACTATTGAACTTATAATTATTGCCATTCTTGGAGGCTGACTTGGAGACTAGTCTATAAAGTCTCACTCATGTCTTCAGGTCTTTCCTGGGCACCTTATGGCAGATGGGTAGCTCATGTGTCCCTCATCTAGGGAAACTCCCTGTGTTTTTCCCCGCTGTTCCCTCTCCACCTGTGTTTTCTCTTCTGTGTGTTTTCATATCCACTGTGTTTACTTTTTATCTTCTATCTTATTACATAGTATTGCTATTAATGAAATATATTTGTGACTTCTCTGCTAGACTGAATGTCTTGGTAGTAAAGGTCACTTTTAATTTGTTTCTGAAGGCTTAGGAAAGCCTCTGTACAATATATATGACAGATAAATGGTGCGTAAGTAAATGTGAAAGTGTACTAAAAATCAGAATCATGGTGTTTCTCAATGACAGTATGGCAGGACGTATAACACGGAATGCCCTTGAATAATTTGAAGACTATCACAGTTTATAAACAAAGTTAATGTGTAAAGCCATGGCACATGATAACTGTAATTAAATAACACTGAAATATTATTTGATGCTATCAACATCTCTACCCCTAGCAAGCTTTTCCGTCTTGTTTTGCTGTAGACCTCCACCCTTATCTCCATGATGCCACTGTAATCTCTGATTCTGTGCTGGGAAACCCATCCTTTTAAGGTGCTTATAATTGAGAGCTTGTAAACATGTCTTTAGTGAAGCCTTCCTAGTGTCATTTAAAGTGGACATTTTCACCCGTCCTCTCACTCACACACTTCACATGTAATATGAGTGCATAATGCAAGTGCTTTTGTGTTCCATTTTTCCTTTCTGTCAACTTGTAGCTCAGACATTTGATAGGAACTTGTTGAATGTGATTGGCATGTAGTTCAGCTTCTTCTGTTCCTGTAAGATTTGTCCTTATCTTGAGGAGCTTGGCAGAAAGCAGGGGCCACGATTTCCTGACATTGTGTCGTCTCTTCTCTGCGTTCCCTTGATCTTTTAGAGGGGCATAGGCATCACGTTTCCTGCATTCCTAGGAAAAACCACCCAGTTCTGAAGAGCCAGCTCTGTCTCCGAAAAGCTTGACCAGTGCTGATCATAGTTGCTCTACTGTAGTATCTTGACTGGATATTCCCAATTTATTCTACACTACTTCTAAAGATCTCATTATTGGTATTCTAAAAAAAAAATGCACAAAACAGAAGATAAAGATAATGCCCAAACTAAGAGAAATATAGGACTGACGAGCAAGTTACCTTGCCATTTAGCGTGAGGAGCCTGGAGTTCCCTGTATTTTTTCTTCTTCCAATTTAAACTTTTAGCCAAACCAGTTACTTGGGTTTCTTCTGCTTTGCTGCATTTGAATCAGTAGAGGGAGGCAGAGGAAAAGGCTTCAAAGAAACTAAGACAGAAATTACACAGAAAACTCAATATCTGTGTAGGTTAGTATTCTGTACCTTTTAAAAGACAACTTTGAGCCCAAATGTCAAATCTAATGGTGAAGCAAATTAGAATGCTTGTTTTTCCAGGCCCTCATCTTGAGGATAAATGTATTACGGATAATTTAGTAAATGCATTCATTGGCTAGGAGTTGATTGCTGATTGAATTTGATGTCTTCTGTTTTTGTGTCAATTAAAGACATTCACAAATAATTATTTTGTTTCTTCTCGTCTCCTTTCAACTGAGTTTTCACTGGAAATATCCCGAGAAAATCAATTCCTTACTGGTCTCCCAAATTTCCTCTTATGGACAGTAGAATAGCATTTTTAAAGTTTTGAAGTTGGCATTAAGCCATGAACATTGCTAGGAATCAAAGCATATAGTTCTGTTCATCTACCATATGAGCTAATGTGGCAATGTGCCAATTACATAGCCAAATCCTCCCCCTTATCCCTTTTAGGGAGTGGATGACTCAATCTTTATATTTTAAAAAGAAAGAGATCTTAATGCTTCTGGCCACAGAGTTGTGCCTGAGATTTGAGTTCCCTTCTGTTATTTCGCTGAGCCTGCCCATGAGCCTGCCCATTCAACAGTCCCTACACCTCTGTCTCTCTGAAAAGGAATCTGAAAATGGTAGGGTGGCTCTGTTTCTCAAAAAATAAACAAATAAATAGCAATGACTGTACTTACTCTGAATGTAGTGACATGGTTGACTTTAGGCAAGATTCTGAGAAGGTGATATTTCTCTTCAATGTATCTCCTTTCTTTTCCTCTCCTAGGTACCCACAGAGAGAAATATCTCTCCCTCTCTCTCTCTCTCTCTCTCATCCTAATAGCTCTAGGTTTGCCCTCTGCAATCCAATATTCCAGTCTGCATTACTCTTGAATCATTTAGACATATTGATTTGATAGCCTGCATTGTAACAGGAAGGCCATTATGTATGAAATAAACGTATATTGAGTTGGTTCTAAAGTTTTACTCTGTGACCCCTTCAATCAGAGCTCCTTCCACCCCACATTCCTAGGGCCTGTGTCCCCAGTACGGATCTGTAAGTACTGGGATACCAGCCAATATATACTGTGATCACTGATTGTTCTTTTTGGAGTATTATTCCTTGCCCTGGATCTGTGTAAGTTTTCCCAGAAAGACTCATCTGTTCTGTAGCTCATTTCTCCTAAAACACAGCAAGCAGCCTTATGTTAATACATGTCAAGGTATAAATGATTCATCAAGCCTTGACATATGACTTTTTAGGGGTTTTGTAGGTTTGTGGGATCTTTCTGGCTACATAGGCATTTTTACCCAGAGGGCTACATGTTGGACAGTTAAATTCTGAGCATGAGCAAGCCACAAAGCAATGTTCCTTGTTCTTTGCTTTGTTTCTCAGGCTTCTCCCTGTGCATCTCTTCTCTCTGTGTTCAAACTCAGGCAAAATGCATGATCTCAGTGTGTCTCTCTCTATGCGAATACAGAAATGAGTAGTCTGGATGAAATGTGCTCTTCTTTCCTTTCACATCCCGGCACTGCAAAGCCTTGCCCAGTTCTGTCTCAGATATAGGCCAAAGCCTTCTACGAAAGTATACAAAACTGGCCCATAGATTAAAAAGTCCTCTGGGCCTCTTCTTTAATCTCCCTGGGGTAGTGAGGCAAACACATCTGGAATGGGCTTTAAATATCTGCAGAGAGTTCTGTTTAAAGAAAGACTGTGAGCAAGCGAACACGGTTCCTGCCCTCTGCCTCTCAGCTTTAAGAGGAAATGGAAAGAACTGAGGCAGGAGAAAATGGCAGGCCTCTCCCTCAGGCAAGAGTCACCACCTGGAAGCTGAATTGTGAAAAGCAAACCTGGTGTTTTCTCCTTTCCCTTTAATTACAGAACAACCAGCATTTCATTTCAGTGTGCAATGGAATACTGTTCCTCTTTCATTAAATATGTACGTTCCATCAAATATGGATAAGCAATGGGCCTTGCTAGGGAACAGTGAGTTACAGTTTTCCAGTCTGGCCTAAATTATTTATGTTGGTTTTATGATCTAGAAAGCAAATGTATGCATTCCTAATACTCTTTCTAGATGTTTTACATTTTCCAAGTAATATGTAACAAATCCTTTCATTTCAACCATGAAAAGCCATAAGCCTATTTAGTACATTGCAGAAATGAGTAAGCCATTATTATAAATCAGAACCCATAGCCAGATCCACACAACTGTCCTCCATGTATCCCTTCATGTTTGACCCATTCTGGTTTGAATTTTCTGTTGACTCTACCACTGTGGCTTATTGGTTTGATATACTGTTATCTTTCTTAGGCACAGGAGGTGGAGTTCACTTAAAATACAAGTAAACTAATTGTGGCTTCTGTGCAGAAATGATAGATAGAAACTTTAAAACGTGTAGTCTTTAGTGAGAAAAAAAAAAGCAAGCAAAGAGAAACAGTAATTCATATAATCATAAAATGTGATTAAATCTAGCACTGTGAGTTAATTTAAAATACTACCCAGTGTAATCAATATTTTATTTTTATGATCTCATAGCGGAAAATGTGTTTTCTTTGCTAGAAGCTTTGTAGTTTTATTGGCTATGTCTAGGTTTATAAAAATGTGAAACATATTTGAAAAAAAAACCCTTTCCCCCATCCTAATAATCTAAAACTGAAATTTAAAATGTAGATGATTAAACATACTATCTCCTATATGGAATCATATCAAATCAAAAGTCATGTATCATTTCTGGGGTTACTAATGAGGAGGAATACTAGGGCATAGATTTCATTGCTTTTATTAAACTAATGAATATTTTATTCCTGAGAGTATTTACATTACACGTAGGATACATATTCTCTGCAGATGTATTTAGGTTATTCAATATTTAACAACATTCTTCTTTTTATGACTCCCTTCATGTGTATGTGTAACTAACATTTATATAAAGCTTTACATTTGTAAGACAGTTTCAAAATGCATTATCTCATTTCATCTTTAGCATAGCTTTGAGGTAGGAATCACTAGCCACATTTTACAGATGAGGAAGCAGGGACTTGGAGAGATTAAATTTCCTTGCTAAGCTTACACAGGGTAGAAAGTGGCAGAGTGGGACACGAATCACAAATTCAGGTCCAGGTTTTGAGTCTGGTGCACTTCGGCCCCTGCAAATGCCATTGCCTTTTGAAGCTTTCTCATCTCAAGGATGATATGCAGATTTACAGGTAGCCCATGTATTCTTACTTTTTCCTCACTTCTATATCTAAAATTACCTATTTGTTATTGGGGCAAAATGTAAAATGAGTACAAAATTTCCATTTTAAAATTTTACCAAACTAGTTCCACACTCAGCCCACATTCTGCTCTTATTGAGATGGCTTTGCATCTGCTTGTCTCCTCTGCTGGCATGTGAATTCCTAGAATGCAGATGTATTATTATCTTAATCCTTGCTATGCCTAGATCAGTGCTTCATATACGTATAGTTGATGTTCAAAAATGTTTGTCATTGATAATGCAGAAAAAGCTAAGATAAAGCTAATGTTCTCTGGATGCTAAGCTATATCTAGCTTCCTTCCATTTGTTGAGTTGAAAATTTTATGCCAAACATACAAACAATTTGAAACCAATTAAACTAATTATTAAAACTAGACTCTTTTTACTGTATCTTAGATTTAATAAAAATTTACATGTTGATGAAATTACAGTTGAAAGAGGTCTTAAAGATCCATTTTGCTTATCTGTTTTCTGAGATTATTAGAAATTTGGATGTCTGTATTTACAGAAGGGTTTACTAAACAGCAATCAATCACTACTGCACATAGCATCAGCCTGCTGCCTGCTATCTCCCTGGCTCTTTGAGATTTGGGAAACAATAAGGTGCTCTCACCGGTCCACCCCTAGGGCAAGTTGGGCATTTTCTGAGAGTGAGTTTTGTGGAGTTTGCCCTTGTAAAGCTTGGATAGGAAATCTCTATTTAAGACACATTCTGTGTCCAGGAAAACTGGTGTTTAGATTTGAACCGTTGCTCAGTAGTAACTGATAATTTGAATACTGCACTTAAAAATTTCCCAAGTGGCTTATAATTATTAACCTGAATAAGGCTTATGTTTTCCAGGACTCATCAGTGACTATTCCTGTGCCTCTTCCTAAATCTTAAATCTCTCTTTTTCTGTTATGAGTCCACAAACCGGTGACCCATGCTAAACATTTTAAAAACTCTTCCTTCAATCCTGTTGCCACCTCAGGCAACTACTCTAATTGCAGTCATTCCTGCACTTCCAGACTTTCTAGAGGAATAGACTGTCTTCTTGGTCCTCACCTCCTCCCCAGCGTGTTCCTTCCATCCAATGTGACCTGAGATGTGTGCCTACTACTACTGCAGAGAGACGTTTAATAAGGTAGCTAAGCTCTTTTAATTGCCCAACTTAATCAGGAGCTGAATTTTCTCACTTTAAATTTCTACTAAATTTTAATAACGACACATTGCATATTTCTAGACACATAGGAAGTACAGGAAGCATACAACATAATATATCCACAAGTGAACCATCCAGAGTATAACTTGTGTGAATATTTTATCATATTTTCTTCAGTACTCCCCCACTTAAGGAATAAAATGGTTCAGTACATCTAAATGCTGACCATGTGTTCCTTACTTGCAGTATCTTTCCTATTACACTTTCTGCAGTGCGTGCTGATGATCGATTCTCTCTTTAGAACATGCAGCTTCTCCTCAACGCTGCCATGTCTCCTGTATTCTCTTTCTGTACTTTCTAGCTGTTACTTTTCATTTGTGTTTGTTTGTTCTTCCTTCCTCACTTGCTCCTTAACAGTTGGGATCCTCACATGTTTTATCTTGGCTCTGATGTCTTGTTGCTTTACCATAATCTAGAGATGTGGTCCACCTGTCCCACTTTATTTCTGTGTGCCTCACATTTCCTCAATGTATGTTTCTAGCTTTGACTATTTTATTTGAGCACCATTTTCATGTGACCACTAGACAGATTTCTGGGTATGGTACAGCCTCATCCAAATCTGACCTGCTAGTTTTTCATGACTTCATGTATTGTACCTTTTCCATGGACCAAATATTTGTGTACCTCCAGATTTACATGGCGAAACCTAATCTCCAAGTTGATGGTATTAGGAGGTTGGGCCTTTGGGAGGTAATTAAATTATGGGGTCAGAGCCTTCAGAATAGGATCTGTACCTAATAAAGGAGGCCCAGATAGTTTGTTTACTTTCTCCGCCTTGTGAGGCTATGGGGAGAAGATGGCTTCCTGTGACCAGGAGGAAGGCCCTCCCCAGATATATAACCTGTTCATGCCTTGATCCTGGACTTCTCAGACTCCACAACTTGAGAAATAAATATATGTTGTTTATAAGCCACCCATTGTATGATATTCTTTGATAGCAGTCTGCATGGACTAAGAGACCTGCTAAATGGCAACTTCAGTATCCTCCCAAGCTCTATTTTTCCTCATTCTTCATTAGTGACCAAATACTGCAAGTCTACGTCAGGAACTTTTCCTAAATTTAGCCTGCTATCCATTATAACTACTACTGCATTAATGATCTTCCTTATCATATAATCTCAGCTTAACCTACCATCTGCCTTCTAATTTGTTTTTCTCACTAGATGTTTTACACTCCTTATCATCAATTATCTTACAGACTGCCAGAATATCTTCAAAAATAATTCTGGCCATGCACTGCTAATACTTAAAAATTTCCATTGACCTCTGGTCCTACAAAGAAACAAAGGCATGAGTTTTTTGTTGCCATGTGAAGACCTTCACACCTGCTTATTTTCCCTCTCACTGTCCCTGCTCTGCCTGTCTCACTCTTCGTGCACCTGGTCTCAATCTGCACTGAGGGCACCCTTCCCCACCAGGCAAAGTGGTGCTGGCCAGAGTCTCTGAGTCAACATGCCAGACTCGATTCTTGTGCAACACTGGCCTCCCACCTCCATTCTAAACATAGAGACGAGCTGCATAATTTATGACAGCAAAAAGTAATAAGCAAAATAAAAGCAAAATAAGAAGCATAGCTGAGCTGGAAGATAAGAAAAGAAAATCCCCAGGTGCCAGAAATTACCCATTACCTAAAAAAGACACTGGAATTTTTCCTATGTCTTGAGGTAGAGTTTTCATATTCACTCTGTAGAAGAGTTAAGGCTGTATTCCCCGGATTCTAAATTAAATGTAACTGAGGCCCCTGAGTAAGAAGCAGCTGGAAAGAGGAGTCATGCCCATGAAAGGAGGACTAAAACAAAACTGTTTTCACCAGTCCAGAGGTGCCATATGTAGCATGCTGCCAGCCTTGGACCACAGGTTTGGAAAGAGTGCCAACGGCAACAAAACCCAGACACTCAAATTTGTGTTCTGCATGATCTTAGGATTTAGTCTTTAATTTTGTACAGGGTGAGAACACCATAAGCTGAGAAATTAACCTTAAATACTTGATTATTAAAACTGATTTAACTCACAGTGCCCAGTGAGAGGCAAAAACTTCCCTACTCAAATATCTTCATCACCAGACCCTAGCAAGACTCTGCAAAAAATGATTCACATGGAAGATAAGCTCAGAGTCAAAAATTAAAAGCAAAAATGCAACACCATCTGAATTCCTAACCAATGAGCTCTAACTTCAGAGCGATCTAAAAGCAATTTTAAAGAAATGTGCTTGAATTATTCAAAATGCTGAAAGTGGCGCTGGACTCTATAAGGAAAGACCAAAGCATTAAGAAGTAAATATCGCAGATAAACTGAAAGGGAACTTAAATATGCGAGAACTGCTGCTTAGGGCTTTGGGTTGGAATATTCCTTAGGGAAATGGAGAACTTAAGTATCCACAACATGCATGGGGAAAGAAAAACACACACACGCAAACAAACAACAAAAACAATCTGTTCTGCCTCAAAAGGAAAAGCACAAATCTGCCCCTTAAGATTAAAGCTCACAATCTCATCACTACAAGAAGATCCCTGCTAGATCACCCGCTGTGTAACCGTATCATCTGTACTTGCCCTGCAAATGAGAATATGCTCCCATTGTGCTTTCAGGTCAGACCACTCTTCCCACTGAAATTAAAACGGCAGTGCAGACGAAGTTCTACTGGGGAACACCTATAGAACAGCGGCTCTCCACTGGGGCAATATGCACAGGGACACTGGGCAGTGCCTGGAGATATGCTTGGTTGTCACAGCTGGGAGGGTCCCTGAGCAGGGGCTAGGGACACTGCAAAATATCCTACAATGCACAACGCAGTCCCTGACAACAAATAATTATATGGTCCAAAATGCCAATAGTATTGAGGTGGAGAAACCCTCCTACCAATAAAATGAGACTTTCAATATTATTTTAGTAATGTTACATTATGCTTTTCATGCCTTGTTCTTGTGATTTTTCACTATATCCAAGTTGCAGCATCTGCCATATTGGTCTGATAGATTCTATTCACTTTCATGGCCTCTCTGGAGTAGAAGCGATGCTGTAGTTGACAGAAGAAAGAGAGAAAAGTAAAAGGACTTATGGTAGGGAAGAGTTGGAGAAGTGATTGTGAACAAACTTACTCAAAGATCAAGGATTCTGCCTAAATTTGATAAAATTCAAAAAAATAAAAGTAAAAACTTTTCATTTTAGAAGATCAAATTATAATGATATAATAACATTTTAAAAAAATGAGAAAAAGTTGTGGGGAGGAGGTAATATAGGTATGCCAAACTACCACATGGTTAATTTTAGGTACCATCTTGACTGATGAAGAGATATGCAGACAGCTGGTAAAGCATTAGTTCCGGGTGTCTGCAAGGGGGCTTCTAGAGGTGACTGGCATATGAATCAGTGGACTAAGTAAAGAAGACCCACCCTCACATCGGATCAGCTGAGGCCTGAATAGAACAGAAAGATAGAATAATGGCAAATTTGCTCTCTGTCTTTTCTATACCTGGAATACCCTTCTTTTCCTGCCTTTAAATATCAAAACTGGCCTTTGGACTCTGGAATTTGCTCCAGTGGGCTTCTCAGTTTCTTGGGCCTTCAACCTTGGACTGAGAGTTACACTATTGGCTTCCCTGGTTCTGAGGCCTTCAGAACTGTCCTGAGCCACACTACGAGCTTCCCTGATTTTCCAGCTTGCAGACAGCCTGTTGTGCAACTTCTCAGTCTGACAATCAGGTAAACCATTTCTCTAATAAATTGTCTCTCCTCTATCTATCTATCTATCTATCTATCTATCTATCTATCTATCATCTATCTATCTATCTATCTATCATCTATCCACCTATCTATGTATCTATCTCCCTTATCTATACATCTTATTGGTTCTGTATCTCTGGAGAATTCAACCGTGACTAATTCAGCTACTTTACTTATTTTATAGCACAGACATTAATAAAGACAATTGAAATTGAAATTTGATAAATCAGGAAATGGAGTTAAAAACATGTTACATAGATTTACAGTGTTAATCAGCAGATGCACTGAAAGCAGAATTTATCAAAATAATGGGACTCTAAATCAAATAATGGGACTCTAAATTTCTTAATCATATGCATATATTATTTCTAAATTTAAAATAAAATAATTCTAATACTAAGTGGTAGCAAGGGTGGGATTATAAATATAAATGGAACCATCTTTCTAGAGGGCATTTTGGCAATATGTATGAAAAGACCTAAAACATTTTAGACCATCTTACCCGGTAATTCTGTTTTGAATTATATATCCTAAGGAAATAGTTAGAGACACAAAACAAGATTTATATTCAAGAATATTTATTGACGTTATTTTATGCATTTATAGTAGTT
The DNA here is from genome assembly GCF_000001405.40 of Homo sapiens. NCBI lineage: Eukaryota > Metazoa > Chordata > Mammalia > Primates > Hominidae > Homo > Homo sapiens. Next base: position 107,924,332 of record NC_000002.12, on the reverse strand, counting down.
GAAATTGTAATACTTAAGATGTCATAGTAGAGATTAGCCAAGTAAATTATGAAACATTAGACAAAGGAATACAAGCTGCCATTAAAATCCGTGTCATCAAATATCATCCAGAGACAGATACAAAGAATGATCACAATATAATGTTGCCTAAGGGGGAGTCTATATCAAGAGTATCCTCCCATTTATCTTAAGTATATATGATTGTCAGGCAGACATTTCTACATCGTCTTCAACCCAGCCTGGGTTGAAGCCACCTTGGCTTCCCGAGTAGCTGGGACCACAGGCTCACACCACCATGCCCAGCTAATTTTATTTATGTATTTATTTGTTGTAGAGACAGGGTTTTGCCACGTTGCCCAGGCTGGTCTCAAACTCCTGGGCTTAAGAGATTTACCCGCCTCAGCCTCCCAAAGTGTTGGGATTACAGGCGTGAACCAGCATGCCTGGCCATACGTGTATATATTATTCTTTTTTCCCTTCTGAATGCTGTGAGTAAAGTATTAATTAATTGTGGGCCTAGATCCTGAACAGACCTAGGCCGCCTTCTCACAACACTGTTTCCTTGGAAATGTATCAAGTTCAATGTGGAATAATGTATGTTGGGAACTGGTCACCTACTTTGTTTACTGTGAAGCCCTTGGTCTGTGGGACTGTTCCTGCCCTGGGAATGCACACAAGCCTGGAGCCTTCATCACAAGGAGAATATAAAAGACTCATGGGAAACCAAGGCGGGGACTTCCCTCTGTCAATATGAACCACATACACCTTCACCTCTTTTGTTTTTGTTTTTGTTTTTGTTTTTGAGATGGAGTCTTGCTCTGTAGCCCAGGCTGAAGTGCAATGGCGTGGTCTCCGTTCACTGCAACCTCCGCCTCCCGGTTTCAAGTGATTATCCTGTCTCAGCCTCCTAAGTAGCTGGGACTACAGGCGCGTGCTACCGCACCCGGCTAATTTTTGGTTTTTAGTAGAGACGAGGCTTCGTCATGTTGGCCAGGCTGGTCTCAAACTCCTGGCCTCATGATCTGCCCTCCTTGACCTCCCAAAGAGCTGGGATTAAAGGTGTGAGCCACCACGCCTGGCTCTTCGTCTCATCTCTAGTCACTGTGCACGCTCTGCATGTGGGTGAGTGAAGGGATGAGAAACTATGTGCATGGGTACTGCTGGGCCTCCCAGTGAGCTGTAAGATGTTGGGTATACTGTATTTTCTGTTCTTCATTCTCTGTACAGCTAAGTAAATGCAGTGCTAAATTAAAGCCATTGAGACTTATGGATCTGATTGCCAATCTGAACATGTGCCCAGTGCTGGTGGTAGGAAACATGCCTTAAATAAATACATCTATATTTGAATTAACTCGAAGCCATATGAAAAAAATGAAGATCTCTGGTAAAGATAAATACATGGGCAATTATAAGGTAGTATTATTGTAATTTTCACTTATAATTCCATTTTTATTAATAATTTTCTGCACTTTAAAAAGACAAATGCAAAAAACAAGTATTAACCTATTTATTGGGCACATAATATATAGCGATGTAATTTGGGACATCAATAACAAAAAGCAGAAGACAAAGATGCATGGAGCAGAGTTTTTGTATGCTACTGAAGTTAAGTTGGTATAGATTCAAAATAGAATGTTGTAGCTTTAATAAGTTAAATAGAATCCTCATGGTAACTAGAAAGAAAATATCTATACAATATACTCAAAAGGAAATAAGAAGAAAATAAAAATTTTTCCCTGAAAAAAATCAGCTAAACACAAAACAGGCAATGATGGAAGAAAAAGGGGACAATAAAGAAATGGCAGATAGAAAAAAAATAACAAAATGGCAATAATATTTACTCCTTATCAGTAAATACTTTAAGTATAAATGGATTAAGTTCTCTAATTGAAAGACAGAGATGCGGAAAATGGATACAGAAAAACAGGATCTAATTATTATCTACAGGAGACTCACTTTAGGACAAAAGACACTAATAGGTTGAAAGTGAAAGGATGGTAAAAAATATTTCATGCAAATAGTAACCAAAAGAGAGCTGAGGTGGCTATAGTAATATCAGATAAAATAGATTCTAAATCCAAAAAGGTTACAAGAGACAAAGAAGGACATTAATAAGAGGTTTAAAACAGAAAAAAAATATAGCAAGTATAAATATTTACATACCTAATAACAAAAATATATGAAGCAAAAACACGACAGAATTGTAATAGGCAATCCTAGAGTAATAGTTTGAGAATTCAATATTCCACTTTCAATAATGGATAAAACAACCAGAGAGAAGATAAGAAATTAGAGGACTTGAACAACAAAATAAACCAACTAGCCCTAACAGACACATACAGAACACTCAGCCCAATAACAATAGAATACACATTGTTCTGAAGCACACACGGGATGTTCTCTAGGATAGACCACCATAAACATGTTTTAATAGATTAAAAAGTATAGATATCACACAAAGTATCCTCTCTAACCACAATGGTATGAAGTCAGAAATCAATAACTGAAGAAACACCAGAAAATTCACAAATACGTGGAAATTAAACAATGCACTCTCACAAAACTAATGCATCAAAGAAGAAACCACAAAGAATATTTGTATCTTGAGATAAATGAAAATAAAAACACAACATATCAAAACTTATGAGATGCAACAAAAAAGCAGGGCTAAGAGGGAAGTTGACAGCTGTAAATGTCTATATTACAAAAGATCTCAAATCAATAACTCAACTTTATATCGTAAGGAACTAGAAAATGAAGAGCAAATGAAACCCAAAGATAGCAGAAATAAGACAGTAATAAAGATTAGAGCAGAGATTTTTAAAAAGTAGAGACAATAAACGATAGAAAAAATCAATAAATAATTTATTGGGAAAGAGAAACAAAATTGACAAACTTCTATCTAGACTGACAAAAAACAAAAGAGAAAAGATGCAAATGACTTAAATAAAAATAAAAATGGACTGCCATTTTGTGGACGCCGGGTGAGCGAGAGCATCGCTGGGTACTGGGCCGGAGGAAAGCGGGAAGACCCATCGGAGCGTATGGATTTGAGCCTCCGCATTTTTTACCCTAGATGTCGAAATGCATCGTGATTCCTGTCCATTGGACTGTAAGGTTTATGTAGGCAATCTTGGAAACAATGGCAACAAGACCGAACTGGAACGGGCTTTTGGCTAGTATGGACCACTCCAAAGCGTGTGGGTTGCTAGAAACCCTCGCGGCTTTGCTTTTGTTGAATTTGAAGATCCCCGAGATGCAGCTGATGTGGTCTGAGAACTAGATGGAAGAACACCATGTGGCCGCTGTGTAAGAGTGGAACTGTCGAATGGTGATAAAAGAAGTAGAAATCGTAGCCCACCTCCCTCTTGGGGTCCTCGTCCTTGAGATGATTATCATAGGAGGAGTCTTCCACCTCGTCGCAGATTTCCAAGAAGAAGCCTCTCTCGCAGCTGGAGCAGGTCCCTTTCTAGAGATAGAAGAGAGAGATCTCTGTCTCGGGAGAGAAATCACAAGCCGTCCAGATCCTTCTCTAGGTCTCGTAGCCGATCTAGGTCAAAAAAAAAAAAAAAAAAACAAAGAAGACCAGTTGGCAAGAGAAGTGGTGTACAAGAAATTACTTCATTTGACAGGAGTATGTACAGAAAATTCAAGTTTTGTTTGAGACTTCATAAGCTTGGTGCATTTTTAAGATGTTTTAGCTGTTCATATGTGTTTGTCTCTTGAAACAGTGACACAAAGGTATAATTCTCTATGGTTTGAAATGGATCATGTGAGGCATGTAATACCAAGAATTGTTACTTTACAATGTTCCCTTAAGCAAAATTAAATTTGCCTTGAACTTTAGTTATGCATAGACTGATAATAAAGCTCTAAACATGCAAAAAATAATAATAAAAGTAAAAATGGAGACACTACCACTGATTTTACAGAAATAACGGATTAAAAGAGAATAGAAAAATAGATGAAAAAATAGACAACCTAGATGAAATGAAGAAATTTATTGAAACATAGAAATTATGTAGGTTGACAGAAGAAATAGAAAATCTCAACAGTTCTATAACAAAGTGATTGTAAACATAATTAAGAAAAAACTTCCCCAAAAGAAAAGTCCTGAATCAGATGGCTTCACAGGTGAATTCTACTAAAGAAAGAAAAATTGACAGAAATTATTTCTCAAATAATCCAAAAAATTGAAGTTTTGGGGATAGCAAGGAACACTTGCTATGCATTCTGTGAAACCAGCATTACCTTGCTATTAAAGCCAGATGATATTGCAAGAAAAGAAAATTGCAGACTAACATTGCTTATAAATATAGATGGAAAATCCTTAACAAATATTAGCAAGGCCGGGCACGGTGGCTCACGCCTGTAATCCCAGCACTTGGGGAGGCCGAGGCAGGCAGATAACCTGAGGTCAGGGGTTCAAGACCAGCCTGGCCAACATGGTGAAATCCTGCCTCTACTAAAAATACAAAAATTAGCCTGGCATGGTGGTAGGTGCCTGTAATCCCAGCTACTCGGAGGCTGAGGCAGGAGAATTGCTTGAACCCAGGAGGCGGAGGTTGCAGTGAGCTGAGATCATGCCACTGCACTCCAGCCTGGGTGACAGAGTGAGAATCCAGCTCAAAAAAAAAAAAAATTAGCAAATTGACTCCATCAGTATACTATAAGGATTATTCACAATTGAATGGGATTTTACCATGAATGCAAGGACGTTTCAACAGAAGAAAATTAATCAATGTAGTACATCACATTATTTGAACAAAAGAAAAAAAATCACATTATCATCTCAATTGACATGGAAAAAGCATTTGAGGAATTTTAACATCCTTTCATAATAAAAACTCTCGGCTGGGTGCAGCGGCTCACACCAGTAATCCCAGCACTTTGGGAGGCCTTGATGGGTGGATCAGCTGAAGTCAGGAGTTCAAGACCAGCCTCGCCAACATGGTGAAACCCCGTCTCTACTAAATAATACAAAAATTAGCCGTGCATGGTGGTGGGCACCTGTAATCCCAGCTTCTTGGGAGGCTGAGGCAGGGAGAATTGCTTGAACCAGGGAGGCAGAGGTTGCAGTGAGCTGAGATGGTGCCACTGCACTCCAGCCTCGGCAACAGAGTGAGACTCCATCTCAAAAAACAAAAAACAAAAACAAGCAAACAAACAAACAAACAAAAAACTCTCAGCAAATTAGGAACAGAGGGAAAATTTCTCAACATGATAGAGTGTGTTTCTGGAAAACTTACAGCTAACATTATATTCAATGGTAAAAAAAACTGAATAAGTTCCCCTTAAGATAAGGCACAAGAAAAAGTTTCCCAGTGCTGTTTGACACTGAATTGAAAGTTCTAGCTAGACAAGAAAAGCAAATAGACCGGGTGTGGTGGCTCATGCCTGTAATCCCAGCACTTTGGGAGGCCGAGGTGGGCAGGTCCTTTGAGCGCAGGAGTTTGAGCCCAGCCTCAGCAACATAGTGACACCCTGTCTCTACAAAAAATACAAAAAACAAAGTGGCCGGGCGCGATGGCTCACACCTGTAATCCCAGCACTTTGCGAGGCTGAGGCAGGTGAATCACCTGAGATCAGGAGTTCAAGACCAGCCTGGCCAATGTGGTAAAACCCTGCCTCTACAAAAAATGCAAAAATTAGCCCCCCATGATGTTGGGTGCCTGTAATCCCAGCTACTCGGGAGACTGAGGTGGGAGAATCGCTTGAACCTAGAAGGTGGAGGTTGCAGTAAGCCAAGATCGTGCCATTACACTCCAGTCAGGGCAACAGAGTGAGACTCCATCTCAAAAAAAAAAAAGTGATCCAAATCTAAAGGAATAGATGAAACTATTTCTGTGTATAGATGACATAATTCCTTGTAAACAAAACACCACAGAATCCACAAGAAAACTCAGAGCTAATGAATGAATTCAGCAAAGTTGCAGTGTACAAAATCAGCACACAAAAACAAATTGTTTTCTATACACTAGAAGGAAATTAAGAAAAAATTCCATTTACAATAGCATCTAAAAAATTAAATATACTTAGAAATAAATCTAACTGAAGAGGTGAAAGATTGATACACTGAAAACTATAAAAGATAAAAACTACAAAAAAATTAAAAAGATCAAAGTAATTGAAAATACATTCTGTGTCTGTGGATAGGAAGACTTACCACTGTTAAGATGTCAATACTACTGAAAATGATCAGCAAATTCAACACAATCTCTTCTAAAATTCCAACAGCCTTTTCTTTTCCACAAATGAGGAAGCTGATCCTCAAATTTACATAGAATTGAAAGTGACCCTGAAGAGCCAAAACAATCTTGATAAGGAAGAATAGAGTTGGAAGACTCACACTTTCTGATTTCAAAACTTACTACAAAGCTACAGTAATTAAAACAGAATGGCACTGGCATAAGGACAGACATATCCAATGAAATAGAATCGAGAGTCAGAAAAAGGTCTCATATATATGGTGAATGGATTTTTTCTTTTTTTATTTTTAACTGACACATAATAATTGCACAGATTTATGAGGCACAGTGTGATATTTTGATACATGTATACAAAGTGTGATGCTCAAATCAGGATAATTAACATATCAATCACCTCAAACATTTATAATTTCCTTGTGGTAGGAACATTCAAAATCCTCTGTTCTAGCTATTAAAAATATATAATAAATTATTGTTAACTATAGTCACCCTACAATGCTACAGAACATTAGAACTTTTTCCTCCTATCCAGCTGTAATTTTTTGTCCATTAGCTAACCTCCCCCATTCTCCCCACCTCCCTGCCTTTCCCAGCCTTTAGTAACCACTATTCTTCTCTTTGCTTCTATGAGCTCAACTTTTTATTCTTCCACATATAAGTGAGAACATGTGGTATTTATCTTTCTGTGCCTGGCTTATTTCAGTTAACACAAAATCCTCTAGGTTCATTCATGTTGCTGTAAATGACAGAATTTTATTTTTTATTTTTATTTTTCATTGTGGTTATAGACCACATTTTATTTATCCATTAATTTGTTGGTGAGCACTTAGGTTGATATCATATCTTGGCCATCATGAATAGTGCTGCAATAAACACAGGAATGCAGATCTCTTTTTTTTTTTTTGTAGCCATGTGTTAGTCACTTTAATAGAAAATGTGGTCAAAACCTGACTACAAGAGTTCAGAGAAAAACCAGTGAGTTTCAATTTCATTACAAGTTTTTAAATCTGGAACTAGTCTTTATGTTTTTGTTTTGTTTTGTTTTTTAACTTAAATGCTAACTTCAGCTCTGGGTTTTTTCACAACCAAACTAAAAATTACTTACTACGTGGGAACATCAATGCAACAAACAAGGAAAATTTGTAAACTCAAGCCACAAACTTACAGTTAATAATCATGGTAAGGGACATTGCCACAGAGCAACTGATGCCTCAGTGAAGTTTGAAAGAAACTCTGCCTTCTGTGAAGGCAGAGAAGAAATATGCAGGCAATTCTGCTTCAAAGAAATCTGCTAGGAATGGAAAATGCTAAAGCCTTTAAGACAAGTGAAATTGCAAAGCCTCAACATGTTCAGCTCAATCCACAGAGCACCAAATGTTAAATTGGAGCCAAAGTAGGATTGAACATTGAATTTCCAGCTATGCAACTCACAGAGCACAATTTCAGGTGTGGAAGCCATCTGTAGGCAAGTTCTTTTAAAAACATGAATTTCATACACCGTAAATTCTAAAACACACACTTCTGCATTATTGTTCAAATTTCAGAAGGGTACCCCAAGTCACCAGGGTCTTTCAAAGTCACCCACGGCAACAATTCTGTCTTTTTATTCCAGCCTTGGTAGCCCCCTTCCACAGTTCTCTAGCCTCTGCACACACTGCGCCTCACCACTGTAGAATGACTTCTGACATTAAATCCAGTCATGGCCTAAGTCGCATGAGGCAGCTATTTCCCAGGCACCTCCCTTCTCCTTGGCATGGGAGGCTTCCCAACCACTTCAGGCCCCACACAGGAGGCCACATCTGGAAGCACTATTCCTCCAGCTCCCTCTGCTGGAGACCAAAGTGACAGATTGTTGCAAAGATGTGTAGAAACAGATTACTTACACATTCATTTTTGTACACATTTAGTTAATTTAGAACCTGGGACTTTTACAATAGATTCCCCAAACCCCTTTATGGAGAGTGACAGACTACTCAGCAATGCTGAAGGAGCAGTTTCTCTCTCTAGGAAGAAGAGGATTAGTAGACATAATTGTGTGCATCAAGAGAAATTTGTAATAAAAAAATCAAAGTAAGATTAATGCCCCAGAAACCTGCATTTTATTGACACTGTCATTTTTGCAGACAGAGAATCTTAGAAAGATGTCACTTTTTTTTTTTTTTTTTGTGACGGAGTCTGCAGTGGTGCAATCTCGACTCACTGCAACATCCACCTCCCACGTTCAAGTAATTCTCCTGCCTCAGTCTCCCGAATAGCTGGGATTACAGGCACCTGCCATCACGCCTGGCTAATTTTTGTATTTTTAGTAGAGACGGGCTTTTACCATGTTAGCCAGGCTGGTCTCAAACTCCTGACCTCATGATCCGCCAGCCTTAGCCTCCCAAAGTGCTGGGATTACAGGTGTGAGCCACCGCACCTGGCCATCTTTTCTTTTAATGAATGAGAGGAGCCCACTTGTATCCCTGAATCATTCTTTGGGGAAAGCAACAGAAACAATTGACAGTCACACTTTTTAAAATAAAACAGTCACTCCCTTCAGTCCATACCTCCACGCCCTCATCTGTCTGCCCAATGTCTGTCAGTTCCGTAAAGTTACCCTCTCCTTCTACTCTAGTATTACCACAAGAACTGAAAATTTCAAGCAGAAAAAAATAAAAAATAAAAAAAATCATGTTACAAATAAGTGAGTGGAGGCCCAAGGGAAGCCCTTTGACTATGATTTCCAGTTCTCTGTTCAATCTACACTGCAGAGACAAAACGATAAACCACCAATTTGGTTCCCAAGTTTTATTCAAGAACTCATACAAAATATTTCAGATAAATGAAATTTAATCCTCGTCTTCCTCCTCTTCTTCATCCTGGTTAATTTGGAAGTAACATAATTTGTAACTCTCTTTACTGTTAGCAACTATGCACAACCAATCATGAAGATTATTCTTCTTCAAATATTTTTTAGTGAGATATATCAAATACCTTTTGGAAAAAGGTACCTTGGATGTCACGGTGATCTTGCTCTTGCTCTTTTCGATGGTCACCACCCCTCCACCAAGGTTCCCAACTTTTCCGTTCACTTTGATCCTTTCTTGCAAAAACTGCTCAAAATTGGCAGCATCTATGATTCCATCTTCTATGGGGTGGGTGCAACCAAGAGTGAACCTCAGAACCTGCTTTGTTTTTTGCCCGCCTTCTCCACAAGCTTTCTCACGGGCACCATGGCAGCAGCGGAGGCAGAAAGCCAGATATCTCTTTAACGTACTGATTTTCTTTCCTTTGGATGTATATCCAGTGATGGGATTGCTGGATCATATGGTAGCTTAATTTTTAGTTTTTTGAGGAACCTCCATACTGTTTTCCATAGCGGCTGTACTAATTTACATATCCACCAACAGTGTGTAAGAATTCCCTTTAATCTGCATCCTCTCCAGTATTTGTTATTTTTTGTCTTTTTGATAATAGCTATTCTGATTGGGATGAAATGAAATCTCATTGCAGTTTAGATTTTCATTTCCCTGATGGTTAGTGATATTAAGCATTTTTTTCTTATACTTGTTGGCCATTTGTAGATCTTTTGAAAAATGCCTACTTAGATCATTTGCCCATTTAAAAAAAATAGGGTTATTTTTTGTTGTGTTTTATTTGCTGTTGAGTTATTTGAGTTCTTTGTTTATTCTGGATGTTAATCCCTTGTCAAATGAGTAGTTTGTAAACAGTTTCTTCCATTCTGCAAGTTGACTCTTTACTCTGTTGTTTCCTTTGCTGTGCAGAGGCTTTTGAGTTTGATATAATCCCATTTGTCTATTTTTTCGTTGTTGCCTGTGCTTTTGTGTTCTCATCCATAAAATATTTGCCTAGATCAATGACCTAAGCATTTTCCTTATGTTTTCTTCTGGTAGTTTTATAGTTTTGGGTCTTGCATTTAAGTCTGTAATCCATTTGAGTTTATTTTTGTATATGGTGAGAGATAGGGGTCTAGTTTTATTCTTCTGCATATGGATATCCAGTTTTCTCATTACCACTTATTGAAGAGGCTGTCCTTTTGCCAATGTATATTCTTGATGTCTTTGTTGAAAATCAGTTGGCTGTAGATACATGTATTTATTTCTGGGTTCTCTATTCTGTTTCAGTAGTCTATGTACCTGTTTTTATGCCAGTACTGTGCTTTTCTGGTTACTATCTTGCACTATATTTTGAGGTCAGGTAGTGTGATGCCTCCAGCTTGGTTCTTTTTCTCAGGTTTGCTTTGGCTAGTCCAAGTCTTTTGTGGTTCCATATGAATTTTAGGATTGTTTTTATTTCTGCAAAGAATATCATTGATATTTTGATAGAGATTGTACTTAATCTGTAGATCATTTGGAATAGTGTGGTCATTTTAACAATATTAATTCTTCCAACCCATGAACATGGAATGTCTTTTCATTTTTAGGTCCTCTTCAATTTTTTTCATCAGTCTTTTATTGTTTTCATTGTAGAGGTCTTTCACCTCCTTGGTTAAATTTATTCCTAGGCATTTTTTTTTTGGTCGCCTTTTAAAATACAATTGCTTTCTTGATTTCATTTTCAGAAAGTTTGTTATTGGTGCATAGAAATGCTACTAATTTTTGTATGCTGATTTTACATTCTCAACTTTACTGAATTTGTTTATCAGTTCTAAGACTACCAAAAAGTAGTGTAGGCTCCAAATCCTACCATGACTGCGTCTCTTTTTCCTAGGTACATCTTCGACCTTGGCAAAATAAACTTCTAAATTGATTGAGACCTGTCTCAGACACTTTTTTGGTGTATGCTTGCTTTGTGAAATGAATTTAGAATTCCTTCTCTTTCAATTTTTTGGAGGAGTTTGAGAAGAATCGGAGTGAGTTCTTTGAAAATTTGGTAGAATTCAGCAGAGAAAGTTTTTCTTCATATGCATGGGGAAAAATCTCTCCTCAAATCATGTTTTCCTCTACTCTCCCATCTCAACAATCATCTACACAGAAGAAAACTTCTATGACCAGATGTATGGGGATCTTTCCCACAACCAAGCAGCAGACACCAGCTGAATGTTCTTCAATTCCATTCTAACACTATTTACATGGAGAGAGTGCCAGATCCCACAGGTTAAGGACTCAGTCCCCAAGCCTATTCTCTCCTTCCCCTAACCCACCGGTCCCAAGTCCAGGCCTCTGGAACTTCTGACTGATTGCCTTCAAGTTGGGGTTCCCACAACACCCTCTTTGGATTTAATTAATTTGTTAAGTGGCTCCCAGAACTCAAACGCTTACATTTACTGTTATACTAAGATGTATATTTTAAAGGATGCAGATAACCAGATGAAGAGATATATAGGATGAGATCTGCAAGGGTCCCAAATGCAGGAGCTTCTGATCCTGTGGAGCTGGAGTGCGCCACCCTCCCAGCACGTGGGCGAGTTTTTCTTCACCTTCCTGTCGGCTTCCATGTGTTCGGCTATCAGGAAGCTCACTGAACCCTGTCCTCTTGGATTTTTATGGAAGTTTCAAGGCAGCAGCATTCTTCCCCCAGAGGTATAGGGTGAGACCCCCTGGAGACTCACAATCAGAAAGGCAGGGGAACATTAGAGTGAAAGGAGGGCAGGAGAATGTCAGAGGCCTGTCCTTGAGGCCTAATGCCCCCAACCTTATAACAAAAGACTGTATCAAGGAGTATGGGAATTATGATCCAGAAACAGTGGATGAAAACCAAACAGGGACAATTTGACTTCCTCTTTTCCAACTTGGATGCATTGATTTCTTTCTCTTGTCTAATTGCTCTGGCTAAGACTTACGGTGCTACCTGAGTAAGAGTGGTAAAAGTGGGCATCCTTGTCTTGTTCCAGTTCTTAGAGGAGAGGTTTTCAGCTTTTTGCTCTTCGGTATGACATTGGCTGTGGGGGTTTGTCATCTATGGCTTTTATTATGTTGAGGTATGTTTCTTCTATAGTAATTTGTTGAGAGTTTTTATCATGAAGGGATATTGAATTTTATCACATGCTTTTACTGCATATATTGAATATTGAATTACCTTTTTTTGTTACTTTGTTTTTTTGAGTCAGGGTCTGGCTCTGTCGTCCAGGCTGGAGTGCAGTGGTGCAATCTCGGCTCACTGAAGGCTTAAGTGATCCTCCCTCCTCAGCCTCCCAAACAGCTGGGACTACAGGCATGCACCACCACACCTGGCCAATTCTTGTATTTTTTTTTTTTTTTAGAAATGGGTTTTTACCCTATTGCCAGGCTGGTCTCCAACTCTTGAGCTCAAGCAATCCACCTGCCTTGGCCTCCCAAAGTGCGGGGTTTACAGGCATGAGCCACCATGCCCAGCCAAGTTATCGTCTTTGTTATGTTATTGTTTCTATTGATGTGATATGTCACATTTATTGACTGGTATGTTTTGAAATATTCTTGCATCCTTAGAATAAATCCCTGTAGGCCATGGTGTATAATCTTTTTGATGTTCTGTTGGATTTGATATGCTAGTATTTTATTGAGGGTTGCCTGTACTTTTCTTTTTTGCTGTGTCTTTTTCTGGTTTTGGTGTCAGGGTAATGCTGGTGTGACAAGAAAATAAAATCTTGAGACCTCAAACTCACTATGCCAAAGGGAAGAGTTAAGCTTGGAAACTGAGTCAAGCAAAAAACTGCCTTTCTTCTTGTTCTTAAAGCAACAGCTGAAAGATAGAAGGGCATGCATCTCCTCAGGTGGCCTCCCTCACCCTGATAATGTAAATTAACAGCTTATCTTTATGAGTATAGGATAAGGCAAGGCTAGAAATCATCCCCCTACCTACTCTGAGATAAATGCATATTTGACTTCTTTCTCTATGTTTACTTTATCTTATGTAAAATGAAGATTTACTGAGCACAAGACAAATACATAATTGACTGTTCCTTTACTCCCTCCTATTATGTGCAACATGTGGATTCAGTGAGTGCTGGTCAAAGCCTCATAAGAATGTGACCACTTACTTCACTGTATATCCTCCCTCTTCTTTTGCTTTCATCTTTTTCCTCCTGCCTAGTTTTTCCACTTTAAATATTGAAGCCCTCAAAACCCACTTTGGAAAAAGTGTAGGCCCCAAATTCTACTGTGACTGTGTCTCTTTTTCCTGGGTATATCCTCGACCTTAGCAAAATAAACTTCTAAATCGATTGAGGCCTGTCTCAGACACTTTTTTGGTTTATACTGGCTTTGTGAAATGAATTTGGAATTCCCTGTCTTTCAATTTTTGGGAAGAGTTTAAGAAGAATTGGAGCGAGCTCTTTAAAAGTTTGGTAGAATTCAGCGGTGAAACTATCTGGCCCTGAGCTTTTCTTTTTGTGAGACTTTTATTTATTACTGATTTAATTTAATTGCCTATTATTGGTCTGGTCATGCTTTTTATTTCTTTTGGTATAATTCTGGTGGGTTATATGTGTCTAGAATTATGTCCATTTATTTTAGGTTTGTCAATTTCTTGGCATATAGTTCTTCATAATCTCTAATGATTCATTGTATTTCTGTGGTATCAGTTGTAATGTCTCCCTTTTCACTTCTGATTTATTTATTTGGGTTTTCTGTCCTTTTTTAAATTAGCCTAGCTAATGGTTTTGTAATTTAGTTTATCTTTTCAAAAAACCAACTTTTCTTTTTATTGATTTTTTTTTTTTTTTTGAGATGGAGTTTCACTCTTGTTGCCCAGGCTGGCACAATCTCAGCTCACCACAACCTTTGCCTCCTGGGTTCAAGCAATTCTTCTGCCTCAGCCTCCCAAGTAGCTGGGATTACAGGCATGTACCACCATGCCCAGCTAATTTTGTATTTTTAGTAGAGATGGGGTTTCTCCATGCTGCTCAGGCTGGTCTTGAACTCCTGACCTCAGGTGATCTGCCTGCCTCGGCCTCCCAAAGTGCTGGGATTACAGGTGTAAGCCACTGCACCCGGCCTTATTGATCTTTCATATATATATTTTAGTCTCTATTTTGTTTTGTTTTTGCTCTGATCTTTATTTTTTTCCTTCTACTAATTTCCTTCTACTAATTTGGTTTGTTCTATCTTTTCTAGTTCCTTGAAGTGCATCATTAGGTTGTTTATTTAAAATCTTTCTTTTGTTTTTGATGTCAGCATTTATTGCTATAAATTTCCCTCTTAGTACTGCTTTTGCTTTATCCCATAGCTTTTGGTATGCTGTGTTTCTTTTTTTCTTTTTTTTTTAGATGGAGTCTAGCTCTGTCACCAGGCTGGAGTAAAGTGGCGTGATCTTGGCTCACTGCAATCTCTGCCTTGAGGATTCAAGCAATTCTCCTGCCTCAGCCTCCCGAGTAGCTGGGATTACAGGTGCGCGCCACCACACCTGTTGGGGAAAAGCTGAGTGTTGGGAAAAAAGCTGAGTCAGGGCTTGCATGACTGATATAATGTAAAAGAGTCTTGGAGTATGTCCGAGGTCCAGGGTCTAAAACCCCTCACGGCCTTTGGAACACCAAGCTCTGTGCTAAAGGGTGGAAGGCTGCCCTGTCACACCATAATCTAAGCCCAGGGCATAAAACCCCTCGTGGCTTGGATGGAATCCAGGACTCAGGGTATAAAACCCCTCGTGGTCTCTGGAATGTGTCTAGGCTTGCTGGCTTCTTGCTTCTAGCATTCCCAGGCTCATAGATCGATTGTATCTTAAACTAGAAGAACATGTTTCCCATTATCTCAAGTAGCAGAACATGTTCCATATGCTTCAAAGAAAATGCTAAACTGTCACAGCTGTAGATTATGCACTTGATGCACTGCTTTCTTTCAACCCCCACATCCTCACTACCTGCTTCTTTGTTTGATCACCAATAAATACCGCAGGCTTCCAGAGCTCAGGACCTTCGCAGCCTCCATACCAGCATTGGCCCCCTGGTCCCACTTTATGTACGCTTGTCTTGTCTTGTTCCTTTGGCTCCACAAGACTTTGTAGCCCTCACGGCCTGGTGTTGGATCTGATCACCCCAACACACACCCAGCTAATTTTTTTGTATTTTTAGTAGAGATGTGGTTTTACCATGTTGGCCAGGATGGTCTTGATTTCCTGATCTTGTGATCTGCCCACCTTGGCCTCCCAAAGTGCTGGGATTACAGGTGTGAGCCACCGCACCCTGCCGGTATGTTGTGTTTCTAATTTCATTTGTTTCAAGAAATTTTTAAATTTTATTCTTAATTCATTGACTCATTGGTCCTTCAGAATCATGTTGTTTAATTTCCATGTATTCATACAGTTTCCAAAGTTCCTTTTGTTATTGATTTATAGTTTTATTTCACTGTGATCAGGAAAGATACTTGATATAGTTTCAATTTTGAAAAAATTGTTGAGACTTGTTTTGTGTCTGCACATATGGTCTATCCTGAAGAGTGTTCCATGTGCTGATGAAAAGAATATGTGTTCTACAGCTGTTGGATGAAATGCTCTGTGTCTGTTAGGTCTATTTGGTCTAAAGTGCAGTTTAAATCTGATGTTTCTATGTTGATTTACTGTCTAGATGATCTGTCCAATGCTGACGTGGTGTGTTGAAGTCCTCTACTATTACTGTACTGGGATCTATCTCTCCCTTTAGGTCTAATAATATTTGCTTTATATATCTGATTTCTCCAGTGTTGGGTGCAAATATATTTATACTTATTATATCCTTTTGCTAAACTGTGCCCTTTATCATTATGTAATGATCTTCTTTGACTCTTTTTATAGTTTTTAAATTAAAGTCTACATTATCTAAGTATACCCAACCATGTTTTCTGTAGGTTTGTGTTTTCCTGGAATATCTTTTTCCATCTCTTTACTTTCAGTCTGTGTGTGTTTCTTTAAAAAAAAAAAAAAGCTCACGCCTGTAATCCCAGCACTTTGGAAGGCTGAGGCAGGCAAATCACAAGGTCAGAAGTTCAAGACCAGCATGGCCAACATAGTGAAACCCTCTCTCTACTAAAAATACAAAAAATTAGCTGGGTGTGGTGGTGGGCACCTGTAATCTCAGCTACTTGGGAGGCTGAGGCAGGAGAATTGCTTGAATCCGGGAGGCAGAGGTTGCAGTGAGCTGAGATCGCGCCATTGCATTCCAGCCCCAGCGACGGTGCAAGACTCCGTCTCAAAAATAAAATAAAATAATTAAAAACAAGTTTTGTGGGTACATAGTAGGTGTATATGTTTATGGTTTACATGAGACATTTTGCTGTAGGCGTCTATCCCCTCAAGCATTTATCCTTTGTGTTACAAACAATCCAGTTATATCTTTTTTAGTTATGTTAACATGTACAGTTTAGTTATAACTGACTACAGTTCCCCTGCTGTGCCATCAGATAGTAGGTCTTATTCATTCTTTCTAACATTTTTTTAGTATCCACTAACCATGCCTACCTCCCCTCTGCCCACCCACTTCCCTTCCTAGGTTCTGGGAACAATCCTTGTATTCTCTATCTTCATGAGTTCAATTATTTTGATTTTTAGATCCCACAGTTAAGTGAGAACATGCAATGTTTGTCTTTCTCTGCCTGGCTTATTTCACTTAACATAATGACTTCCAGTTCCATGAACATCAAATGATAGAATCTTATTTTATTTTATTTTATTTTATTTTTTGAGACAGAGTCTCGCTCTGTCGCCCGGGCTGGAGTGCAGTGGCGTGATCTCAGCTCACTGAAACTTCTGCATCCCAGGTTCAAGCAACTCTCCAGCCTCAGCCTCCTGAGTAGCTGGGACTACAGGCATGTGCCACCGCATCCAGCTAATTTTTATATTTTTAGTAGAGATGAGGTTTCGCCATGTTGGCCAGGCTGGTCTTGAACTCCTGACCTCACGTGATCCTCCTGCCTTGGCCTCCCAATGTGCTGGGATTACAGGCATGAGCCACCATGCCTGGCTGATGAACGATCTTTTTAATGTAGAATTCTGTTGAGGATTTTTGTACCAATATCCATAAGAGATATTGGCCTGTAGTTGCCTTTTTTTGATGTGTCTATGTCTAGTTTTGTTATCAGGGTAATATTGGCCTTAAAGAATGAGTTTGGAAGTATTCCCTCTTCCTCTATTTCTTGGAATAGTTGAGTAGGATTAGTATTAATTCTTCTTTAAATTTTTGGTAGAATTCAGCAGTTAAGTCATTAAGTCCCAGGCTTTTCTTTACTGGGAGACTTATTATTATGGCTTTGCTCTTGTTACTTGTTATTGATCTGTTCAGGTTTTGGGTTTCTTCATGGTTCAATATCAGTAAGTTGTATGTGTCTAGGAATTTATCTGTTTCTTCTAGATTTTCCAATATATTGGCATATAGTTGCTTATAGTAGCCACTAATGATCCTTTGAATTTCAGAGTTATAATGGCTTATTTTTCATCTCTGATTTTATTTATGCGTGTTTTCTCTTTTTTTCTTAGTCTGCCTAAATGTTTGTCAATTGTATTTATCTTTGCAAAAAACAACTCTTTGTTTTATTGATTTTTTGTATTGTTTCCTTTTGGTTTGTTTGTTTGTTTCTTTGTTTGTTTTTGAGACGGAGTTTCACTCTTGTTGCCCAGGCTGGAGTGCAATGGCGTGATCTCAGATCACTGCAACCTCCATCTCCCGAGTTCAAGTGATGCTCCTGCCTCAGCCTCCTGAGTAGCTGGGATTACAGGCATGTGCCACCACGCCCAGCTAATTTTGTATTTTTAGTAGAGATGGGGTTTCTCTATGTTGGTCAAGCTGGTCTTGAACTCCCAACCTCAGGTGATCCACCTGCCTCAACCTCTCAAAGTGCTAGGATTACAGGCATGAGCCACTGTGCCCAGCCTTGTATTGTTTTCTTCATTTCAAATTCATTTATTTCTGCTCTGATCTTTATTATTTCCTTTCTTCTACTAATTTTGGGATCAGTTTTCTCTTGCTTTTCTAATTCTTTAAGATGTATCATTAGGTTATTTATGTGAAGTTGTTCGTATTTTTTGAAGTAGGCACTTACAGCTATAAATTTCCCTCTTATAACTGCTTTCACTGTAGGTTTTGGTATGTTGTGTTTTCATTATCATTTGTTTCAAAAAAAATTTTTTCAGTTTCTTTCTTGGTTTCTTCACTGATCCACTAGTCCTTCAGGAGTGTATTTTTAAATTTCCATATGCTTGTATAGTTTTGCAAAATTCTTCTTGTTATTGTTTCCTTTCATTGTGGTCAGAGAAGATGCTTGATATTATTTCACTTTTTTGAATGTTTTAAGGCTCATTTTGTGACCTAAAATATGATCTATCCTTGAGAATGATCCATGTGCTGAGGAGAAAAATGTGTATTCTGCAGCCATTGGGTGAAATGTTCTGTAAATATCTATTAGGTCCATTTTTCTATAGGGCAGATTAAGTTTGATGTTTCTTTGTTGATTTTCTGTCTGGGAGATCTGTCCAATGCTGAAAGGGGGTTGTTGAAGTCGCCAGCTATTATTGTATTGGGGGTCTATCTCTCTCTTTAGCTACAATAATATTTGCTTCATATACCTGGGTGCTTCTTGGGAGCACTTCCAGCATCACTAGTGCCACTTCATGTGGATCCCATGGTGTTATTCAAGGTTTACAGTACAGCACGAAACAGGACAAAAAATACATGTGAACAGGGAGAGGGCACTTTTTACTGTGATGCGCAATTCACTGGAGATGACCTGCTTATGATGGAATGTTGAGTATCACAGAACGTTTTAAGTGGATACTTGCAACACCTGAGCTCATTGCAACAGCAACAGGAGGAGGCTATGAAATTATTACCGTACTGTGGTATGCACTACGGTTAAATTTATGCAGTTACAATTTAATACTGCATCTTGATGTTTGTATACACTTCTCTCAACTGAGAATAGCACCATATACGATCTGTGAGTGTGTACATAAGCTTTACTAAATTTTAACTTTTGCAATAGTTTTGTTATATTTTATGGCAGTAAATAATAAAATAGACTAGGTATCTACATACATTTTATGCATTCATGACATACTTAACTTTTTCTATTTTTGTTAATATTTCTAGCTGCATGGTTTGTCTTTGAGTTTTTTCAAATTGTTGCAAAACTCCAAAACATTTTCTAACACATTTATTGAAAAAAAATCTGTGTGTAACAGTTCAGACGTGTGTTGTTCAATGATCAACTATATGTCTAAAGAGTACAAATCAGTCTGTAACCTTCCCCAGCCTCTCCATGCTAAAGGAACTACAGGAAACTTTCGCACGCAAGATGTGTGGAGATTCCGCTGCTGCACTTGTAACAGGCATAAGAACGTTCAAATAGGCCGGGCGCGGTGGCTAATGCCCGTAATCCCAGCATTTTGGGAGGCCAAGGCGGGTGGATCACGAGGTCAGGAGGTCGAGACCAGCCTGGCCAGCATGGTGAAACCCCATCTCTACTAAAAATACAAAAAATTAGCCAGGCTTGGTGGCGGGCGCCTGTAGTCCCAGCTACCCGGGAGGCTGAGGCAGGAAAATAGTGTGAACCCGGGAGGCGGAGCTTGCAGTGAGCCGACATCACCCTGGGCAACAGAGTGAGACTCCATCTCAAAAAAAAAAAAAAAAATACAGCTAACATATACCACATTTAATATAGTGAAACTTTACCAAAACTTTAGTACTTACCAAAGGGACCCATGCTTCAATTTCAAAACTAGTTTAACTTTAAAAAAAAAAATCTAACTATACTCATTGAAGGTTTCCCATCTGTGACAGGTTTAGAGTACCAATGCATTTAATAGCAGTGAGCCATAGCCCTCCATATTAGGACCCACCTAAATGGGAAGCTTCACTGAGAATTATTAACAAAATTCTTCTGCCAAATTGTGCAGACAGGAACATAACAAATTTAAAATATCAATCTAAAGTAACATTACGAATATTCATGCAGGCAGCCTGAAGTCCTACTAAAGGCATGAAGTGCTACTTATTGCTTACCCGAACCACTCCTGTGTATAGCACCAGGTTTCCACTGCCTTCCAAGACCAGCATGGTGTCTATTTTCTTAAAAAAAAAAAAAAAAAAGACAAAAAATTTATTTCCCAATCTGAGCAAATTAACAGATTTTTTGACTGAAAAATCTGATGAAGCGTAATTGTCAACTTCTCAAATGTGCCTACATTACCTCCACTGGTGCTGCATCCTTTGCTGGTATGTTGGTCACTGAATCAAAGATGAGCTGGGTTTTATCATTACTCTCTTGAAACTTTACACAGCTAAATAATAAAATAAAAAAGAAACTTGATACATGCAATAACCTGTATGGGTATTAAAAGTATTATGCTGAACAGAAAAAGACAATCTCAAAAGTTTACATACTGTATGAGACCATTTATAAAACCTTCACAAATGCCAAATTATCAAGATGGAGAATTAGTGGTTACCAGCATCAGTGGGTAATGGTGTATGTGACTATAAGGAGTTAACGTAAGACAGATAAAGATGTTTTGTATCTTGATTGTGGTGGTATTTACACACATCTACATATGTGAAAAAACTGCATAGAACCATACATACACATAAATGAGTACATGTCAAATTGATGAAATTTGAAATAACGTGTGTAGATCATCTATTTCCTGGTTATGATAATGTATTATAGTTATATAAGAGGTTACCTGTGAGGGAAAAAGAATGCAAGGTACACAGGACTTATTTACTATTTTGTAACTTCCTGTGATCTATCGTATTTCAAAATATGAAGGTAAATAAATGGGCAAAAGATCTGAATAGATATTTTTCCTAAGAAGATAAATGAATGGCTAATAACTTCATGAGATGATCAACATCAGAATGCATTAGAGAAAAGCAAATTAAAGCCACTTCACAACCACTGGAAAATAGCTACAATCAAAGAGTGTGATGATATCCAATCCTGTCAAGGATAAAGAGACATTAACCTTCATATTTTGCTGGTGGGAATATAAAATGATACAGGCTATTTGGAAAACAGTTCGGTGATTTCTTAAAAAGTTAAACATGAATTTAACATGAAGTTAAACATGATTGAGCTGATTTTTAGAATATAGTCTAAGTGCTTCTCTTCCATCCTCTCCAGATTCTCACCTGCTACACACCCCTCAGAGGGACTGGAGGAATCCAGACAACGATGCGCAGGGGCCCTGGTGCTATACTACTGATCCAGAACAGAGATATGACTACTGCGACATTCCTGAGTGTGAAGGGCAGGAGTGGCTCTAGAAAATGTTTTCATTTCTGCTCTTCACCTGTAAAATAATTTGTTGTAAAGCCCCTTCCCACAGGGATATTATTAATAATTGCGTAACGTGTTCACCTCTCGGAAAGGAGCAAAACTTTGCTCAGATCCCAGAATTAACCTGATTTTTTTTTTTCTGAGACAGAATTTTGCTCTCATTGCCCAGGCTAGAGTGCAATGGTGCGATCTCGGCTCACCACAACCTCCGCCTCCGGGTTCAAGCGATTCTCCTACCTCAGCCTCCCAAGTAGCTGGAATTACATGCATGTGCCACCATGCCTGGCTAATTTTACATTTTTAGTAGAGACAGGGTTTCTCCATGTTGGCCAGGCTGGTCTTGAACTCTCGACCTCAGGTGAGCCACCCGCCTCAGCCTCCCAAAGTGCTGGGATTACAGGCGTGAGCCACCATGCCCAGCAGACCTGAATTATTATTATTATTAAAATGTTACATCAACATGTACAAATATAAAACTACATCTAAACTCTAAGTACAAACTTCTTATGCTTAAAACTCTTACACAGTGTTAACCCCAAGACAGATTTGCAATTAAGTAGTTAAAATAAAACAACAAAGTCAATAAAAATCAAATAAACAATATACATTTAATGTGGTAGACTTTGCTGTTTTGCTGAAGCTAAGCAAGGAACCAGTTTTTAAATCAGCAATCCGTTATTTTAATGGACTGAGCAATTTAATAGTGCACCTCAAAGGTCAATGCTAAAAACTAAAAAAAAAATTCCTACTGAAAAAACTGTCATCGTTTCACATTTCTGGCTACGTTAGTGCAAAAGGGAATAAATAAAGGTGAGATGTGTGTGACAGTGTGGATATGGTACTGTGTGACAACTCAGTTCTCCCATCACTTCCACCTGTTTGAATCATCGGGCTCCTTTATTTGTACACCATGTTATCGGTATTTGCCCTTAAGCACCACCAATGCATCACTTTTATATTAAGTCTGCCCATTTTCCTTAGTACTCCATAAAATTTAAGTCACATATTACTCTGCCTCACCATGTTACTTCAATAATTCTGAATCAAAGTTTAAGTTTGTGAATAATTTTGCAAAAAAAGAGCCAATCATGCTTCTCAACAACATAAAAAGAGAAGCACCATCACTTCAGGTGAATATTGTTCTCCGTGAGGCCATGAGCATAAACAAAAACTCCAGACTAAAACCCTGAGACGGTGCCAGGTCATTCAGCAGTCAGCAGAATGATGAGTATAATTTCAAACAAAGTTTTAAAGATCATTATTGAAATGATGTATTTTGAGCTTCCTGGATCTGTTCCTTTATGTCTACCTTAGTTCATTTGGGCTGCTGTGACAAAAATATCATAAACTGGAGAGTTTATAAACAACAGAAATTTATTTCTCACCGTTCTAGGGGCTGTGATGTTCAAGACCAAGGCACTAGCAGTGTCTGGTGAGGCCCTGCTTCCTCATAGATGACACATTCTGGCTTTGTCCTCACATGGTGTCAGGGGCTAGCTAATTCCCTGGGGCTTCTTTCATAAGTGCACTAATCTCTGTCCTGAGGGTAGAGCCCTCGTAACCTGATTGACTCCCAAAAGCCCCACCTCAGTACTATCACATTGAGGATTAAGTTTCAATATAACTTTTGAGGAGACACAAACATTCAGACCATAGCTTTATCTATCATGAATTTGGGGAAATTTTCAGTCACTGTTGCTTCAAATGTTTCTTCTGTTTCTTTCTCTTTTTTTTTTTTTTTTTTTTTGAGACAGAGTCTTGTTCTGTTGCCCAGGCTGGAGTGCAGTGGCATGATCTCAGCTCACTGCAAGCTCCTCCTCCCAGGTTCACGCCATTCTCCTGCCTCAGTCTCCCAAGTAGCTGGGACTACAGGCGCCTGCCACCACGCCCTGCTAATTTTTTGTATTTTTAGTAGAGACAGGGTTTCACCGTGTTAGCCAGGATGGTCTCGATCTCCTGACCTTGCGATCTGCCCGCCTCGGCCTCCCAAATTGCTGGGATTATAGGTGTAAGCCACCACGCCTGGCTTTCTTTCTCTTTTTCTTCTCTTTCTGGTATTTCCAAAAAGTCTCCATGTTCCACCTTTTGTAATTGTCTCACAGTTCTTGACTCTTGTTCTGTTTTTTCTTTTTCATTCTT
The DNA here is from genome assembly GCF_000001405.40 of Homo sapiens. Classification (NCBI taxonomy): domain Eukaryota; kingdom Metazoa; phylum Chordata; class Mammalia; order Primates; family Hominidae; genus Homo; species Homo sapiens. The sequence continues at coordinate 107,900,826 of NC_000002.12, read as the reverse complement.
TTTTCTCATTGTGTGTCAGCTTTTGAAGTATCTATTGGCATCTCTTTGAGCTCACTGATTCTTTCATTGGCCATATCCATTCTTTTGATGAACCCATCAAAGGCATTCTTCATTTCTGTTATGGTGTTTTTTATTTCTAGTATTTCATTTTTATTTCTTCTTAGTGTTTTTATCTCTTTGCTTACATTACCCATCTGTTCTTGCATGTTATGCCATTTTTACATTAGAGCCCCTAGCATGTTAATCTTAGTTATTTTAAATTCCTGGTTGGATACTTCCAATATTTCTTTCATATCTGAGTCTGGTTCTGATGCTTGCTTTATCTCTTCAAAGTGTGGGGTTTCTTGTCTTTTAGTATGCTTTGTAATTTTTTGTTTGAGGCTGTATATGATGTACTGGGTGAAAGGAACTGAGTTAAATAAGGCTTTAGTATGAGATTTTGTGTTTCTCTGGCTAGGAGTTAGGCTTTGTTTACTCTTTGCTATATAGTCATGGATGTCAGAGGCTAAAATTTCCTCTAGTGTCCCTGTGTTGTCTCCCCTGTCTTCTCTGGGGAGCTCCCTAGAGGCTTCTTTGTAAAGTAGCTCTGAGTCTTGCAGTGTCTATCCCTAATCATGGGAAAACATCAAACAAACCCATACAGCGGGACATCTGACAAAGTACCAAGTGTCAAGGATCATGGATTGAATCCTGAAACAGAGGAAGGACACTGAAGGAAAGACTGGGAAAACCTGACTGAGGTCTGGAGTGTAGTTAGTGATACTATACCAAGACGAATTTCTTAGTTTTGATAATTTGTTAACAGTTATGTTAACATTGGGGGTAGCTGTGCAAGGGGTGTGAGAATGCTGTTATATCTTTAACCTTGGCCCATGGTTAAGGTGTTTCCAGTGTAAGGTCACTGTTATTCCTTGTAGTTAACATATATTTGGCACCACAGGATTCATTCTGGAATTCTCTTTGGCTTATTTATAACTTTTTTTCTTTTTCTAGTAGTGAGAAACCTGGCTTTCATGCAGAGTTTACAAACGCCAATTTAAACTTTTGTTTTGTCATATGCAATGATTTTATTACCTGTCTTTATTTCAGAGCTTATGAATTTTTAATTATTCTAAGGGCTAACATAGAACTTTTTCATGTTTTCTACTCTTCAAGAGTAGGTAAGACTTTAGTTTGTAATACATTACAAAAGGAATCCTGTGGTTCTCTAAGAGCTAATTTGTCTTGGCAAAAGGCCTTAGCGAGCTGTGAATGGTGGATCATGCCTGTAATCCCAGCACTTTGATCTGAGACGGCTGGATCACCTGAGGCCAGAAGTTTGAGACCAGTTTTGCCAGCATGGCAAAACCCCATCTCTGCTAAAAATACAAAAAATTAGCCAGGCATAATGCCATGCACCTGTAGTCCCAGCTACTTGGGAGGCTGAGGCAGGAGAATCTCTTGAACCTCAGAAGTGGAGGTTGCAGTGAGCCGAGATCGTGCCACTGCACTCCAGCCTGGGAAACAGCGAGACTGTCTCAAAACAAACAAAAAAACCAAAAAACAAAAAAATTAGATGGGCGTGGTGGCATGCACCTACAGTCCCAGCTACTCAGGAGGCTGAGGCAGGAGAATCGCTTGAACCCAGGAGTTGGAGGTTGCACTGAGCAGAGATCATGCCGCTGCACTCTAGCCTGGGTGACACAGTGAGTATCCATCTCAAAACAACAACAACAACAAAAACAAAAACAAATTTAAAAACCCAACAACAACAAAACCAGCAAACAAAAAAACTAAACAGGCTTTAAGGAAAGAGCAATCTAATTATCTGATTATATGATTGGCACTAAGATGGGAATGACTCTGGCCTAATTTCTTCAATTTACATTTTAAAATAGGAGCTTAGTTAGCCCCCAAATAATATGTAATTGATGTATTAGCGTTGGGGAGTGAATATTTTTCAAAGCAGAAGATATTTCTCAATTCTTGCTTAGTTTTAGAGGTTGAAGTTCAAGGAAGCCCCTGCCTTGGCACTGTATTCCAGGGAGGTATTTGGAGTTAATTTCAGGGCTTAGCAGTGACTCTTTAGAAAAGCAGTATACGATTGAAATGTAATGTGGTACAAATGAGATCACTACAAGTAATTTAAAAATGTGCTAGTAGTGTTTTTTTTTTCTGAGACGGAGTCTCGCTCTGAAGCCCAGGCTGGAGTGCAGTGGCACGATCTCAGCTCACTGCAAGCTCCGCCTCCCAGGTTCGCGCCATTCTCCTGCCTCAGCCTCCCTAGTAGCTGGGACTACAGGCGCCTGCCAACACGCCTGGCTAATTTTTTGTGTTTTTAGTAGAGACGGGGTTTCACCGTGTTAGCCAGGATGGTCTCGGTCTCCTGACCTCGTGATCCTCCCACCTCAGCCTCCCAAAGTGCTGGGATTACAGGAGTGAGCCACCACACCCAGCCTCTAGTAGTACTTTTATCAAAAGTAAATAGAAACGTGAAATTAATTTTCACAATACATTTTATTTAAACTAATATGTTCACAATGTTAAAATTTCAACATGTAATCACTATAAAAACTACTAGTGAGATATTTCACATTACTTTTTTCATGTAAGCCTTTGAAATCTGGTGGGTATTTTATATTTACTGTACATCCTGATTTGGAATAACCACATTTCAATCTTTCAATAGCCACATGTGGCTAGTGGATACTGTGTTAGAGCAGTTCTAGAACAAAGGAGTCCCTTTAAAACTATTTTGAAGTCATCGTCTATAAGGCAATATGAAAGCTGATCTGAATGATTTCTCCTTTTCCAGGAAAGGAAACAAAAATGAAATCATGTTAGGGCTGCATATTTTATGGATCCCAGGAAAAATACACATAGTCTGAAAGAATGATCTCAGTCAGAAACTCAGAATGAATCATATGAATTAAACATTGGACAATGTCCAATGCTCAGCATATGTTTTTGGTTTATACTAAGAGCATATTATGCCACCAAATACAGATATTTACTATTATACTTCGTGTAGGAGGTATATTGAGACATTGTTCTAGACTACCACAGTTCCATATTTTGTGAAAAGTTATATTGCACTTTTTTTTTTTTGAGAGTGTGCCCAGGCTGGAGTGCAATGGCATGATCTCAGCTCACTCCAGCCTCCACCCCCCCAGGTTCAAGGGATTCTCCTGCCTCAGCCTCCCTAGTAGCTGGGATTACAGGTGGGCACCACCACGTCTGGCTAATTGTTGTATTTTTAGTAGAGATGGGGTTTCATCATGTTGGCCAGGCTGGTCTCGAACTCCTGATCTCAGGTGCTCCACCCGCCTCAGCCTCCCAAAGTGTTAGGATTACAGGTGTGATCCACCACGCCCAGCCTTATATTTCACTCTTTGGGAATTGCATCTTACTGTAATCTTAAACTACACTAAAATAAATAATGTAAACCTTTTGTCAAATTGCTCAGAGTAGGTTTCTACTTTGGTTATAAGGAATAAAATTCATGCTTTTGTGTACACACTAGACATCTAAAGCAACCAACCATAGTTAACATGCAGTGCTCTTACCAAAAGGTAACTCTTTCTAGAATCCGGCACACCATTTAATATCAGTATGAGCATATGGTGGGTTTAATAATTGTTTTCCATGTTTATAAGTTTTCTTTAGTTTTATAAGCAGTTAAAATGAATCCCTTTCACTGAAATACAATCTGTGGTGGGACTTCTAGCTTTTCTCTATCTTACGCTGCTAGATTTATGTCACTGCCATAGCTATGCAATGGGTGATATTTACACTATGCTCAAACAAAGCAACCAGAAAAACACATATCACTGAATAATACAGATATTCTGAAGTCAAGCAAGCCAACTTTCATTAACAGATCAATTTCCTTAGAAAAGTTGATGAAACTAAAGACAAGTTCAAACAAAAAGCCCTCTCAAGGGGGTATGAATTTCTGGTAACTTATGGGGTAAGAAAAAGAGCAAGAAACTTGAAAGTAGGGAAGAGAAAAAAGAAAAGGAGCAAGAGGGAATAGCCAGCTCTCAAAAGAGTCTCCAATAGGAAAGCAAAATCTGTATCTAGCCAGTACCAACATGTGAAGAAAGAGTGAGCATAGCAAAATTGAGAAAGGTTGCTTGAAAACCAAACAAAAAACCAAATACCTGTAATCCTAGCACTTTGGGAGGGTGAGGTGGGTGGATTGCCTGCACTCAGGAGTTCAAGACCAGCTGGGCAACATGGTGAAAACTTGTCTCTACTAAAATCCAAAAAAAAAAAAAAAAAAAAAAAAAAAATTAGCCAGGCATGGGCTGGGCGCGGTGGCTCACGCCTGTAATCCCAGCACTTTGGGAGGCCAAGGTGGGCAGATCACGAGGTCAGGAGATCGAGACCATCCTGGCTAACACAGTGAAACTCCATCTCTACTAAAAATACAAAAAATTAGCCGGGCGTGGTGGCGCGTGCCTGTAGTCCCAGCTACTCGGGAGGCTGAGGCAGGGGAATCACTTGAACCCAGGAGGTGGAGGTTGCAGTGAGCTGAGACCATGCCACTGTACTCCAGCCTGGCAACAGAGCGACACTCGTCTCAAAAAAAAAAAAAAAAAAAAAAAGTCTCTTTTGGCCAGGTGTGGTGGCTCACACCTGAAATCTCAGCACTTTGGGAAGCCAAGGTGGGTGGATCACTTGAGTCCAGGAGTTCAAGATCAGCCTAGGTAACATGGCAAAACCTCGTCTCTACCAAAAACAAACAAACAAAAATCAGCCGGATGTGGTGGTACACACCTGTAGTCCCAGCTACTTGGGAGGCTGAGGCAGGAGAATCACCTGAGACCGGGAGGCAGAGATTGCAGAGAACTGAGACTATGCCAAGGCACTCCAGCCTGGGCGACAGAGCAAGACTCTCTCTCTCAAAAAAGAAAAAACAAAAAGCCTCCTTTAAAAAATGCAGTTTGATGCTATAAATTTATCAGTTAATAGTTTTTGGGGCAAAAAATGTTTTCTGACATTTCAATAAGAGCTATAGACGAAGTCCAGCATTAGTCATGACTCTGGACTAAGTCTGGAAATCTGGAATCTCTTCCCAGCTCTGGGAGGTACAAAGTTTTAAAAAATAAGGTCAAAATGCTGGAAAACATTCAATTTATTTCCTTATTAACACAATTGTTCACTCATAAACGACAGTAACACTTGGTGCTATGGGTCATGCACTGAGGTCAGAACAAGGAACAGAAGAAAATGAGGTAAATTGGTAAATCTTTTTGCAGGCTGAGAAGTGAGAGAATGCTGGCATGCCTACTCTGTGCTGGGTTTTTTTTTTTTTTTTTTTTTTTGAGATGGGGTCTTGCTCTATCGCCCAGGCTGGAGTGCAGTGGCGCAATCTCGGCTCACTGCAAGCTCCACCTCCTGGGTTCACGCCATTCTTCTGCTCTTCTGCCTCAGCCTCCCAAGTAGCTGGGACTACAGGCATCCGCCACCATGCCTGGCTGATTTTTTGTATTTTTAGTAGAGACGGGGTTTCACCGTGTTAGCCAGGATGCTCCCGATCTCCTGACCTTGTGATACGCCCACCTTGGCCTCCCAAAGTGCTGGGATTACAGGCGTGAGCCACCGCGCCCAGCCCTCTGTGCTGGGTTTTATGTCGTCCAATAACTCACAACTATGTAATTTATTTCCTTTTTACAGATAAAGAAATGGGGGCTCAGAGCAGTCAAGAACATGCCCCAAGTTATTCGTCAGTGAGGCGGAAATTGTGGTGTCCTTGTGTAAGTTCACAGTTTATACTTTACCATTATACTGTGCTCCAAATTATCTGATATTTACTTTCAAAGCATGTGTAGAAAGTTTACTATGATGATGCAGAGACATTGTACAGAATCCAGTCCCTTGACTCTCAGGTCCCCAGAACACTCACTTCACGATTTTGTTGACCTCTTCTGTCAACTTAAACCTGGCACTCTCTTGGCTGGCTTTCTCTGCTCTTTCTGGGCACTCCAAAGCTTCTGTACTTACATGCTACAATTCCAGTCACAGGAAGATGCTGAGTTCTTTAGTCCCAGATCCATATTCCTGAGAAAACCTAATTGCCTAGGCTCAGGTCATAACTCTGTATCTGTTTCAGTTGATTATGGCTGGGCCTACTGCCCCTCTGTATGGTGGTGGGGCAAAAGTTCCCAGAGAGAGGCAGGGGTGACAGGTTGTCTCAAATGCTAGGCAGACATCTGGAGTGGTAACCACTACATCTGTTCACAGTGAGCACATCCTTGCAGGGAAACTGGGTTAATCATCTATATTATTGAAACTCAGAGGTATAGTGTTTCTTCATAGGAATTTTCTTTCTTTATTTGAGATGGGGGTCTCACTTTGTTGCCCAGGCTGGAGTGCAGTGGTGTGTGATCTTGGCTCACTGCAGCCTCCCCTCCCGAGTTCAAGCGATTCTCCTACCTCAGCCTGCTGAGTAGCTGGGACTACAGGCATGGGCCAACATGCCTGGCTAATTTTTGTATTTTTCGTAGAGACAAGTTTTCACCATATTGGCCAGGCTGGTCTTGGACTCCTGACCTCAGGTGATCTGCCCACCCTGGCCTCCCTAAGTGCCGGGATGACAGGTGTGAACCATCGCACCCAGACTATTTATAGGAATTTTCTGTAGGTATATAAGTAATAATTTGAAGGTCACAACTAGATGCCTTTTCGTGTAACCGTATCTTGAATGGAACAAACATTTTCTTTCTACGTAATTATACATAAATAACTCAATGCTTTTTAATACCCATGAAAAGCCATTAGCTCAAAGACACTTGCAAACTTGTATCAGGTTGTTTTCCTTGGTGTGTATTAAGTTTGAAGCAAAGGGGATTTTCACATACCAAGACGAAGCAGAAGTCTTCCACCAAGTTGAAATCATCACGTTGCAATTTAATCATGTGATACAACCAATTTTTTGATGTGTTATGCCATTCGCCAAATACCAAAAATTTTTTAGGGGAAACTTTACATCCTCAATACTATACACTTCCAGCTACACCACCACCTAACAGGGACTTTAAAAAGAATACAAAGTACGGTATGCCTTCTCAGTGCCTTGTTAGTAATTCAGTTACAGTTCTGCTGAACTTTCTTTAAAGGAATACAATTCTCAATCTTACACTGTTCAGAGCACAAGCATAGCTTATTGTATACAAGAGATGTGCATCAGTTCCCACTCCTCAGGGACTGTATGAATTTGGCTTTATTTTTATTTATTTTTTTGACGGAGTCTCACTCTGTCACCAGGCTGGAGTGCAGTAGTGTGATCTCAGCTCACTGGACTCTGCCACCCGGGTTCAAGTGATTCTCCTGCCTCAGCCTCCCAAGTAGCTGGGACTACAGGTGCACACCACCATGCCCAGCTGATTTTTTGTGTGTTTTTAGTAGAGACGGGGTTTCACCATGTTGGCCAGGATGGTCTCGATCTCTTGACCTCATGATCTACCCGCTTTGGCCTCCCAAGGTGCTGGGATTACAGGCATGAGCCACTGTGCTGGGCCAAATTTGGTTCTTAGAAACCAAGGAGTGATGTGTGCACCAGGCCCAGGGCTGAAGAGCTGCTTCTCACTAGATGCCTCTCTTGGTCTGGCTGCTGTGTCCAGTCCTATCCAGGGTTAGCTCTGTTCCTCCTTCTTGCGGCATCTGTGTTTCTCTTTCTGCTCTGCCTCTCCCCATCTCCTAGTCCAAACATCCAAAGAAATTAATTACCTCCAGGAGATCGAGACCATCCTGGCTAACACGGTGAAACCCCGTCTCTACTAAAAATACAAAAAATTAGCCGGGCATGGTGGCGGGCGCCTGTAGTCCCAGCTACTTAGGAGGCTGAGGCAGGAGAATGGCGTGAACCTGGGAGGCAGAGCTTGCAGTGACCCGAAATCGCGCCATTGCACTCACGCCTGGGCGACAGAGCAAGACTCTGTCTCAAAAAAAAAAAAAAAAAAATTAATGACCTCTGCCCCTAACTGAACAAAGCCCTTCATCTAAGGCCACCCTTTGGTTGGCAGCCTTAGCCAGACATCTGCTTCTGGTCAAATCAATGTCTTGTCCACAGGGAGGCCCAGCGCTGTTTCTGGTTTTAGCTGGATGCAGGGTGTCAGACATGGCAGGTACTACGGTCTACGTGGCGGGTATCAAAGAGTTGGTCGACGTTCTCACAACAACCTAATAGGGACCAACCATGGAAGGCCAGTAGTAAAGGAGTTTGAAGTTCCCTTTCAGAAACCAATTAACAACCCCAAAGAGACAGTGTGTAACATAAAAGAGCTGCCATAAAAATATACAGTTAAACATATTTAATAGAAATATTAAAATAATCATTACACTTCCTCTCATTGCAGAAACCATGAAAGAATATGCCTTTTGTAATCAATTTTTTATCATGCAAAAAAGTATTTTGTTATGACATTTGTAAGTGGAGACTATATTTCAAAACAAGTTTATACAGACTTCAAAAGGTCTCAAGTCAAAGAGAAAGTGAAATATATTTAAATATGATTAGTTACATCTAATGCAGCTGGCATACTCATATTCACAGTTTATAAAGTAAAAAAACTAAACTCTTCATGTCGGCTCTGAAATAGATGCATTTTCATTCATACATTCGCTAGTTAGGTCTGTTCTTCTAAGGAGGAAAGACGAGACATATGAGATATTTTTTAAAGAACAAACTCAACATATCAGCAGCAAATTTCAGTTAAACTAAATTGGAAACCAATGTTCTGTGTAACCAAAGTGCAAAGTCAGTTCCCCAGCTCAGAAAGAAAATTAAGAGTATAAACTGAAGGCTTAAGAGAACTTCAGAGAGCATACTATGTGATTAATACATAAATATTAAAAATTATCCAATTTTTGATTTAAGAACAACACAGTTTGGATCTAGTCATTAAAACATATGCAGAGGTGTCAAAGGCAAGTAACACTACCACCTAAGGTTATTCAGAGGAACTGTGAAGATGTAGCACGGACCTCTAAGGTGTCTAAAATCCCTTCTGATGGAAAGCTTATGGAACACTATCTGCCAAAAACACTGAAAGCACCACTTTTATATTTAGATCCAATGCTGAGTGATATAGTCACTGTTGGGATAGGTTTTTATTTGGGAAAATGGAGAGGATTCTCAAAACAGATTCATGGCTTGCATGCAGTGACACCCTATCAAGAGCCTGGAAAGACACCATGAAATCACCTCAACTCAAGTGGTGGGCCCACCTACTCATAGTCAGTGTTACATTAGCCAGCTCTAGGGCTCTGACAACATAATGAGTTTTGAGATAGTATACTTTAAAGAAAAAAAGAAGAGTTTATTTTAAAGCAAATAACTAAACTGTATTTTAACTTAGCACAATTAACTGCAGCATATTTACTTCATAGCCCCTTAACATGTCACTTTTACCAACAAAGCTTTTTCCTTCATATTCTAATCACAAAAATTTCTCAACAATTTATAACAATCTGTAAATCTGACCTTGCAATAAATAGTCATAAAATGTTATTTTTATTACTATTATTATTTTTAGAGACAAGGTCTCGCTCTGTTCCCCGAGCTGGAGTGCAGTGGTACAATCACAGCTCACTAGCCTCAAACGATTCTCCAGCCTCAGCCTCCCAAAGTAGTGGGATTTCAGGCATGAATCACCACACCTGGCCTTGAAACATTATTTTTAAAGCCTAAATTCCAGTTGGTATGGTACCAAAATTTAGTTTAACTTCAAAATTCACAGTACTGCCGAGAAATGGGCGGGTCCTGAGGTTCCAGAGAAGTGGGGAGTGAATTCATTCCTGGTGGTTTTATTCTGGCAGCATGCATGGGAGATCACATGAGTTAGAGGGCTGTGGCCTGGTATCAATACTTCAAGCTGTTGTACTTTTACTTCAAGTTGAAACTTTTAAAATACATCTGTCATATAGATGTACAAATATATGTAAATGCAAACATATACACACTTTTTGACAAAAGAATGATGGTAATACACATGAACCATTTTTGTAAATAGATTTTATTTGGTTAATAAAAATATTCCTTCCATCAACCTATCGAAGTCCAAACCAACTACGAAGATAGGATGCCCATCCAGAAGAACGGGAAGCATTTTATTCCTCACCTTTGGAAAGTAAAACAAAAAAAAAAGAAAAAAGAGAGTATTAAAATTTCTCAATGTAAAATCTATATTTTAGAACCACTCTACAATATAAGCAAATAATGTCTTTTTTACTGATCACATGCCTTTTTTGTTGGGGGGGGGGGGTTCTTTTTTTTTTTTTTTTTTTTTTTTTGAGACAGGGTCTTGCTCTGTCACCCAGGCTGGAGTGCAGTGGCGTGATGAGACTTCAGTGCAGCCTTGATCTCCCAGGCTCAAGTGATTCTCCCACCTCAGCCTCCCAAGCAACTGGGACCACAAGGTGTGTGCCACCATGCCTGGGTAATTTTTTGTTTTTTTGTAGAGATGCAGGTCTCACTGTTTTCCAGGCTGGTCTCAAATTCCTGGGCTCAAGTGATCCTCCCACTTCAGCCTTACAGTGTTGGGATTACAGTCACGAGCCACTGTACCCAACCATATGTCATTCTTTAGACACACTGCTTACTAAATTTCTCTTTTTAAAGGATATACTGAATTTCCGGTTGAGCCAACTTAACAGCTAATTTTCTATTTTAGCTTTAAAACATTGATAAGCAACATGAAGCAATCTAGAACTTAACCTTTAAATGGCTTTATTAAAGCAATCCAGCTATGAAAATTATGCAGAAATGATTATCTACAATCTTACCAGCACATAAGAAATTCTTCCTCTATTCTGAAATACCATCTTCTCACAATATACTTTGATGTTATGAATCAATGTCTGTTCTTGAACATTATTTATTGTCTTTCTCTATTAAACAATTCCAAAATAAAATTTCCAGCACAACTAAATATTGTTGATGATAAGAGGATTTTAAAAAAAATTCTTTTAAAACAGAAGCTTATATACAACTTAGAATCTAAAACCAATAGATTTATGGTAAACCTTAAAACTGAACCAAAACAAACAAAAACCAAAGTTTTAATCATTTAAAAATCATGTTTATTGAGGTACAACTTACTTATAGTAAAACCTGCCCTTTTCAGCGTATAGCACTGAGTCTTGACAAATGCACAGTTACGTACCACCACCGACCAAGGCCTGGCACATTTTCACCTCCTCAAAGTTCTCCCTGGCTGCTTCTCCCACTCCTTGGCAACCGCTAACCTGTTTTCTGTCCTTATAGTTCTGCTTTTTTCAGTGTCATATAAGTAGAATCACACTGTACATAGTATTTTGAGTCTGACCTCTGTCAACTGGCATAATGCATTTGAGAATTATCCATGTTGCTGTACTGGCAGTGCATTCTTTTTTATTGCTGAGCAGTATTCAATTGCATGGCTGTACCAGTTTGTTTATTCATTTGCCAGTTGAAGGATAACTGAGATCTTCCTCGTTTTTAGCAATTTTAAAGAAAGTTTCTACGAATAATTGTGTACAGGTTTTTAATTAAATGTTTTGGAGATATAATTCATATACCACATAATTCACCTTTTTAAAGTGCATAATTCACTGGTTTTTAATATATTCACAAGGTTTGTGCATAGGATTTTGTGTGAATACTGGTTTTCATTCCTCTTGGATAAAGATTTAATTTGGCATTACCCTTCCAGACACCATTCTGTGTTTTCATACGTATATATGTATGACAGTTTGACCTTACGCAGAGTAGCATTTTCAAAATTTTACATGGGGAAACTTTCTAGAGTTAAAGTCATTTTATTTTTCTGTTCTGTCTGGTTTTATCTGCGTGTTATTTACAATCTGCTGCGTAACAAATTACTACAAACTTAGTACCTTAACACATATTTATTTCACAGTTTCTGTGGGTCAGGAGATCAGAAATGGTTCTATTTCAAGGTCTCTCACAGGGCTGCAATCAAGATGTTGGCATGGCTGGGGTCTCATCTGAAGGCTGGACTGGAGAATCTACTTCCAAACTTATGTGGTAGTTGGAAGAGTTTAGTTCCTCAAGGCTGCTAAACTGATGGCCTGTGTTCCTTGCCTCTGGGATGGTAGCTTGCTTCAACAAAGTGTGCAAGCAGAGAAGACAGAGAGAGTCCACTAGCAAGATAGAAGCCACAATCTCTTGTAATCTATCATTTTTGCTGTATTCTACTGGTTAAAAATAACTCATTAGGTTAGCCTACTGGCTCTGAAGGGGAAGAGATTATACAAAGGCATGAATTTCTGGAGGAGGGAATGAGGGCAAAGAACTCTGAAAAGTCTCTCTTCCACAATCTGAAGAACTTCTAGAAAGTAGAAGGAAGCGATATTGCTTAGGGATGGACAACTTGGCACTGGTTATGTGTTCCAAGTGAGGTAACCTTGTTCCCAGGAATAAAGAGAACCAGATGACTGTAAACATTTCCCTAAACTGAAATGCACTGTTGTATGTTCACCTGCAATGAATGGTGTAAGCTGAATATAAGATTTTTGACAAAATAAAAATTTTGCTGTGTTCTCAGATCTGGCAGGCTCCTGCCCTTGTGCAAACAATGTTCCTGGTAACTATTCATCTCCTTAGGTAAATAAGAATTGGAGAAAAGCTGTGCTTAGATAGGGTGCATTTGCTCTTGCCTTGGAAGGTTGTTTTCTGATAAGGTTCTATATCCTCTGCAAATCAAATCAGGCACTTACAGTGTGAGTATGCATTCTCTTCCTGCCAGTCTGGAGATGATCAAAAAGCCTATAACAGGCTTGGCCTATTTTCCTATTGGGTTGCTGGGCTTTTTTTCTTTATTTACTTGTAGAGAGTTTTAGACCTCTGTGTATGTATGGTGTACAAGTGACAATATTCAGATCTGTAAACTGTAACCCAGTCTGGGAGCAAAGAAGATATAGAAAAATGACTTTTACTTCCGGCTTGAGTAGTAAAATTGAGATTCAAATTTTGCATATAGAAGTACTATATGGCTAACTTATTTGGGGAGCAAAGCTGACTTACCATAAGTCTATCTCAAATAGAAATGAAACACTCAATTTGTGAAATATGCTGAGTTTTAATGCGTGTGGGGGCAGGGTGAATTAACATTTGTGATGCAAGGAGAAGAGCAATCTATACTTACCACTGTCTATTTGACATTGTTTGGGGACTACTGCTACACTCTAAGTCATTTTACCTTATAACGCAGAGTTGTAACACGCTACTCTGAGCAGCTCATGACATCTGCTTGAAATTTAAGTTGGGCCCCTAGTATGTGTTTATTATAAAGATTTTGATGCTGCTTTTCAGAGTTGGGTAACCTACTTTACCCCCTAAGCTAATGTTTCCCAAATACACCCAAACCCACAGAAAGGAAAACTATTCATCATTAACTCACAGCCAACATCATAAACATTTTATATCTAGAGCTGATGATACAGTCAGGTATTTACCAACACTCATGTATATATGTAGAGTGTCAAGAAATAATTGCTTATCCTTACTAGATTCAACATTAGCCTTACTAGATTCAACATATTCTAATGTTTCACATATTATTTTTATTTCTTAATTTTTTTTAAAGATGGGGTTTTACTCTGTTGCCCAGGCTGAAATGCAGTGGCGTGACCAGGATTTCGACCAGAAGTTCGACTGCAGCCTCGAACTCCTTATAACAAAGAATCCTGCTGCCTTAGCCTCCCGAGTAGCTAGGACTATGGGCACATGCCACCAGAACTGGCATATTTTAAAATTTTTGTAGACATAGGGTCTCGCCATGTTGCCCAGGCTGATTCTGAACTCCTGTTCTCAAGCAATCCTCCTGCCTGGTCTTCTCAAACTGTTGGGCTTACAGGTGTGAGTCACTGAGCCCAGCTTGTATTCTTTTGATTTTAAAAAAATATTCTGAATGTGATCCACCAAATTAATTTCACCATCCACTAATAGGTAGCAACCTGAATGAAAAATACTATTATAAACTTTACACAAAACCAGAGATTATAAACATTTGCTTCCAAGGAGATGAGAGAGGTAAAAGGTACTTGTTTGCTCTGATGGGCCCTGTTTCCTTCAGTGCCAGGAAGAGTGGCTCTCAGACCTTTCTTCTAGCATCCCTCATGTATGCAGTGTTGGTTATTATTTTCAAGGCCTTGGTAACAAAATGCCCCCCTAGTGTGACCAGTCAGACTGACAGTCCATATCTGTAATATGGTGGTAAGTTTCCTTTGCATGTCTTTCTTTCTGGCATCTTAGACCTTTTACCTAGGAAATTTTCTTTTTGCTTGAAGTACATCATTAAGAATTTTCAGTGAAGGCAGATTCTTAAAGTTTTTGTTTTCCAGAAGAGATCTTGGAAAATATAAAAGGTTGGCAGTTATTTCTTTTAGTACATGAGATAGTATTACACCAATGCTGTTGAGAAGTCTATTGTGAGGCAATGTGTCTTCTTTCTCTGGCTGCTTTTGAGATTTCTGTCTGTCTTTTTTAGGGGCAGTTTTACTCTTATGTGACTAGAAGTAGATTTCTTCTTTTTTTTTTTAATACTGCTTGAGATTTTATTGGGTTTTTGAATCTGTGGATAGATATCCTTCAACAGTTCTGAAAGATTTCCAGCCATTCTCTTCATATATTATCTGTGCTGTATTCTTGTCTCTCCTTTTAGAACTTCGATTAGTAAAAACATGTTTGATGTCTTTTCCCACTCTTGTTTTTTGTTTCTCCCATGCTGAATTCTGTGTAATTTCTTTTGAACTATCTTGTAGTTTACTTTTTTTTTTTTTTTTGAGATAAGAGTTTTGATCTTGTTGCTCGGGCTGGAGTGCAATGGCACCATCTCGGCTCACTGCAACCTCTGCCTCCTGGGTTCAAGCAGTTCTCCTACCTCAGCCTCCCAAGTAGCTGGGATTACAGGCATGCACCACCACGCCCAGCTAATTTTTGTATTCTGAGTAGAGACGGGGTTTCACCATGTTGGCCAGGCTGGTCTTGAACTCCTGACCTCAGGTGATCTACCCTCCTCAGCCTCCCAAAGTGCTGGATTACAGGTGTGAGCCACCGTGCCAGGCCTTACATTCTCTCTCTTAAAGAGAGAATGTAAGGTATCTAAATCTGCTGCTAAACCATCATTGTTTTTAATTGTAATAAGGTCTCTTTTATGTACTCACATTGATAAGAGACAAGTAGTAAATAATCTTTAAAGGGCAAACTAATTTAAATGTGTTTTCCTGTCTGTTTACAGGACTTACCAAATGCACATCTTAGAGTTCTGGGTTTCCAATGTGTATCTCCTCTATGAAATTCTTTAAAAATATCTGTTCTTGGTATCCCTTAGGTTAGTCTCTTTTAGAACTTCTAAATCAATGGACCCTTAACTTATAGGAGCCACCTGGACATTAGCAACATCTACATTAAACATGCTGAGCTTTTAAAAGAGGGCTGTTAGACATGCTCAGTATTTTGAGATAATATCATTGTTGTATTGAAAACTATTGAAAACTTTAATTTTAAAATGCAAACGTTCTTAAAGTCCTGGTTAATTTTATAACTATAAAATTAGTTATAATTTTGAGATTTCTGTCTTGTTTTTTATAGGGGCAGTTTTACTCTTAGGTGACTAGAAGTAGATTTCTTCTTTTTTATAACTATAAAATTAGGTTTACTTTTGTTAGAATAAATTAAAGACAGTGAATTTGTAATCTGAATAACTACTAAAAATATACATGATGTATTCTTATTTGGGCCCTTGTGACAAAAATACTATTGTGGCTATAGAAACCTATCCTGTAGTTTGAAGAACTGAGATTACTGTCAGTATTGAGAACATTCCTCCTTCATCATTAGAAAGATTATAAAAAACCAGATTCAAAGAAACTATCAATACTACTTATGAAGTATGTCTGTAAAAAAAATTAAGCCTGAATCTTATCAGGCCTCTAGACCAGGGGTTTTCAAGGTATGGGCCCCAGACCAGAAGTATCAGCAACAAATTGCTAAAAATGCAGAATCTTGGGTCAGAAATTGGGGACCAGCAATTGGAATTTTAGTAAGTATACCAGATGATTCAGATGCCTGCTCAATTTTGAGGATGACTCTTATCAGTTTAGTTATTAGGGTTTACAGGGGATGGGGAACATGTTAAAGAACACCAACTAGATAAGGTCAATCAGTCAAAAGTAAGATGTCTGGACATTCTGGGCCTCCTGATGTCTTAGAAAGCACACAATACCATCTATGATGTATTTTTGTCCACCATCCCACCTAATTGCACCTGGATCTTCCTATTTATAGGCAATTGGAACAAGCTCAGTGTTACCCTGTAATGATTAAAACCCAAATATAGAACTGCTATAGCATAAATGACCACTTTCTTCAATTAATAAGTGGCACATTAAAAATATATTTATATATATAATTGTTATAGATAAAAAAACAACAAAATGGCCGGGCGTGGTGTCTCACACCTGTAATCCCAGCACTTTGGGAGGCCAAGGTGGGCAGATCACAAGGTCAGGAGATTGAGACCATCCTGGCCAACATGGTGAAACCTCGTCTCTACTAAAAATAGAAAAATTAGCTGGCGTGCATCTGTAGTCCCAGCTACTTGGGAGGCCGAGGCAGGAGAATCGCTTGAATCCGGGAGGCGGAGGTTGCAGTGAGCCATGATCGGACCACTGCACTCCAGCCAGGGTGACAGAGCAACACTACATCTCAAACAAACAAAAACACAACAACAAAATAAAGCTTAAGGAACATCAACCAAATGCAATATATGAGCCCTATTTAGGATACTATAAAAAGACATTCACAATAACACAGGCAAAATGAACATAAACTAGGTATAGGTGACAGAGAAATTCAATAAACATTGAATTATTCACTGGGGAAAGAAATGATGTGTGGGATTTAAGTCTCTAACTCTCCCCTATTTATGCCAAAAGATTGTCCATGAGTTGAAAACTGTTAGAGATGGGTGACAACTCAAGAGAGATTATAGCGCCTTCCTTGTGCTTGTAAATGTCAAAAATAAAAGTAATTTAAAACTAAAACAAAAATGAAACCATAATTCTTAAGATACAGCTTGAATTCAGTTAACTATAGCAGTTGTATATGAAGCATTTCAAAGAAGTTAATGACATCACAGTATTAAATCCATCTGACATGGAAACCAACTCTAACTACATCATAGTTTTTTGTTTTTGTTTTTTTTTTTTTTGAGATGGAGTCTCGCTCTGCCGTCAGGCTGGAGTACAGTGGTGTGACAGATCACTGCAACCTCCGCCTCGTGAGTTCAAGTGACTCTCCTGCCTCAGCCTCCTGAGTAGCTGGGACTACAGGCGCATGCCACCACGTCCAGCTAATTTTTGTATTTTTAGTAGAGACGAGATTTCACCATGTTGGCCAGGATGGTCTCAGTATCTTGATCTTGTGATCCGCCTGCCTCGGCCTCCCAAAGTGGTGGGATTATAGGCATGAACCACCAGCGCCTGGCCTATGGCACAGTTTTAAAACTGCATTTGCCTAGAAAGTGGACTGCTGTATATAGACCAAGTGTTGGGCTATATGACTCCATTGTCTTAGGCTATTTGGGGTTGGAGGAAGGAAGAGGGGTGAAGTAGAAAAGGAACAAGCTAATAAATGTTTTTTAAAAAGTAGAATTTAAAACAAAACCACGTTCAGCTGAACACCAGAACGCAACACCAGGATAAAAATCCAATTTTCAAAGAGCTAGAAGATCAAGCTAAGCACTTATTGTATTTTGCTGAACGTTAAAATTATATAAATGTACTACAGTTGCCCCAAGATGTTAAAAAGTCAGCTTTTCAAATCTAGTCACGGCCTACTCATATGACAGACCCAATTCAAATGAGCAAAATTGAAAAGTTACACATACAGACAACTTCTCAACCACCAGGCTGTTTAGTTTAAGTTAGAAGTCAGAAGTTCTGAGACTCTCCTTTTACCCACCTTGAGCAACCGCAGCAAGTTTTCCCTTTTCTTCAGGGCTGAGCTGCAACATCGTATTTATAACAGGAAGAAGTCTCTCTCTTTCACTACCTGGCTTCAAGAAAATGAACTGCAGCAAGACGTTCTTCAAGTGTTCCACGTTAGCTGCAGACTCCTCTTGCTCTTGATTCCTTTCCAATCTTCTTATTTCACTTTTGAGAAGCTGGTGTTAGAGAAATGAGTTAAAAATGGGCTTTAGGAGCTTCTGATTAAATATGGCAGACTGAACTCATGTATTTTTCTTCTCTTCCCCCCAAATTTCCCCCTTCCCTCCATATGGCAATAAAGGAAGGAATTCAGTTAACTACAGCAGCTGCATGTGAAGCATTTCAAAGGAGTTTATGACATCACCGTATAAAATCCATTTGACATGAAAACCGGAACTCCAACTATGAGATAGTTTCAAAGCTGCATTTGCCTAGAAAGTGGATTGCTGCATATGAACCAAGTGTTGGGCTATAGGACTCCACTGTCCTAAGCTATTTGGGTTGGAAGGAAGAGGGGTGAAGTAGAAAGGCAACAAGCTAATACAAGAGGAGAAAAAGTAGATGAGACACATCAAGAAATTCTCACGAGAAACAGATGAAGAGGTGGAAATGAGTCAGTCCAGCAGCTTACCAAGTATCACTGACAAGAGGAGAGGATGCATCCTGTGTAAATACTGGAGTTCTTGTCTCAGAAGCACAGGGTATCATGGAAATTGGAGTTGAAAGCTGGGGAACTGATGGAACGTCTCCATGAGGAGCAAATAACTGGAGCCATGGGTTGGTACCAAGATGTTCCCTCTGCCTTCTACTTTCGATAGAAACTAAGCCAGTATGGCATGGGGCTCTGAAAATGGGCTGAGGGGAACATTGGTAGCCTCCACTAACCCCCTGCCCCTACGCTGTTCCTGAAGTCCCAGGCAGTTAAGACGTCCACAGTGAACGGCACTTAATCAAAAGTTCAGACACAGTGAAAATTCAGGAATATAAGACAATGTAAAACACTATCAGAGAAATGAGGCAAAGAATGATATAAAAAAGGTAATATCATGTTCAAGTCTTTGAGGAAGATTTCCAGGTTGAAACCAAGCCATAGCTTTTAGTATATTTTCATTTTAGGTTAGGCAAGAAAGTTAGCGAACTTTGTCCTCAAACCTAGGACCATTTAAAAAAGTGACAATAAAGAAGACGAAGAAATCATGAAGAGAGTATAAATTTATGAAAATATAACATTTGGCCAGGCGTGGTGGCTCATGCCTGTAATCCCAACACTTTGGGAGGCTGAGGCAGGCAGATCACGAGGTCAGGAGATTCAGACCATCCTGGCCAACATGGTGAAACCATGCCTCTAGTAAAATAAAAAAAATTAGCCGGGCATGGTGGTGCGTGCCTGCAGTCTCAGCTACTCGGGAGGCTGAGGCAGGGGAATCGCTTGAACCTGGGAGGCGGAGATTGCAGTGAGCTGAGATTGCACCACTGCACTCCAAACCTAGTGACAGAGCGAGACTATCTCAAAAAAAAAAAGAAAATATAACATTTAAATAAGTCATTTAGGTTTACTGGGCTAGTTAGTGATTTGTTAGCTATGATAATGTTTTTATTAGTGGGAAAATGTTATTTTATAGAGATGCATACTGAAGTATTTAATGGTGGAATGTCATGATATATACAATTTACTGAAAATAACTGAATTCGGCTTTAAAATAATCTGACAAGGATAGCTAGTGGCCTTGCACAGTGGCAGGACAGATCTATTAGGAGCAGCAAAGTACAGGGGAAAAGCATGTACTTTTCAGACAGCTATGAGTTTGAATTTTGTTCCACCATTTACCAGCTTCAATTTTTCTCTTAACCAGTGATGAGATTAAATAATGTATGTAGAGCCCAGGGCCTGGGTCATAAGAACTCCTCAACAAGCAGTATGACTATATTCTGAGGGGTGATTTATCAGTGAGCCAGGGTGGAAATACCTCATTTGAGTAATCCTCAACTGTTCTGCAACATTCCTAGATGTTTCTGGTGTCTACTTTAAACAGGAAAAACTTCCCATGCCACTTTGCCATCTCCACCTGAAAACTGTTTAGTAGTTCAGTACTATAAATATCAGTTGAATAATTTAAATTCACTGGTTATCTTTAGAATTCAAAGACTCACACCCATTTTTTATTTAAGCATATGTGAACAATGATTTGTGAACATCTCTCTAGTTTCTAAATCTATTACGGTTTCTTAGGAAAAGTAGGAATTAAGAAATAATCTTTATGTAATAGGTGTAAAAGAAGTATTTTGGCTGGATGCAGTGGCTCACGCCTGTAATACCAGCACTTTGGGAGGCCAAGGCAGGTGGATCATGAGGTCAGGAGATCGAGACCATCCTGGATAACATGGTAAAACCTGTCTCTACTAAAAATACAAAGAAATTAGCCAGGCATGTTGGCGGGCACCTGTAGTCCCAGCTACTTGGGAGGCTGAGGCAGGAGAATGGCGTGAACCTGGGAGGTGGAGCTTGTAGTGAGCCGGGATCGTGCCACTGCACTCCAGCCTGCGTGACAAAGCAAGACTGTCTCAAAAAAAAAAAAAAAAAAAAAAAAGGCAATATTTCTCACCATCAGGAATCTAATATAAAGATCAAGACGTTATAGATGCATCTGCAATGTGAATTTTTAAACTTGGGTACATGTGTATGGAGGGTCCAGAAAACCAAATTGGCAGTTTTCATGGTGGCCAGGTTTTCTGATCTCACCTTAATTTGCTCCATAAGGACTGCACTGGTTGCCTCTGCTTCCCGAAGCAGGCCGTTTAAGTGATCTGCACTTTTTGTGGTGGAACTGAGCTTCTGAACCAATTCTTCTTTGGTAAATTCAGCATGCCATAATGGAGGCTCTGCAACATGTTGTTCCAAGAATTAATTTTCAAAATCATACATTACAGATGAAGATTCTAAATAAGAAAAATCTAAATATAAATATCTTACTATGTGATATTTTATAGGTCTGCTTTCTTTGCCATTCATCTATTCGGCATACCTCAATCAACAGATTATATGTTGTAGGTGACACAAATAAAACAGTATCTCTGTTGTAAAGCATGTCATCTAACTGAATACAAGCCCTATGAGTCCCAGTTCTGAAATTTGTCAGAATTGTGTTTATAGACAGTTTTATTACACATCTTCTTCCCATCTATTAATATTCCAAGATTTTATGTCATTTCACGTATAAGGAAAGCATTAACATTTACTGGTCACGTATCATGTTCCCTCATAAGAATCTTCTATCAGGCGGGGTAGGTATCATTATTCAAACTTTACAGACGATGAAACAGGCTCACAGTTGACAGGTAATTTTTGCAGAAATCACAAAGTCAAATTGGCTTCTGGAGTCTGCTGCTCTATCATGATGCCTCCATGTCACCACTATTAACTTTGCCTGAAGGAACCATGACTTGCTGTTTCTACCCCACGTGGTCAGTGACCATGAATACAAATGACCCTTACTCCAGGTGATTCTGAAGTTTCAGGAAGATGACAGATTCCCCCTAAATTTTGAACAGTAATATTAATTACAGGTAATAAAATATACCAAAACATCACTACAAAAATTTAGCATTACTTCATCAAGAGGAATAAACTGAAACTGTCAGTTTCTTGGAAGGGTGAGAGGATAGTTTATCCTGCTTTCTAATACCCACCACCTATTTGTGACTATAAACTTCCCACCACTTATTTATGGTTCAAGCCTAGGGCAAGAGCTAGCATTTTATTTTAAAAAAGATTTGTTTAATAATTTTTCCATTTGGACAGTGTGATGGTTAATACTGGGTGTCAACTTGATTGGATTAAAGGATGCAAAGTATTAATCCTGAGTGTTGTCTGTGAGGGTGTTGCCAAAGGAGATTAACATTTGAGTCAGTGGGCTGGGGAAGGCAGACCCACCCTTAACCTGGTAGGTGCCATCTAATCAGCTGCCAGTGAATATAAAGCAGGCAGAAAAACCTGAAAAGGCGAGACTGGCCTAGCCTCCCAACCTACATCTTTCTCCTGTGCTGGATGCTTCCTGCCCTTGAACATCAGACTCCTAGTTCTTCAGTTTTGGAACTTGGACTGGCTCTCGTTGCTCCTCAGTCTGCAGATGGCCTAGTGATCGTGTAAGGTAATACTTAATAAGCATCCATCCATCCATCTCATCCATCCATCCAACCATCCAATTAGCTCTGTCCCTCTAGAGAACCCTAATGCAAACAGGTAGTGGAATATTGAAAGAAATTTTATTGGAGCAGCCCAAAAAAGCATATGTACCTTAGAGTAATAGTAATTAAATAAGACAGTGAAATTAAAGAAGAACATATTTAGACAGAGTAACAGACCAAGTTTAGTTTCGGGAGAATTAAGCAGCTGCTCTAAAGACTGTGTGTATGTGCTGGCGGAAGACACAGACTCCGTATCAGTTGTCCCATGCCTTCTCCCTCTTCCCGGGTTACAGTGTGCATGTCTAGAAGTGGGAGGTCTGTGTTTCTCCTTTCTCGAAGGTTCTTCAAAGATTGTTGAGAGGAAACTGGGCCTATTAGATTTTTTTTAAAGGTTAAGTGTGAGATTGTTCAAAATCTATTGATTCGGCCTTACAGAGGTACACAATAAAATGAAAATATCAAATGATAAGAGTAGAGGAATTAAGTAACTATAAGATAAGTGAAAGGTGTATGAGGAATTGCTAAAACATTTCTTAAAATTTAGTCATCAAGGCCGGGCGTGGTGGCTCAAATCTGTAATCCTAGCAGTTTGGGAGGCTAAGGTGGGTGGATCACGAGGTCAGCAAGTTCAAGACCAGCCTGGCCAAGATGGTGAAACCCTATCTCTACTAAAAATGCAAAAATTAGCCAGGCACGGTGGCAGGTGCCTGTAATCCCAGCTGCTGGGGAGGCTGAGGCAGAGAATTGCTGGAAGCCAGGAGGCGGAGGTTGTAGTGAGCCAAGATCACGCCACTGCACTTCAGCCTGGCGACAGAGCGAGATTCCAGCTCAAAACAAAAAAACAAACAAAAAAAACCTTAGTCATCAAACTTTTAACTACGTTAGTCATTTTAATAGCAGCTATAAATTAATTGCTACTAGCTAAGATAAACTGTTAGATAACACAGCTCATAATATAGTACTACTTATTTTTTATTAATTTAGAGTAGAGGGCCAAACTACTGCTAAATACTGGCCAAAATTAAAAGACTAGATTCTAGCAATTTTTCAGGATTAGGTATTTCAGATTGCTGCATACTTCTTGAAACACACTTGCTGAAATCTGCTTGGTAGACATCCTCAATCACTGCCCTTATACCTTTACCTCTGCAGCTTCTTAATTGTTGCTGCTCACACCTACAGTGCTCATACAGTTAAGAGCCCAGAATCCAGGGCACGGAACTAATCAATTACATTGCCTAGCAAGACTTTCCTGTTTGCTGATAAACTGTAAAGTGTTATTTTTTCTGAGACAGGGTCTCACTCTGTCACACAGGTTGGAGTGCAGTGGCACGATCTTGGCTCACAGCAACCTCTGCCTCCCAGGCTCAAGCCATCCTCCCACCTCAGCCCCACAAGTAGCTGGGACTTCCAGGTGCATGCCATCCCGCCCAGATAATTTTTGTACTTTTAATAGAGATGGGATTTCACCATGTTGTTCAGACTGGTCTCAAACTCCTGGCCTCATGTGATCCACCCGCCTTGGCCTCCCAAAGTGCTGAGATTGCAGGGGTGAGACACCACACCTGGTCTAAACTGTAAAGTTTACCAGGCCCTTTGACATGTATTGGTTTATTGACTCCCAAAAATCTGAAGTTCAGAGAAATTTAATGACTTTGCCCAAGGTCTCATAACTGAGTTAGAAACCAGAATTGTAATCTAGATTTTTAAACTTCAGATTTCATTTATTTTGCATTTCATTAAATTGCCTTAGTCCTGACTGCCCTTTCTGAAGCATTTTCCTGGGTTTCTGGTAAGCTGACTGCTTATTCCACTGCTGATTGCTAGATTACAATCTCTTGTGCGACCTTTGCCCTGGCTGATTACTTCCTTTGTTGATTCTTTGGCATATACTAAATTCTTCTGAAGTTGCTTTTTTACCCTAATAAGTGACCGATAGCTGCTAATGCTCCAGTGACAATATTTCCCATGGGAAACCAAAACACCATCAACTTGCTACTAAAATACTGCATCATCATGGCTGACATTTTTCCATTTCTTCCTGGAAGCAGAATGGAAGATACTGGGTACGGCTGAACTAAAACTCCAACTAATTGTAAATGTGAAAGCAAAGAAGCTATATTGGTTATGCAGTTCTACACATTCAGTGCCACTTGAGTGTTTCTAAGTTCCTTGCTCTAGCTAATGTTTCTATTTAAAAAGTAGACAAATTTGATGACTAACAACGGAGAACAAGAAACAAATCTGGTGAATACCAGAATTAGGACATGTGTCAGCCAGGCGCAGTGGCTCATGCCTGTAATCCCAGCACTTTGGGAGGCCGAGGCGGGTGGATCACGAGGTCAGGAGACCGAGACTATCTGAGGGAGAATCTTCAGGTTTTTTCTTCTCTTTTGCTGTAACACCAGTCAAAAAAATTGACAAAGATGAGGTATTAAGTATTGACGTTAATACTCTACCTGAAAATAAAAACCATGGAACCTATCTATAGGTTAAAACAGCATACTGATAAAAAACACATATACTTTGATGCAGAGATGTACGATAATCATGAATTAGAATTAGCATCCTGATTTAGTGTTCTACCAAAAACCCTAAGTGAACACAGAATCTATTTAAAACCAAAGAAAACAAAAAAATCTTGTGTTTACTTAATAGTCATTGAAAAGAATTACTACAAATTTCTAGAATTTAAAAAGGTTAAAAATTTTAAAGTGTTGCCTAACTATACTTAGCATACAATAGTTTACCAAAATATCCATGCATTTGCAGCAATTGAAAAAAATCTTAAAACATAAGCAAGTATTAGTATACATATGAAACTAATCCAAAGCCAACTGTGATTAGTTCCTGTAAGGAAAGTTAACAATTGCCAAGAATGGAAGGTGACTAGAGTTGCATCTAGTTTGCCTGTGTTCAAGCATGATACTAGATAAAATTAAATAAAAACTGTTACTCTATGGGTAGCTAACACTATAAAATCTAAGACCATTCATATGGCTGAAAACAACCCATCCCCAGCCACCATTAATGCAAAGCGCAAAAAATTAGAAACAGAAAAAACTTCTATATGCAACCTGTTCTGATCTACTAATGTAAAGAAGAACTTCTGGCTAAAGGAGTTTAATAAAGTAAGCCAGTCATGAAGCATGCCATGTATACCAACTGGTGACAGGGAAACATTCTGAGAGCTATGGTGTCCAATATGGTAGCCTAGCCACATTCTATTAAAACCTCACAAGGTGGCTAGTCCAAATCAAGACATGCTAACAGTAAGTGTAAACACACACACTGGATTTTGAAGACTTGGTGAAAAACAATAATGTAAAATATCATTAATTTTTGTATTAATTAGAAGTTAAAATGATATTCTGGACATAATGAGTTAAATCAAATCTATCGATAAAGTTACTTTCATCTGTTTCCCTTTTTAACTGTTTCTTTTTATTCTTTTTAATATGGCTACTAGAAAATTTATTTAGTTATGTATTTATTTGAGATGCGGTCTTCCTTTGTCACCCAGAGCTGGAGTGCAGTGATGTGATCATAGTTCACTGAAGCCTGGAACTTGTGGGCTCAAGTGATCCCTCTGCCTCAGCCTCCCAAGTAACTGGGATTATAGGCACAAGCCATTGCACCAAATGACAATTTTAAATTACATACACAGGTAATATTTTATTTCTATTGGATGACACTGCTCTGCAGAACCAGTGCCCTTCCTTTTACAATGTTAAATCTGTCCCTCTCCTTCATTATAAACAAAAACTTAGTATCATTTCCTAGCTAGGAGAAATAACAGTACACCGTAAGATACAGATTCTTGTTCCACTTCTGCTATTACTCAGTAAAGACCCCTTGGGTAAATCAGATAGCCTCTCTTGGCCACAGTTTACTCATGTCTAAAGTCTTCATTTCTAAGGTCCCTTGGGACAATGACATTATCAGATTCAAAACAGAATAAGGCTCTATGTTCTACAGTAGTGTATAGGCACATTCGTTCTTAGGTCAGGGATTCCTAACCTAGAGCTCACAGAAACTGTACGCAAGTATACATTCACTTTTAAGTTAACACTTTTCACATTTCTCAAAGACCGTATCTTTAAAATAAAAGATTAAGAGCTACCTTAGCTGGTAATAAAACTGGTATACTTAAAAAAAAAAATCAGAGATTGTTACTTTATCATTGTACTTGTTTGGCATGGCTAAGATGTGTTACTGGTCACTAAGGGTGAGATTTCACTTCCCTAACCTGTTCTTGAAGGCCTTCAACAGATCCCACTTCTTGTTCCACTCTAGTAGCCACACTTCTAAAATTGATCGGTGCAACATATATAATATGCAAGCTGTAGAATGCTGGCTGTTAAAAACGGGGTCCATTTTCAAATACAACATTTTTCTAAACCATGCACAAAAGAACAGCCCTACAGGGACACTCTTCCATACTGTATACATGCCGTTGCCACTACATGTGAATACTGGCAGACGTTAGTGGCTAAACATAAACATTAGATAAAACATAGGTCTTCATTGAGCAGACCTGAAATAGCAGAGCAATGAAGTACATTACAAATCAGCATCCCAGTACATTTTAAAAAACAAACCAACAAGGGTGTCATGCCACCAGTCAAAAGGTACTTTGCTTAAACTGGCATTCTTTAACATGCATGTTGTAGTGGTAAGTACTTCATTTCATACAGCCACAGTTATTAATACTTTGCTAAGGGCTACCCAGCTGCTAAAAACTGCTGTTATCTCATACTGAGAATGCTAGTTCTATACCTTTGCTCTCAGGCTGTGAGGAAGGGGTGCTAGTCCAAAAGGCCATGGGATTAGATTTAAAAAGGCTAAAATTAAATCCTAGAAAATAAAGAATATTTCATTTTTTAACATTTTAGGAAACAAAATGAATATGCTTTTAAAACATAAAAAGCCAGAATCCCTCAATTTATACCACCAATCTGTCTTACATATTCATTTATCCCTGTAGTTTCATTCTTTGCTCCTTTAATACATGAGCAAGACTGACATACAACACATAAAATGAGAACATCTCAATATCATATTTTTTTTTTTTTTTTTTTTTTTTTTGGAGACAAAGTCTCAGTCACTCAGTCAGGCTGGAGTGCAGTGGCATGATTTCAGCTCACTGCTACCTCCATCTCCTGTGCTCAAGCGATCCTCCTGCCTCAACCTCCTGAGTAGCTGCTAATTATAGGCACGCACCACCACGCCCGGCTCATTTTTGTATTTTCAGTAGAAACAGGGTTTCACCATGCTGGCCAGGCTGGTCTCGAACTCCTGAGCTCAAGTGATCTGCCCACCTCAACCTCCCAAAGTGCTGGCATTCTAGGAGTGAGCCACCGTGCCCAGCCTCAATATCATGTTTTCTGAGTGACAAAAGAAACAGAACAAATGAAAATGAACACTTTAAAAAAAGACTCACGTTAATGCGCATGATTCAAGCATGAGTCCGTACACTGTACCAAGTTCTTTTGCTCTGCCCTAGCATGATAGAAGTATCTTCCAGTTACTGAAATGTCTTTAACTAAGTTCTCTTGCTCTTTGAAACCTCACCGTGAACTTATTAAGGGAGAAAAAAAATTGCTCAAATATTTTGGGGGTGTTCACAAAGCATCGTTTATATCCCAACATTAGTATCCCACAAAGAGTCTGCATCAAGCTAAACATTAAAAGAAAGAAAAATTGTGCTTAACTTTAACAACAAAGTACCTACCCTTTTCTGGTGTTTTAAATGTGTAGTTGATTGAAGATTCTTCCATTGGAAAGGAAGCAGAGAGATTTTTGACTTTGCTATCTGAAGACTGTTCGATATCAGAGTTCTTTGACAGTTCACATTTTTTAGGTTCCACTTTGCTTTCAGATCCACTCTGGGCTACTGAACTAGTTTCACTGTTGTTACTTTTCAAAGATGCATTAAAACTAAATCCAAACAAAGACCCAGTGGCAGAACTGTTGCCAAATGCAAATGGTTTTGATTTTTCACTACTAAAAATTCTTTTAACAGACTCTGAACCAAATACAAACTTTGGAGGAGAAACCACTGCTTTTGTTGTTGTTTCAGATGTGCTAGACACTTCAACTTCTGAAGCTGCATCTGCTACATCATCACCCTGAATAACATCTGTCCTCTCTCTTGTGGTTTCTTCTAATACAGCTACAGCAATTTTGCCACATGGTGACTCTCTGGGAGTGCTTGACCGAGAAACATGAGGTGTTATCAAAGAATCTTTTTCCTGGGCTGTTTTTGCTTCATCAAAAATTTTCTTAAACGAGTCTGCAACATCCTGTAGTTTAAAACGAACAGCTAAATGCTCTACTTTTCTTTCTCCATCTGCAAAATCACATGCAGTCCACACCCATACTCTTTCTGTCCCTTTCATATTTTGCAAACTCATGTCTGGAGTTATTGTGTGATTGGCACAAAGTTTTAATACTTGGTCCCTTCTCATCACTATACGAACTTGCTTATTATCATAATTCTGTAAAATCTTTATATCACCAATGCCCCTTTCTTTCCATTGACCAACATCTTTATCATATCTGTAGAGTTCTGCCCTGTGACTAAAAACAACTTTTTCATTTTCCTCACCACTGGATACTTCAACTAGATCAGGTAAAGGAACAACAGGTTCAAAGTACTGTCCATCTCTCTCTTCTTCTTGAGTAACATCAGATTCTTCATCAGTGCCAACTGAAGTCCCACTCTGATTCAACTTGGCAGGAGACTTAGATGGACTCAAAGCAGATTTAAAACTGAAGTTAGATCCTGTTGTTGACTCACCAAAATGGAAAAGATTTTTTCTCACAGGGCTACTTGCCAATGGAGAAGCATGTACTGAGCTACTACTGACACTATCATCCAAAGCATCTTCCCTTAAATCACAGTTATCCCATTCTAATGTGGGCCCAGTGTTTTCAGGATTGGGTTTTATTGTTGTGTCTGAGGCACCGGCCGCACCTGTACCTGAACCCTTATTTTCTTCCTCAGTGACTTTTGTTTGATCATTTGTCAAAAATGTTTTGAAATCTTTCAGTCCACTCTTCATTTCTTCAGCTCTCTGTATTAACTTGGCAGCTCTGCCAGTATCTACAAGTTTATGGGGAGTTTGAAGTGGTATGTCTAACAGAAGCTGCTGGCATTCCTCAAATTTCTGCTTGAATTCTTCAGCCAGCTCTGGTGTTTTAAATTTTGCTGCTAACCGCTCTAGTTTGGCATCACCATCAGAGAAATCACTGGCTGACCACATCCATGCTCTATCTGATCCAGACAGGGGCTTCAGGTTCATTGTAGTCGTTATCCAATGATTAGCACACACTTTTAGTACTTGTTCTCTTCGCATCAGCATTCTTGGTTTGCCATTGACCTCGTTTTTGAGAATTTTTAAGTTCCCCAAGCCCCTTTCTTTCCACTGCCTTACCTCAGCATCAAATCTAAATAGTTTTACCCCCTGTGAATACAGAACTTTTTCACCTTCTTCTCCTATTACAAGTTCTACTTTTTCAGGCATTTGAACTACTGGTTCAAAATGGATGTCATCGCTGTCCTCAGTCTTATAGGCATCATCATCTTTCTCAAAGTCACCGGAAGTGTTTGCTTTATTGGCCATTTTACCGCATTGTGATGAGAATAATTTTTCTCCAGCACCTGAAAATCCCTTGAAATTGGGGTCTTTTTTGCCAAACTGAAATCCTTCTCCTGAAGTTGATTTTGCAACATCTGCAAATGTAAAAGTGCTACTTGTTTGGCCAAAAATCACACCACGGCCATTCTTCTGGCCACTAATATCCTGAGCCTGGAAGCCAGTATCATTTTCAAGAGGCTTTTCACTTTCCTTTTCTTGATTTCCTGGTTCCGAAATGCCAAATTTAAATCCATCAGCAGACACAGGGATGGAAAATCCTTCTTTGGTTGACTTAAATTCTGTATTAGAAGAACCCTGAAACATAAATGAAGGTGAATTTTCTTGATCCACATGCCCAAAATAGTCATGAAATAAATACCTTCTTCATTCCTAAACAATTTATCAAATGATGTTAACAATAATGATGATGATGATGATGATAACATTTATTGAGCATTTATTAATGTGCCAGCTGGGCACTGTTCTAAGCACTTTACATTATTATCTCATTTTAATATCCTCAAAAACCCTATGAATTAAGGTATTATTATTATCCTCATTTTACATATGAGGCAACTGATGCATTGAGAGGTTAAGAAACTTGCCTGTGGTCAAAATAAGCAGAAGAGCAAGGGTCTAAATGCACCCCAACACTCTATCCTCAAAGCTGTCACATTCAACTACCACTGTAATATTGAGTCTTCAATCAATTGTTATATATATAGCTGTATCAGGCCTGAAAGTACTTACCACATAGTGGGTCAGCAAGGGCATTACAGTTCTATTTCTGTTAAAACAGAACGATGAAGGATCCACCACCACCACTCCCATTTTTAAAATATTCTAAATATTCACACTTATTAACTCAAAAATAAGGTGACTAAGAAGGATAATTTCTGTATTTGGAGATAAATTTAAAATATCTACATTTTAAGGGACATAAAAGTTTTAATAGTGAACTGCTCTCTTGAATTTATTTGAAGGAACCCTAAACAATTTAAAAAGGAAATAATTATAAATGTATAAATTATTCCTTTGTTACCTTTGTGGGAGTAACATTAGCTGCTGGTCTGAGAAGATACTGGGAATTATATGCTGGTGACTGACTATAATATACTGAAGGGCCAGTAGTTGCAACTAAAAAAAAAAAAAGAAAAGAAAGAAAACACTGTTAAAGTCTATACTACAGTTAAGACTATCTAGTCAAGAGCTACAAATACAAAAGCAATAGAAATTAAAGAAAGATTTAACTACATAAATTTTAAATTTCTGTACATCAAAATACACCAATCAAGATTATCAAATGACAAACTAGAAAAAAACTGCTAAATATGACATGAAGAATAAGAGAATAGCATCGCTGTGATCAACAAGAACTACCTCACAAGCATTAAAAAAGGAATAAAGAAGAAAGTAACTGTTGCCTTTTCTAAGAAAGATCAGTATGATGTGGAATTATGGACATTCAGTCACAGAAAGGACGTAAGGAACCAAGATGCCATCTGATGGTCAATGCATTTGAAGTGGGCCTAGAAAATCTGCAGAAAGACTAGGTTGTATTTTGTAAACTAAAGCTATTACTGAGAATGTTCAGCTCAAAAATCACCTGACAAATTCATGGAAAGGATGTCATAAATAACATAAAATGTGTTCCCTGGCTTAAAATAAAAAGCACATCAACACTCATACAGATGTACAAACTGTCTGCTCCCTCTGTTTGGTCTGTTTTACCAGGAAACAAAACAACTAGAAGGCACCCCTGTTAATGACAAAACTACCAATAGTCATTTGCTTCAACTGTTTTATGATAGTTTTACCAGAAAACAACCAAAAGATCTTTCATGCCTGTACATGGAAGAAGAAACAGAAACTGTGCCAAGAGGTTCCAAACAATTGCCTCTGGAAAGCACTGAAAAATCAAGACCCAGAAAAGGCTAGCCAGAAGCCCAAGTTTGATTTTGGAAACCTTACAGAGGTGAGGATAGCTATTTTGAAATTACTATGGGGAGGAAGCAGGCACAGAACACAGAACAACCTGACAGAAATGGCCCAAGAATCTTAAAGTCTTGCAAGATGTCTGTCTGCATGAAAGCAAAAAGAAAAAAATAAAATATTAAATAAAAAAAAAATCTTAGTCTGAAGTTTAAGTAGGGACTTTAATTGACTACTGACTCTAAACTGTGCGGCTCTAATAAATCTACTAAAAGTAATCTAACTTTTAAAAGCACCATATGAATAGACAATTTAGGAAAGAAATGTTAATAGGCCTCAAGGAACATGTTTTTGAAGTGAGCCTTGAAAATCTGCAAAATGACGAGGTTGCATTGTGCAAATTGAAGCTATTATGAGAATGTTCAGGTCAAAAAAATTACCTGACAAATTCATGCACAGGATCTCACAAGGAACACAAATGTGTTCGTTGGCTTTAAAAAAATCACATTAACATTCATGTTGATATACAAAAACTCTTCTCCATCTGTTTTGTGTGAGTTTTACCAAGAAACCAAACAACTGGAAGGTACCCACGTTGAAGATGGCAAAACTACCAACTGCCATTTGCATGAATTGGTGAGCATGACTAGTATTAAAAAAACTTAAAAATTGATATCACTTTTGTTCCTACAAATTGGCAAAGGATTTTATAAACTAGTAAGTCAGCATTAGCAAAAGTGCGAAAATGGCACTATCAGATACTAGTGGTAAGAGCATAAACTGAATATTTTGAATACCCTACAAAACTAGGACAGTGTCCTAGAATTTGTAATGGCATAAACCAGAAACAACATAAATAAAGGAACAGAATTTACAGTACTTCCATGTGATGGGATACCATGAACTCATTAATATTCAAAAAACATTTAAGTTTAAAAATGCTCAGAACTAAAGTAACATTTAAAAAACAGGCTAGCTCATCTACACACAACATAGTAACATGGTAACAATCTCATAAAAAATACTATATGTATAGAGAAAGAACCAGAAGGAAATGCTCTCAAATATAAGAAATGTTAATAAGGTGGTTAGTTTTTAGTTTTCTTCACCCTGTTCAGTACTTCTGAGTATCTCCTATGAGCTCATTAATCTTTAATTTTAATCATCTTATTTTTAAAAAACAAGGACCATCTTGATATATGTTTACTTTTATTAAGGAAAAAGAATCTATGAACACAGGAACAGAAATCAGGAGATCTTGGCTCTCGCCCTTTCAGTGCCACAAAGCTGTTTTGTGAACCTGTAAATAATCCATTTGGAGTCTCCATGTTTCTCAATTGTAAAATGACGATGTGCTGCTTCTACACATTTCACAGGGTCATTGCAAGAATAAAATGAGACAATGAGAATGTTGGATTTACATGCTTGTATAAGAACAGAAGACCTTTTATGCCTGTACACAGAAGAAATGGAAATCATGACCCAAAAGGCACCAAATAACTGACTGCACACATCACTAAAAAAGCCCCAGGAAAGGCTAGCCGGTTTGTTTATCCTCTTACAAGGACCTATATGATGTGTAAGGTTTTAAGAAAACAAGGTTTGAACGTTAGACATTTCATATACTTATCTATGACTTACGACATTTAATAAGCTTGACTTCACAAAGATTTTCTGTTATTTTGCTTGTGTTGAGAAGATACTATCACAAAAGGCTAGTGGGGTTGCCTTAACTATATGGACCATCACACAAATGTGCTCATCTAAACCAGATTTTATTCTAAATCTTTCCTGGGCTAAAAAGAGAGAGAGAAAAAAAAGGGCACTACTACTACCATTTCAGAAGTCTGTCGTACATAAAAGGAACAATTTTGTTATTTCTGGCTGCCTGGGAGCAATGTATTATACTGGCAAGTGCTTTGGAGTTACACCACTGGAGTGTGAATCTCGGCTCTATCAATAACTAGCTGTATAATAATGAGTAAGTTACCTAACCTTTCTTTATCCATTTCCTTATTTATAAAAAAGGGATTAATAATGGTACCGGCCATTCTAAGTTACTGTAATTAAATAAAATTACATTCACAAAGCACTTTTGCACATAGCCAACCCACAGTAAACACTATTAGTAACCTTAGTTCATTAACTGTTTACTGTATACTCTAATAAATGTCTGATACACACCCATGCCCACCTGCACATACACAAATGCTCATAGTAATTATGTAAGGCAAGTATTATCTCCACATTTCAGGCAGGTTAACTTACACAGCTATTATAGTAAGTGATAGAGCAGAACTTAAAAACCCAGTATGATTCAGGTCCAAACTCCTTTTCTTTCTTTATATAACCATAATATTTCAAATTAAGTAAGATTTCCTATATAACGTCCTGCCTCTCATCATTATCATCAAAATAATTCCCCAGAGGTGTAGGTTCTTAATTAAGCATTTCTTAGTGCATAACTCTATTCAATAACATTTTTCAATTTAAGGAATAATCTCATCTCAGCTCATCTGAGGTGTGGATTAAGTGTTCTTTAAGCCTTTATATACACGTGATCACATACGGCTCGTTTTTTCTGCTTGGGATTATAAAAATCTCCGTAACACCAAATACAGCTTTTGAAGTCACATATAAACAGACGTTGACATGTATATTAACAAACATATATAAACAAGGTGATTTCACACGTTATCTACTTAAAAGAGGGAAGTAAAGTAGTTTTACTAAAATATGCGATTATCCACTTGCCAGCTCACCTGTTAGTGGAGCCCCATGAAATGTCTGTGACCCCTGATATCCATCAGGCACCGAGTCTGGTCCATAATTCTCTGTGGGCCAACGATGATGGGATGCTGACTTACTGCTATTTAGTTTCAACTCCTGCATTTCTTCCTATTGGAAGAAAAAAAAATCAAATAATTTTAATCATTTAATTATATCATGCCAGAAACAGTGCTGGGGAAACTTACTCTTTTAAATTTAAATAACTGATTTTTTCTTTTTTTCTTTTTTGAGATGGTGTCTCGATCTGTCGTCCAGGCTGGAGTGCAATGGCACAATCTTGGCTCACCGCAACCTCCACCTCCTGGGCTCAAGCAATTCTCCCACCTCAGCTTCCCAACTAGCTGGGATTACAGGTGTCAGCCAGCACGCCAGGCTAATTTTTTGTATAATAGTAGAGATGCGGTTTCACCATGTTTGCCAGGCTAGTCTTGAACTCCTGACCTCAAGTGATCCACCACCTCAGCCTCCCAAAGTGCTGGGATTATAGGTGTGACCCACCACGCCCGGACCTGATTATATCTTTTGAAAGTTTCTATTTGCCAATGAGTTCTAGGTACCTGGTGCTGATTTTAAAATATGATTCTTAATTTGTTAAAAATTTATCTGCTCCCATTTTCATTCGTTAATACAAAACTTAATTCATTAACTCTCTCACCTAAACAAATAACCTCCTAAATGATCACACCTTCATTTCCATTCTACACTTGCCTACATTAACCTTTCTGACGTTCACCTCCAGCCAAGACAATTCCCTGCTCAAAAAAACAAGTACCTACAAACTAAACTTCTTTCCCCAACTTTCACAGTCCTCTAACATTACAGTGACCATCCTTTCAGTGTGTTCTTTCTACACTGCAATCTGGACTACCTGACATTCCAAATCACCTCCCCAAATTAGCTTTTCACTTAACCCTGTGTTCAAACAAAATACAACTAATTCTCAAGGTGATGTTCAAATGCTCCACCAGGAAAGGGAAAAAAGTAGTAGCTGCAGAGAATTTATTATGTATATAATAATACGTCCAATGCACTTAAACTCTTAATTTTTATACTATCTACACTGTTAGGTAAACAATATTAGCTCCTATCTTAAAATGAGAGAAAGGGATGCAGGGAATAACAGCTGGAATTTGAACCACATCTGACTCCAAAAATGTTTTCTTAACACAACTCTGCTGCCTTGACAAGATGGCAGATAGATACAATGCCGTCTAGTGTAGCTATGTGGCTACCTGATCTCTGCTGAAGAAAACTAAATGACAGCACCATACCCAACACCCTAGAACCTACAAAATGTCCCCTTACAAAACAGACACTTAACAGGAAATTCTTTTTCCAAAGAAATTGTAGTGGTATCAGAAAACAGGTAAATTTTGAAAAGTTTCAAACTTCTCTGTATCAGCCCAGGAATCCGACCAGTTCTAACAAGTGAGGTCAGGGACAGATCTAGCATGTCTGCTTTCTTTTTCTACAAGTGTTTCAAATAAAAATTTCCCAGAAAGACCTAACCATGAGGTCCAAAACTATCTCAATTTTCAAGCTAAATAAAATTTCCCCCACTCATCCATCTACAGTGCCTAGTCCAGATGCTACACATACACATCCAAGAAATAAGAAACTAGTGGAATCACCTAGAAAACTTTATGGTCACTGCTGGTATCTGCACCAGAGCTTTGAATTTGCAATCACTGCTGTAACTGTAATTTTTAACATTCAGTGTGATGAGAACTGGCTTCGATAATTCTCTCATTTTAAAGATAAGAAGCCAAACGGTCACAAAGGAAGTGACTGGCCCAAGATCATTAATTAATGGCAGAGTCAGTACTAGTACCAAGCTTTTCAAGCTCATGGACCGGTGCTCCACTATACTTCCACAGAATACAATGTTGGGAGCCTGAAACCTGTATGTTAAGTCAAAATTGTATGTAATTGTCATAGGCCATGACTACACAGAATTAACATTCAAGATTTTTGTGCAAATTCAAAAATGTCTTCCCCACCAAATAGTATTCTCTTAATTTGCAAATACTGCTGATCACACTGTAATAATCGCCACACATCAGCATATCCTTGATGTAACTTTAGCAGTATAATTTAGTTCTTGCCTGATAAACATGAAAGAACCTACTTTTATTTCCAATTCCAAAAAAGTCAAGCTCCTTTGAACCCTATTGTTAAAATACGATATATATACATAACTATTTCCTTACATAATTAAGTCAAATTCATATGGAAGTATTAAAATATAGTAAGACTTTTTGAAGCTCAGACCACTTTTCAATTCCTAGCTATACATTTGAAACACATGTAATCCACAGCTAATCTGGGAATGAACTCATAGACCAGAGTATGATTAGTACATTGTAGCAGTTCAATCACTCGGGAACCTTCTCTGTGTCAGGAACTCTTATATTTTAAATAAAACAGTTTCTACCTTTGAAGGTCTCAAATTTTGTGGAAGATGAGGAGAGAGACACATAAAGTACTTTCAAAAATATAGTAAAGGGCTGGGTGCGGTGGTTTACACCTGTAATCCCAGCACTTTGGGAGGCCAAGGCGGGCAGATCGCCTGAGGTCAGAAGTTCAAAACCAGCCTGGCCAACATGGTGAAACTCTGTGTCTACTAAAAATACAAAAATTAGCTGGGCCTGGTGGCGGGTGCCTGTAATCCCAGCTACTCGGGAGGCTGAGGCAGGAGAGTTGCTTGAACCTGGGAGGTGGAGGTTGCAGTGAGCCAAGATTGCACCACTGCACTCCAGCCTGGGCAACAGAGCGAGCCTCTGTCTCAAAAATAAAATAAAATAAAATATGGAAAAGGGTCAAGACCAAGGTATGTAGGCTGGGCACAGTGGCTCACACCTGCAATCCCAGCACTTTGGGAGGCTGAAGCAGGAGGATTGTTTGAGCCAGGAGTTCAAGGCCACCCTGGGCAACATGGAAAAATCCCATCTCTACAAAAAATACAATTAGCTGGGCCTAGTGGCGTGTGACTGTCTGTAGTCCTGGCTTCGTGGCAGGCTAAGCCAAGAGGCTCTCTTGAGCTAGGAGGTCGAAGCCGCAGTAAGCTGTGATCATACCACTGTACTCCAGCCTGCACAACAAGACCCTGCCTTAAAAAAAAAAAAAAAAAAGACCAAAATGTCCCCTTGCCATACTATTTGGATGGCAAGGGGACATTCTGACCAGCTTCAGAAAAAAAGTGAGAGAGTGGCCAGGGAAGGAATCTTGGAATAAAAAGTACAGCTAGAGAAATTAAGTGACTTACCTTAATGGCCTTTACTTCTTGGCGAATCATTTTCAGTAAAGAATTCTGATCTTCTGCCCATCGAGGTGGTGTTTTGGGAGAATACTAAAAAAAAAATAAAAATCACAAAAGAGCATTTAAAACACTTAGAAACAATTTCACAATGAAATGATTCCATTCTTTCCTGTTTACCTTGTAACTTTTACTTGGTGATAGTGAATATTTGGTAGGAGATGGTGTAGAATGTTTTATTTCTGAATCCGCATTTCGCAAAGAACCATTTTTATAGAGAGGATCTCCTTCACTATAGTTTTCGAGTTCCTGCATGACTGACTTAAGCATCTCTTTTACAGACTCCAGGGGCACAGGCAACTAAAAATAAAAGACATTAATTAAGGGCTTTCATTTGCAAAAAATTCCAAAAGTAAAAACTCTAAAATGATATATTTTATCTTATTTACATTTTTGTCACTTTAATAAGCACTTTACACTTTAAATAATAATACACGTGAAAGTGTTTTTTAATTATCTTTTTTCTTTGTTTTTCTGCTGTTTTGTATTATTTTTATTTTTTTGTCTTTATTCTATTTTTTCCTTCATGAACACAGAAAAGTGTTGTACAATCTAACATCTTCTGATTCTAAAGTCCATGCTCTTTCTATTACTTCTGTTAACCATGATAATTGTAGAGGAATGTTAACTTGGAAAGCTTTTCCAAGTGAACAAAATAAGTTACTGATGTTTTCTAACTGATTTTCAATGGTGACAGAAATACAGATGCTACAATACACCAGACAACATAAATCCTAATAAAAGAGTAGTAACACAAATTAACCAACAAAACACTCAGAAGACTGAACATAATTTAACATCATCATGACAATCTCAAA
This sequence comes from Homo sapiens, assembly GCF_000001405.40. NCBI lineage: Eukaryota > Metazoa > Chordata > Mammalia > Primates > Hominidae > Homo > Homo sapiens. The sequence continues at coordinate 107,862,163 of NC_000002.12, read as the reverse complement.
CAGCTGACAGCAAGAAAACAAGGGCGTTCATAATGGCTGATGACGATGAGAAGAAATGCTCTTAAGTTGTCAGCAACAACTTTCAATTTCAGCAAAGTTCATTAAGAATTAGTCCTGAGGTTATAATATTTGTTTTGATTACACTGCTAAGATAACAAAATCAATGTCTTATCTTAGAAATCTTTTCTAATTCCCCAAGAAGTACTTTTTAAGAGCATATACCTAGATTCCCAAGTTTAAAAAGACACACCAAACCTAAGACAAAGCAAGCAAATCTAAGCATTTAGACACACACATCCCTTCTGTGCATTAATAACAACATATTACTGAGTATTTTTGAAATTACCAAAATATAAGACCAACGCAAAAACACTGACCAGTGGGTTATCAGTAAGAACGTACATACAACAACCTGCTACTTACTTTCTTGACCACTGAAAGATTTGAATCACTGTCATCTAAAATCTTTATTAGGTAGCCCCTGGTCTTTCTCAGATAATTTTTGCATTCTTCTTGTTCTTCAGGAGAAAGGGCATCATTTGCAATGTCTTCTGCCTTCCTGTGAAAAATCTATACAAATAATGCTTTTATGAAATCATTAGCTTTTTAAAACAAAAAACTTTCAGCTTGGCCACGCATGGTGGCTCATGCCTGTAATCCCAGCTACTCGGGAGCTGAGGCACAAGAATCGCTTGAGCCTGGGAAGCAGAGGTTGCAGTGAGCCAAGATTGTGCCACTGCACTCTAGCCTGGCCAGCAGAGAAACCCCATCTTTTAAAAGAAATAATAAATAAATAAATAAAACTTTTAGCTCAAGTACTGCATCTACTTACCAGTGCAAGATTCCAATAAGAAACAACACTTTTTATAGATTCAAAAGCAGTCATAGCATCTTCTATATTTCCATTTACTGCATCCAATATAGCAAAAGTTACGTGTGCGTCTTCTTCATATTCAACAATTTCTGATGCCTAAACACACAGAATAGTTTTTAGTCAAATTGTTTATACTCAGAATATAAAACCCAAATGATTTTCCAAAGATTTTATATGATCTTAAGAGACAAACATCTCATTATTCTTCTCTGTCATATCTTATCTGTGAGAGCTAGTGAATTTAGAAAACAAGATTACCGTTAAATAACAAGGCAATTAATTTAAGCAGTGTATAGCTCCATGTCTTTGTTTATAAACTGGAAATTCCCATCTCCAATAAATTCATAAAGGAACTCTGTTACCTGAATGTCTACACTATGAAAATGTTTAAACAGAGGATCAATAGGTTCAGGAATACTGTTCTTCTTTTTTATTATCTTCAACAATGGCAAAACTTTCTTCCAATAATGAACACTTCTCCCTATGTATTCTCGTTGATCATAAAAAGAATTAAGACCACTGCCCTAAAAAAGAAAGTTAAAAGCACACAACTTTAAGGAACACGCATGATTAGATCTAAAGTTCATTTACAAGTTGTAAGAACTGGCTAAAATTTCAAGTCAAAACCAAATGGTACCTCAATAGTCATTTGTTCAACTTCTAAATACTGTAATAACTAAACCACCTTAATACCAGTGAACTCACTGCAACCTCTGCCGTGCAGGTTCAAGCAATTCTCCTGCCTCAGCTTCCCAAGTAGCTGGGATTACAGGCACCTGCCACCATGTCTGGCTAATTTTGTAGTTTTAGTAGAGTTTTTTTTGTATTTTTAGTAGAGACGGGGTTTCACCGTGTTAGCCAGGAATGATCTCGATCTCCTGACCTTGTGATCTGCCCGCCTCGGCCTCCTAACGTGCTGGGATTACAGGTGTGAGCCACCGCACCCGGCCTCTACACTCAACTTTTAAATGCTTCTAATGATACCACCCTAACGTAGCAATCCCAACTGCTTTTTAACAGTTGCCATTTTTAGATAGCTGAAACCTGCCTCTTCTGTAGTGTCAGTTTGTTCAAAAGGCTGACCATCTACACCTAATGGTGACACAAAACACACCTTAAATATTTAGAAAGATCTATAATGGTCTTACCTACAAAGCCTTGTGCTAATTTTTTTTTAATTTTCAGGCTAAATAATTATCAGAACTTAATTATTAAGGAATAACAGTAACAGCTCAGCTAATATGTAACATTCACTGTGTGCCAGGCATTGCTCCTCTAAGTGCTTATATTTAACTACATTAACTATTTTGCAGCAATAAAAAACACATCTGTCATAATATGACAAAGCTGCTGTTTTCAGAACAAAAAAACTTTCAATAAAAAGTTCATGATTTTAAAAAATTAAGGTAATGTTCTTTTAAAATGCTTATACTTTAAAACTCACCATTTTCTGAAGGCATTTTGCCCAATGTACAAGCAGAGCAGGTTGAAGGCCATGTTTTTCCTGGGCTCTTAGAGTGTTTATTTCATGCTGAACTAAAAGTCTCAATTTTGCTGAGTTTCCAGGTCTAAAAAATAGTTCAATTTACTAAAATTGCTTTCTAAATACACAGTTCAGCGCTTACATACATATATGTTAATGGGTCACATGACAAATTAAATCTTCACATGAGGATTAAATCCCTGGTAAAACCTACGCACTAAGTGAAAGCAATATTTTTGTTTTACTACTTACACTGCTTTTCTGTGAATCAGAGTACAAACCGCATCCCACCAAGATTTTTGTCTTTCTGTACAAAGCTGTTTACATACAGGAAGGGGCAGGCATAACGGCTGATAGGAGCTGTGGTGAGAATTACATTTCTCCTTTAATTGTAAGTGGCTGGTATATACTACTCCAAGGAGAAATACCTGTTTTATTTAAGGAAAAGTTAAGTTAGAAAAAAAAATTAAACAAAATTCAGAATATTTAATTTGTTAAAATCTTTGCTTACTTCAAGATCTAAAATACATATTGATTCAGGTGCATTTGTTTCAAGCCTTGAGGTTTCCTGGGGCAAATGATGGAAAAGCTGTTTTAGCCATTTTCGGATTCCAGGTAAAGCAGGCAATGAATTCCACTGTAAGCCAAGCCAAGTAAGGTGCTGAAGACTACCATTATGTGCTCGAATAGCACCTGAAATAAAATAAAAAAATTGGCTTAAGGGTTTGAAATTTTTCCTTGTGCCATTAGTTTTGCCAACATAAACAATTCACATTATATATATCTTAATTATATAACTGCTTTTCTATATCAAAGCTGGAGGGAATTCTATGTTAGGCAAAATCTCATGTTCTTATTAAATGCATTCTCACTTGATTATTTCTAGAAATTTTAATAAAAATAGTAGTGATGAAGAATGTTTAAGTCCATCTTAAAAAATGACACTGACTAGAACTCAATAAACCAAAATCAACTGACAAAAGCCAAATAAAGAACACCTAACCTAATAAGAAACCCCAAAACAATGGGTTTTCCTTTAAGTCATTAAAGCAATGGAACACCACTATATAATCCATCAGTACAGTAAAGAAATCTGTTTTTCTACAAGAAAGTCAATATTGAAAAGGTTATGCGCAGTCAGGAGTTCGAGACCAGCCTGGCCAGCATGGTGAAACTCCGCCTCTACTAAAAATACAAAAAATTAGCCGAGCACGGTGTCACGTGCCTATAGTCCCAGCTACGTGGGAGGCTGAGGCAAGACAATTGCTTGAACCTGGCAGGCGGAAGTTGCAGTGAGCCAAGATTGCGCCACTGTGCTCCAGCCTGGGTGACAGAGTGAGACTCTGTCTCAAAAAAAAGAAAAGAAAAGAAAAGAAAAGAAAAGAAAAGAAAAGAAAAGAAAAGAAAAGGTTATGTGCTTCTGGAAGCATGAAGAGGTATAATCTTTCTGTCATTTTGGCAATTTGCAAGACTTAAAGATGTTCATGTCCTTTGTCTCAGTAATTATGTTTATAGGTATCTCTATGGAAATAACTTGCCATGAAGACACTTTTTGTTGAAGTTTTTATCAGAGTATGATTATTAACAGTGGAAAAGTTGAGAAAACTTGGATGCCCAATAACAGAAAGTAGCAAGCAAATTATGACTACTTCATAAAAAAGATTATATTGCCAATAAAAGTGATATTTATAGTTTTAATACAGAGACTATGGGAGAGAATTCATGAAGGAAGCAAGATAAATCATACATAACCATTTAGATGAAAAATATGGCCAGATGCAGTGGCTCATGCCTATAATTCCAACACTTTTTGTTTTTGAGACGAAGTCTCGCTCTGTCGCCCAGGCTGTAGTGCAGCAGTGTCATCTTGGCTCACTGCAACCTCCACCTCCCAGGTTGAAGCGATTCTCCTGCCTCAGCCTCCTGAGTAGGGACTACAGGCACATGCCACCACCCCCGGATAATTTTTGTATTTTTAGTAGAGACGGGGTTTCACCATGTTGGCCAGGATGGTCTTGAACTCCTGATCTCAGGTGATCTGCCCGCCTCGGCCTCCCAAAGTGCTGGGATTACAGATATGAGCCACTGTGTCAGGCTTAATCCCAACACTTTGGGGGGCTTAGGCAGGAGGATCACTTGAGCCTAGGAGTTGGAGACTAGCCTGGGCAACAAAGGGAGACCCTGTCTCTACCAATTAAAAAAAAAAATTATCTGGGCCGAGTGGCATGTGCCTATGGTACCAGCTACTCAGGAGGCTGAGGCAAGAGAATCCCTTGAGCCCAGAAGTTCAAGGCAGCAGTGACCTACGATCACGCCACTACACTCCAGCCCAGGTGACACAGCGAGACCCTGTCTCAAAATACAACAAGGCTGGTCACGGTGGCTCACACCTGTAATCCCAGCACTTTGGGAGGCCAAGGCAGGTGGATCACCTGAGGTCAGGAGTTTGAGACCAGCCTGACCAACATGATGAAACCCTGTCTCTACTAAAACTACAAAAAAATTAGCCGGGCATGGTGGTGGGCATTTGTAATCCCGCTACTTGGGAGACTGAGGCAGTAGAATCACTTGAACCCGGGAGGCAGAGGTTACAGTGAGCCGAGATCGCACCACTGCACTCCAGCATGGGCGACAAGAGCAAAACTTGGTCTCAAAAACAACAACAACAACAAAAAATACATGCCACCCCCACAGCACCACATTCAAACTCCCCCCAGCCCAACCCACACACAAAAGGAATACAGGAAAATATTAAGTCGTTATTTCTGGGTAATAAGATTATGGGCAATTTATAAGAATTAAGACGGAGACCATTTCCTCTGAAACATATAACTTACCAACATCGTATCTAGCCAAATCTTCAAGCTCTGGTTCTTGTACATCAATGTTTCCAATATCATCGCTACCAAGAAAAGATGTATCCTTAGGTGACTGACTAGAAAACAGAGCATCATATAATGCAGACTGCCCGCTTTTGTTGGCAAAAGTTTCAACAACCACTTTTAAAAAATCTTGCTTGCCACGACTTAAGTTTAGCAACATGTGCCCTGAAAAAAAAATTTAAGTTATTTCCATCACTTTAAAAATACAGATTGTATTTGCTCACGTTGTCTCATTTGTATACCCAAAGGGGAAATAATATGATTATTGCAGACCTAACCCTCCAACCCAAAAAATACAGCTGGACAACAAAACGGGTGCTTATGTAGCAAATGAAAAGAGTACAGGTTTAATATTCTCAGTATCTACATAAGACAGCAGAAGGGGGAAAAAAGACAGGAATGTGTATGAAAAATGCCAAACGTATTTGCATTTTAGATGAAAAGGTCTGGATTTAAGTGGCCATAGGAGAACAGGGACAAGCTCTTATTCTCTGATCTGATACACTGATTTCTAAACCTGGCTCATCAGAATCCTCCTTTAAACAGCTTTTAAGAATTATTTCCAGCTGGGCATGGTGGCTCATGCTTGTAATCCCAGCACTTTGGGAGGCCAAGCTGGGTGGATAATGAGGTCAGGAGATCAAGACCATCCTGGCTAACACAGTGAAACTCCATCTCTACTAAAAATACACACACAAAAAAAATTAGCCGGCCCTGGTGGCGGGTGCCTGTAGTCCCAGCTACTGGGGAGGCTGAGGGAGGAGAATGGTGTGAACCCGGGAGGCGGAGCTTGCAGTGAGCCGAGATCACGCCACTGCACTCCAGCCCGGGCGACAGAGTAAGACTGTCTCAGGAAAAAAAAAAAAAAAAGAATTATTTCCAGGCCTTGTTCCCAGAGATTTTTATGCCATAGGTTTACAGTAAGCAATCAAAAAATCATAGTCCTCGGATAAAGTACTGATACATGCTATAACACAGATGAACCTTGAAAACCTTGCTAAATGAAAGAAGCCAGTCACAAAAGACCACATACTATATGATTCCATTTATGTGAAATGTTCAGAAGAGGCAAACCTACAGAGACAGATTAGCGGTTGCCAAGGCTGAGAGGTTTGGGTAAAATGGGGAGTAACTGCTAATAGGTAAGGAATTCCTCATGGAGTGATGAAAATCTTCTAAAACTGACTGTGGTGACAGTGATAATACTCTATGAACATAGTAAAAGCCACTGAACTGTACACTTTAAATGGGTGAAGCGTATGGTATACGAATTATATTTCAATTGAACTTTTTAAAAAAACCCTCCTTCGAGTTAATTCTGCTGGGCAATTAGGTTTGGTTACCACTACACAGTTGTGTCTCAGCACACTTACAGAGGCACCCTCGGGATGCCCAGATCAAAGACATAAAAAAAAATACAGGCAATTTTTATCTAACTGTGACACCACGCAAAGGCACTTATGAGAGCCCTGCAAGGGTAGAAGGAAAAGAGAAAAGGAAAAAAGTAGAAAGTCACTTTAAGGACTGAAAGCCTAACTCCCACAAAAAAAGTGGGCTATGGAATAAAAGAGCAATGTGAGCTTTGGCCAACAGCCTAACTATACACCAAAGCTTATAATAACTTTGATTAATATTACATCTTGCTCTTTACAAAATTCATCCAATTTTATATCAGAACTGCTCCTTATAGAAAGCATTATGTTTCTTCAGTTCACTGCTTGATTCAATGGCCATCTAACTACCTTAAAGTTTGTATCTTAGCAAAATCACAGGTAATACGCAACAGACCTTTAGGATTCATCCCAAGCCAAAAATGGGGGAAAAAATCCACAAATTCCAAGAGCCTAATATAAGGTAAGTATATATCTTCTATCTTCCTCACTATGCTCTCAGTTCTTTAAGACAGATGCGTATCTTCTTCATCTTTATATCCCCACAGCAGTGTTTTTAGAATCAGCTGGTGTTAAATGGTTGGCAAATCAATAATTATACTTAGTTCAGGAAGTGACTAAATATTCAGGATAGAGGCTCTAGCAGCCAGATGAAGAAAGAGTTAAGAAATCCTCTCCACATAGGAACAAACAATATCAAATATTCATTTTTTTAAAAGAATGTGCTATTTCTTCGCATCTCTTCCATACCTATTGCTCTTAACTGATACGGCGAAAAGAAATAATTTTGACAAATTATCTCCTGGACAGATGGAGATTTTATCATAAGATATGCCTTAACAGAAATTCCTTTTTCTTTTTAAATTAAATTAGTTTAATATTACTATTACCTGATTGGCTCAGTCGGTCACAGGCCATCATTTCCAGCAGATTTTGTCCAGCTTCACCTTTTATTAATTTAATCTTTGGTCTTGGAACCTAATAATTTTAGAATCAAAAATCTTAATTTGATGATACCCATACTTCTAATAGTAACATGGTCTTATCTATTACACTGTACTTTTTTTGATAATGAATGAACAGTTAACCATTAATTAAACTGAATTGGAAAAGACTGCAAAAACTGGGAACCAAGGAATTTATATAACCTATGAAAGATAGGCCAGGTACAGGCGTGGTGGCTCACACCTGTAATCCCAACACTCTGTCTGGGAGGCCAAGGTGGGCTGATCACTTGAGGTCAGGAGTTCGAGACCAGCCTGGCCAACATGGTGAAACCCAGTCTCTACTAAAAATAAAAAAAAAAAACAAAGAGCCAGGCGTGGTGGCACACACCTGTTAATTCCAGCTACACAGGAGGCTGAGGCACAAGGATAGCTTGAACCTGGGAGGCAGAGGTTGTAGTGCGCCGAGACTGTGCCATTGCACTCCGGCCTGGGTGAAAGAGCGAGACTCCATCGCAAAAAAAAAAAAAAAAAAGAGAGGGGCCAGACATGTTGGCTCACACCTGTAATCCCAGCACTTTGGGAGGCCAAGGTGGGGGGATCACTTGAGCCCAGAGTTCAAGACCAGCCTGAACAACACGGTGAGACCCTATCTCTAAAAAAAGTTTTTTTTAATTAGCCAGGCATGGTGGCACACACCTGTGGTCCCAGCTACTCAGGAGGCTGAGGCAGGAGGATCACTTAAATCCAGGAGGTCAAGGCTGCAGTGAGCCATGATCATGCCACTGTGCTCCAGCTTGGGCGACAGAGTGAGACCCTATCTCCAACAAAAGAAAAAAAAAAAAAAGCATACACAGAGCAGCTCTGAGAAATTAGTTTCTACTAAAAGCACATTCATGTTACATTCAGAGAAATGGAAAATTTAATTACATTACTTTTCTACCCTGCATAAATAGGACAACAGCAGATGTTGTCCTATTTGAGTAGATATGACACCCTACTTTAAAAAGTACAGGTGAAATGACACTTGGAAATGCCACATTGTAGATAACACATTTTCAGAGTATGGATAATAGGGGATAGCACTGGAATAAATGGGACAACCAGGAAATTAAAGAGATCCTCATGCAATAACCTATGGAAAAAAAAAAGCATGATGAATAGAATGGCGAAGGGAAGACGTGACAGCTGCCTTCAAATATTAAAATTATTTTATAAAAGAAATCATCAAAAGAAGAAACAAGACCAACAGGTAGAAGGCTTGAAGAATATTTTTATTCTATATAAGGAAGTACCAAGAGCCAAACCACCTAAAGATGCACTGGGCTATCTTGAAAAGTAATGAATGTCCATCACTGAAAACGTCCAGTCATAGGCAATGCCCACTTACTAGAAACATGCCAAAAGTAACTATATGGGTGACTAGAGCATCGGCTTTTAATTCTATCACCACTTTCTTAATTGGTGGTGGAAATGTAATTTGATACAACCTCTTTAGGGTTAGATATTTGGCAACAGCTCTAAAAATTATAAATGCACAGATATACTTTGATACTGCAATTCTTTCAGGAATTCATGGCACAAGTTAATCATTGCTAAATTACTTGAAGTAGCATTTAAAAAAAAAAGTAAAAGCAAGCTAATGTCCTGGCTTTAGGACCCTGGTTTTAAAAACTCCAAAACTACAGTACATCCATACAATGGAATAATATGCAAGCATCCAAACTAATGAGAATACCCTTTATATATACTGACATGGAAACATCTCCAAGATACAGTTAATGGAAATAAAGTAAATGCAATGTTCAAACGTTTTCCTCCTTCTTTTAAAGACAGGGGATATATGTGTGTTTACTTGGAGATGCATAAAACATTTCCTGAAGAACACACAAGAAAGCAATAACATTAGTTTCTTTGGGGGTGGAGAAAGTAAATAACTAGGGAACAGAAAGGAGTCTTCATAGCATATTCTTAAGAGCCTCCAGAATTTTAAACCATGTATATATAATTCTTTCCAAATATGCTCATTTTTCAAAATATATGATTTATGAACCTAAAAGCTTCTGATTTTGAATTTTAGAAATATTCGTATCGCCTATCCTTTTACTCACAAGTTTTCTAAACATCATGTCAAAGTTTGTCATCTATATGTTGAAAAGAGCACACAAAATAAGAAACAAAATGTTGACATCATTCTTTTTGTTTTCAAACTGACCTCAATTCATAAACCCGGCCTCTTTTACAAAATTATTCAACAGTTGAATTTGTGACCAGTTAATTAGTTGTGAATCCACTCAATCAAATCATCTCAATTCACTATTTCCTTTTTTTTTTTTTTTGAGATGGAGTCTCGCTCTGTTGCCAGGCTGCAGTGCTGCAGTGCTGCAGTGGCACGATCTCGGCTCACTGCAACCTCCGCCTCCTGGTTTCAAGCAATTCTCCTGTCTCGGCCTCTCAAGTAGCTGGGACTACAGGCACCCGCCACCATGCGTGGCTAATTTTTCTATTTTTAGTAGAGATGGGGTTTGACCATGTTGGTCAGGATGGTCTCAAACTCCTGACCTCAAGTGATCCGCCCGCCTCAGCCTCCCAAAGTGCTAAGATTATAGGCGTGAGCCACCACGCCTAGCTATTTCCTCATCTTAACTAAAAGGTTTCAAGATACTTTGTCAACTACCTAGCTGCAATGCAGATGTACTTACTAGAACCACAGTATTCCTCTGATTAAGAGTCTGAAAATCTTGCCATAAAAGTTAGCCAATTCTTACATACCCAAATGCCAGCACATAACCTACATTTTATGCTTATAATCATTTGATCATTAAGCTTTAAAATAAACTGATAAAATAAAATACAAGCATCTAAGATGTTTCTATTATATATTCATTCTACAGAAATATGTGGTAGTTAATAAAGACTGAGGTAGGTATCTCTGTGCTGAAGTGGAACAATGAAGAAACATTTAGAAAAGCAAGGCATCTGGCAATAGGTAAAGCACACCCACATTGAGGCACAATATTTTTTAAAAGCAGAGAAAGAATGTATTGCACATTTGCATATGCAAAAAATATTTCTGAACACCCAAGAAACTCCTAACAGTAGCTGTCATCTAGGAAAGGAGACCTGAGTGAATGGATTAAGAGGGAAACTAACTTATTATGATTAAAAGTTCACAGTCAGGTGTGGTGGCTCATACCTGTAATCTCAGCACTTTGGGAGGGCAAGGCAGAAGGATCACTTGAAGCCAGGAGTTCAAGACCAACCAGCCTGGGAAACATAGCAAGACCTTGTCTTTACAAAAAATTTAACAATGTAGCCAGGCATGGTGGCAGGCACCTGTAGTCCCAGCTACCGAGCTGAGGCTGAAGCAGGAGAGGATCACCTGAGCCCAGGAGTTCGAGGATGCAGTGAGCTATGATCATGCCACTGCACTCCAGCCACAGCACCTCCCAAAACTACATATCAAAAAATTGTAGGCTGTGCGCAGTAGCTCACACCTATAATCCCAGCACTCTGGGAAGCTCGAGCCCAGTTCAATGTTACGGTGAGCTACGATTACGCAACTGCACTCCAGCCTGGGTGACACAGCAAGACTCTAATAGACACACAGACAGATAAATTTTAAAGTTTCCATTAAAAATAAGAACTATTGGCAGGGCGCGGTGGCTCACGCCTGTAATGCCAGCACTTTGGGAGGCCAAGATCATGAGGTCAGGAGATCGAGACCATCCTGGCTAACACGGTGAAACCCCATCTCTACTGAAAATACAAAAAAATTAGCCAGGCGTGGTGGTGGGTGCCTGTAGTCCCAGCTACTCGGGAGGCTGAGGCAGGAGAATGGCGTGAACCCAGGAGGCGGAGCTTGCAGTGAGCCGAGGTCGTGCCACTGTGCTCCAGCCTGGGCGACAGAGTGAGACTCCGTCTCAAAAAAAAAAATAAAATAAATAAAAATAAGAACTATCAGTTACTTGAGAATTTCTATAAGAACCTTTTAATGTTTGTATTACCTAGTGAACCTCACTAAATCCATTAATTTTCACTAATCCATTCCTTATGAACACAGAAGTTTCTACTGAGCAAATATTAGCACTTAACATGTGAACTGTCTATCAACGGTGTTTTTAAAAGATTTACAGGCCGGGCTCAATGGCTCATGCCTGTAATCCCAGCACTTCGAGAGGCCGAGTCAGGTGGATCACGAGGTCAGAAGATCGAGACCATCCTGGCTAACATGGTGAAACCCCATCTCTATTAAAAAATACAAAAGATTAGCCAGGCATGGTGGTGTGTGCCTGTAATCCCAGATACGTGACAGACTGAAGCAGGAGAATCACTTGAACCCAGGAGACACAGGTTGCAGTGAGCTGAGATTGCGCCACTGCACTCCAGCCTGGTGACAGAGCGAGACTCCGTCTCAAATAAAAATAAAAAGATTTATATTAGGCAGGGCATGGTGGCTCACTGCCTGTAATCCCAGCACTTTGAGAGGCCGAGACGCGCAGATCACCTGAGTTCAGGAGCTCAAGACCAGCCTGACCAACATGGAGAAACCTTGTCTCTACTAAAAATACAAAATTAGATGGGCGTGGTGGCGTGTGCCTGTAATCCCAGCTACTCGGGAGGCTGAAGCAGGACAATCGCTTGAACCCGGGAGGCGGAGGTTGCAGTGAGCCAGATGGCGCCATTGCACTCCAGCCTGGGCAACAAGAGCAAAACTCCGTCTCAAAAAGAAAAAAAGATTTATATTAGGAGGGGCCTTCTCTAAAAGTAATGAATCCTTTTTTTTCCCTCCCTAAGCAAAAAATCCTTCTCTAAAATTAATCATTTTTCTAAGCCTGGTTTAATGCTTTTTTGGAAGACTGCTTATTTCTTTTCCTTTCAAAAGTTATGCAGGCTCATTAAAAAAAAAAAAAAAAAAAGGCTGGGCATGGTGGCTCACGCCTGTAAATCCCAGCACTCTGGGAGGCTGAGGCAGGTGGATGACTAGGTCTGGAGATTGAGACCATCCTGGCTAACATGGTGAAACCCCGTCTCTACTAAAAGTACAAAAAAAAAATTAGCCAGGTGTGGTGGCGGGTGCCTGTAGTCCCAGCTACTCAGGAGGCTGAGGCAGGAAAATGGCGTGAACTCGGGAGGTGGAGCTTGCAGTGAGCCGAGATCGTGCCACTGCACTCCAGCCTGGGCGACAGAGCGAGACTCCGTCTCAAAAAAAAAAAAAAAAAAAAAAGGCCAGGCGCGCCAGGCGCAGTGCCTCGCGCCTGTAATCCCAGCACTTTGGGAGACCAAGGCAGGTAGATCACGAGGTCAAGAGATTGCGACCATCCTGGCCAACATGGTGAAACCCCATCTCTATTAAAAATACAAAAAATTAGCTGGGCTTGGTAGCACGGGCCTGTAGTCCCAGCTACTCGGGAGGCTGAGGCAGGAGAATCACTTGCACCCAGGAGGTGGAGGCTGCAGTGAGCCGAGATCACGCCACTGCACTCCAGCCTGGCAACAGAGAGAGACTTGGTCTCAAAAAAAATAAAAAAATAAAAAATAAGAAAAGGTTTTATGTTTTCAAAGATTAATAGATATACTGTTACATATACACAATACAGTCATAAATGTTATATACATGTGTTTCAATTAACATGTTAAACTGCAATCATATTCTTCTATCATAGGCTATAAAGCCATTGCCCTACATCTACTTATTAGGATTTTGTCCAAGTAACACATCTTTTTGAATCAAGTTTACCCATCATACGAGATTACATCTTTATCATGTTCCCAAAAATGGCAGAGTAAAAAGATCAAACTCTTCAAATTTGTCTACAAACAAATCATGGCAATGCAGGCTTTCGACAAGAGTGCACTCAACATCCCTGTTTCACCAGCCTCACCAGTATTGTGTATGCTTAGTTATTTTCCACTGTATCAAATTGACTATTTCATTTCAACTTTAATTCCACAGGTTTGTTCACATATTGTCATTACATACCAGAGCACACCTTCATTTAAAACACATCAAGACTCCGTGAAATGTCAATTGCTCCAAGTGGAAGACTTACCTGAAATGCTATGAGATAGCACAATGCAGCCAGCTCAGAAAGAGCTCGCCATTGAACATTATTACCATGCTGACCCATCTTCAAGAGCAGAGAACCAGCATGCATGTAGAAATGTCCTTTCATTTCTAAGAAAGTAGCTGACAGTTCATCATTTCCACCCAAAGAAGATTTCGCAGACTGAAGAGCACTATCAAAACTGTAATATGAAAATATCAAACAGATGATACACACTTACTGCACTGTGAATAATCATGGTTCATTTAATTCAAAACAAAATAAAAATTTTATTTCAAGCTTCATCTTCCACATTCAACTTCTAATAATTCTTATTCCCCGTGTTATAAATTATGAATCATCTAATGCTTATTTTTATCCTGCATACTTCCTATACTTCATGCTTAACCTCTCAAATGATGTCTTATTCCCAGTTATTTCCAGCCCTCCAATCACAGGATAAATATAAGATTAGTGATTATAGGTGCACATTTCAAAATAAACCAGGATAAAGTTGGGAGACTATTTTGTAGTTTCTTCCTGATCATATAATTTCATTATTTAATTAACAGTTGTAATTTCTCAAATTAGACATAGCATTTCCAAATTATAAGTAAATAATTGACAGGTATTTGAGTATCAATACAGTAATTGCTCTTTTTACTATATAGATCATTACAGCATTAAATAAATTGTCTTTTTTTTTTTTTTTTTTTTTGAGACGGAGTCTCTCACTATCGCCTGGGCTGGAGTGCAATGGCACGATCTAAGCTCACTGCAACCTCCACCTCCCAGGTTCAAGTGATTCTCCCGACTCAGCCTCCTGAGTAGCTGGGATTACAGGCACCTGCCACCATGCCCCGATAAACTTTTTTTATATTTTTAGTAGAGACAGGGTTTTACTATATTGGCCAGGCTGGTCTCGAACTCCTGACCTCACGATCCGCCCGCCTCAGCTTACCAATGTGCCGGGATTACAGGCATGAGCCACTATGCCTGGCCTATTATTTGTAATCTATATTCTAAATTAGTTCTTCTAAATCCTAATGTTTCTCCAAATCCTCACTTTGGAAGAAAAGTAAAAGCAAAAAGCAAACACTTAAACGTGAAGCATGATTTTAAAGTGGCTTACAATAAAGCAACCAGAGCAAGTGAGGTCTAAAGATCTCTGAGGGTGCTCAAAAACCCCTTCAGGGGATCCATGAAGCTAAAATTACTTTTACAATAATACCAAAAAAATTTATATATTACATACTCATTTTCTCATGTATGTAGAGCTGAGTTTTTTTGTTTTTGTTTTTGGAGACAGAATCTCACTCTGTCACAAGGCTGGAGTGCAGTGGCACAATCTTGGCTTACTGCAACCTCTGACTCCCAGGTTCAAGCGATTCTTCCGCCTCAGCCTCCCGAGCAGCTGGGACTATAGGCGCGTACCAACATGCCCGGCTAATTTTTTGTATTTTTAGTAGAGACAAGGTTTCACCATTGTTAGCTGGGATGGTCTCGATCTCCTGACTTCGTGATCCACCCGCCTTGGCCTCCCAAAGTGCTGGGATTACAGGCCTGAGCCACCGCGCCCCGCTGAGCTGAGTTTTCTAGAGGCTTCATGACATGTAATAGTTTTACAGACTGAAAGAGGAAGTAAATGAGAATCTAGCTATGTTCTATTAAGCGAGACATTAAAAAGATTTACAAAAATGCAAAAACAATGACACTTTTCTGACTACTTTTTTGCTGTTGGAAAATAATTATTTTTCATAAAAAATGCTATTATTGGCCCTGTGCGGTGGCTCACACATGTAATTCCAGCACTTTGGGAGGCTGAGGCGGGTGGATCACCTGAGGTCAGGAGTTCAAGACCAGCCTAGCCAACATGGTGAAACCCTATCTCTACTAAAAATACAAAAAATTAGCCAGGCGTGGTGGTGGGCACCTGTAATTCCAGCTACTTGGGAGGCTGAGGCAGGAGAATCGCTTGAACCTGGGAAGCAGAGGTTGCAGTGATCCGAGATCACACTGTTGCACTCTAGCCTGGGCAACAAGAGCAAAACTCCGTCTCAAAAAAAAAAGCTATAATTATTAACACACAGTAGGGCTTATTACATTTTTAATGGATTACATTTTTTATTTGTTTTAATTTCTAATGTAATAAACACTGACAGAAATAACCCACATACGGCCGGGTGCAGTGGCTCAGACCTGCAATCCCAGCACTTTGGAAGGCCAAGGCAGGCGGATCACGATGTCAAGAGATTGAGACCTTCCAGTACTTTGGGAGGCCAAGGTAGACAGATCAAGAGGTCAAGAGATCGAGACCAGCCGGGCGCGGTGGCTCATGCCTGTAATCCCAGCACTTTGGGAGGCTGAGGCAGGCGGATCACAAGGTCAGGATATCAAGACCATCCTGGCTAACACAGTGAAACCCCATCTCTACTAAAAATACAAAAAATTAGCTGGGTGTGGTGGCAGGAACCTGTAGGCCCAGCTACTCGGGAGGCTGAGGCAGGAGAATGGCGTGAACCCTGGAGACACAGCTTGCAGTGAGCCGAGATGGCGCCACTGCACTCCAGCCTGGGCAACAGAGCGAGACTCCGTCTCAAAAAAAAAAAGATCGAGACCATCCTGGCCAACATGATGAAACCCTGTTTCTACTAAAAATACAAAAATTAGCCAGGTGTGGGCTGGGCGCGGTGGCTCACGCCTGTAATCCCAACACTTTGGGAGGCCGAGGAGGGCAGATCACGAGGTCAGGAGATCGAGACCATCCTGGCTAACAAGGTGACACTCCGTCTCTACTAAAAATACAAAAAAATTAGCCGAGCGTGGTGGTGGGCGCCTGTAGTCCCAGCTACTCAGGAGGCTGAGGCAGAAGAATGGTGTGAACCTGGGAGGTTCACAAGGCGGGTAACAAAGGGCCCATGAGTCCTGATTAACTGATCTGACAAACCATCTGTCACCCACAGCCCTAAGCCACACTGTGAAACTGCCTAGGGTGGCACCAGCTTTTTATCTTCCTCAGGGTCCTCCCTTCAGGCCCCCAAGTAACCCCTCATGGTCCAGATTCTCCCGAGTGACTCCATTCCCATGGTCATCTCCCCTCCTGAGCCTCCCCCTCTGAGGGCCAAGGGCTGTCCTCAGGGCCCTCCTGGGGCTTCCTGGTGGGGAACAACCTGAGGCAGGAGGATAAGCTCTTATTCAGAGCATTGAGAGGAAATTGTGAAGCTTGCAGTGAGCCGAGATTGCGCCACTGTACTCCAGGCTGGGTGACAGAGCGAGACTCTGTCTCAAAAAAAAAAAAAAAAAAAAAAAAAAAAAAAAAAAAAAAAAAAAAAAAATTAGCCAGGTGTGGTGTCGGGCACCTGTAGTTCCACCTATTCAGGAGGCAGAGACAAGAGAATCACTTGAACCCAGGAGGCAGAGGTTGCAGTGAGCTGAGACTGCACCACTGCATGCCAACCTGGCGAGAGCAAGACTCAGTCTCAAAAAAAAAAAGAGAGATTGAGACCATCCTGAACCCCGTCTCTACTAAAAATACAAAAATTAGCTGGGCGTGGTGGTGTGCGCCTGTGGTCCCAGCTACTCAGGAGGCTGAGGCAGGAGAATCGCCTGAACCCGGGAGGCAGAGGTTACAGTGAGTCAAGGTCGTGCCACTGCACTCCAGCCTGGTGACAGAGCAAGACTCCCTCTCAAAAAAAAAAAAAAAAAAAAAAAACAAAAAAGAAAGAAAGAAAGAAAGAAAGGAACCCACATACAAACATCTTTGATGTCCTTAAGAAAAATGTAAAAGGAACTTGTGACCAAAAAATTTGAGTATACAAAGAACACAAAATAAAACATCCTACATGTTTTCTAAAATAATCTTAAAGTTATGTTAGTTCTTTTAGATACTGTTCTTACCCTACCAATTTAGGACACTATGTACTTTTTCAAGAAAATTACCTACTCCCTGCACTCAGTGAAATGAACTTCTTTCCTTATACCAGATGGGGAAATAAATTAACTTCCAAACAAATGGACAGCCTAAACTAGCAATCAGTAAACTTTTTCTACAAAAAGGAGGAGATTACTAATCTGGCTTTACAGGCATACAATCTCTGCTGCAACCACTCAACTCCAATCTTGTAGTATGTAAGCAGCCACAGACAATACATAAACAGAGGCATGCTGCATTCCAATAAATATTAACAAAATTAGGCAGGGGCCATATTTGGCCCACAAGTTCTAATCAACAACCCCTGCTCTAAACTAACATCTTTATACAAATCCAAGTGATGTTTTTGTTCAATGGAATTTATTTTCAAAATGGAGACACTGGTTTTCAAAATCAAAATTTAGGAAAAAAGGTAAATCACATAGTTGAGTTATTTTGTTTCTTAGCTAAAACAGTATTTTCTGAAACACCAGTGATGCTAAGTGCTTATACTAGTACATGTGAACCTAGCCATCTGATGACAGATGAACCTTAATTTTCACTCAAGATTATACTATTATAAAAAAATAAAATATGAAATAGCAGTTAGAACATTCATTTTAAGCTTGACTATGACAAAACTGAGTATTTAACCATAAGGCTAATTTTAATCAAGCTTGAACTATAAGAGTTCTCTAAAAAGGAAAGTCATATAAAACCAATTAGAACTTCCCCGTAAAAGAAGAAAAATAAGATTGCCTCCTAGTGGTTCACTGTATTAACTATAACTCCTAGGTACATTATAGAAATAATGATTCAGTAAAGAAATTTAGAGCAATGAACTTACTGCAAAAAGAAAAACTACAATTTATACTAAAGCATTCTCCTCAAAGTCAACGCACCTTTCCAGTAATTCTCTACTTTCCTGCACATCTCTAGTGGAAAGCGTAAGAAGCATAAGATTAGCATAGGCCAGCAGTAAGTCTGTATTGGTTGCTCGCCAGTCACTTTTATCAGACTCCAAACACTGTAAAGACTCCAGATATTCCTATTTTGTGGAATGAATAGTAAGTTACAAAACTTAATCAAGTGTTAAGAAATTAACCATTTTATGCCTACAAATTCCTTTTCTCACTCCAACCACGTTTGTGAAACTACATTGATTTTTACATCAACCTTATAAATGAAAACACCAAAAATATACACATTTATCATAGTTATCTCCCCAATTTTCCCATTATAAATTCAACTGATCCTGGTAAAAATTTCGTTTTATAACTGTTCTACCTAAATAAAAGAAATTTAAGTCCTGCGGGGCACTGCTGCTTTAGTACAAAAAGATGTATGCTAATTGCCTACATAGAAATGTAAAGACCCAATAGCTTTTATCTACCTTAAGGGTCTGTACAACACACGAATTCCACTCTAAACTTGAACGCAAAGCTATGTTCCTCTCTGCCTCATGGCAGCGGGCCACAGCATCCTTCAATCTTTTAGTTGAGCGATACAACTCCACTAGCCGGATGTTCACATGGACGTCATCAGGTCTTACATAAAGTTCTGACTGAATCAAGTCAAAAAGTTTATTCCATCCATCTTCACCTTCACAATCTAGAAGCTGTTCCTATTTAGAGGGGAAAAAGAAAAATTATTAGAGTAACACTTGTGCAATTTTAAACAAGTCATGCTCCCAAAAAGCACCATTCCACTATGTCTAGTTTTATGATGATGCCACCAAAAACACCATCCTATATACCTTATTCGTCCCTTCTGAGAGTTGCTTACAACCCAGAAACTAAGCCTCAAGAACTGTATGTGAAGAAAAGCATCTGTGATTACTGCGGTAGCTCATACTCTCTTCAGAGACTACCAGGACTATTGCCACACATCCCTGTCCATCTGAGTCACCATCAGAAGCCTAGACCTCCCCAGTCAATCCTCAGCAACAAGGTCCTTATGCTCAAACTGCTCTGTATCTCCTTAAATCTGACTCAATCCCGCATCCCCTCTCCTCCCACTGTTCTGTTACCTTCATCATCATCTCAAAGCACTGTCATCACCTCCTGACCTTAAATGAAGACAGTATCATCTCAGGATAACCCCCACTACCATGATGGCTTTTTCTCTCTGAACTTACATACAAGGAGAGGAAGTAGGGTTTGTGGCCACTCACTTCTCATTTGCGATGCTCTTCCATCAGCCTCTCAAGAAGCTAGGACCATAGGCATGCACCACCATGCCCGGCTAATTTTTTTTTAACGTTCTGTAGAGATGGGGTCTTGCCGTGTTGCCCAGGCTGACTACTCAGTTCCTTAATCACCTCATCTCCAGTGATGTTATCCTCCACTCCAACCTCAACCATCCACTTGCCACTGACACAGGTCTTCAAAATCTGCATTTTGGTCATACCACCGAAACCACCATACCATCCTTCTTATTCTTCCACCTCACTGAGGGCCTACATACCCTTACTTTCAGAAATACCACATGACAAGCTCCCTTCAAGACAATAACATCATCAAGTTTTAAACACCTGTAAACACATATAAATACACACACTTTCTTCTGTCAGGCAAAAAATGCTATAATCCCTTATATCCATAATTACTGTTTGCTTACAGATCCCTTCAACTAATTCCCTCTTTTCCTCAGAACCCTCCCAACTGGTTTCTGTGTGCTTAGATTTGGGAAATCATAACCCCAAGCTAACTGATTTCATTTGCATTATCTCAACCATCAAACTGGTGCTGCCTAAAACAAAATACCATTTTAGTACTAACAGACTCACTTTCTCCACTCCCTGACACTTCACACCTCCTCCTATTTCCTCAACTTCCCCATACCTTCCTTTGACCCTCACTTTCAACTTATAACCTAGATTCATCCTTCACTGAGAAACCTGATGCTATCACATATAAATTCCATTTTACCTTACCTACTTAAACTCGTCTTTCCCCAACTCTCAAGACCAAGCCGCCCATTACTACTCTGTATTTCATTCCCCTCTCTCCTTTATCAATTTCTCCTCTTCTGGATGAGATGGATGAAACCCTGGCCTCTCCCTATTGCAAAAGCCCTAGTCTTTGACTCTATGTTAAACATTTTTTTAAAAACCACTATGAGTGCTTTTAAAAAGTTCTATCTCATACTTGAGAGAAAAAGCCTTCTCAACAGTAATACTCTCATTCATTAAACAAATGTCAGAAACTGTTTACCTTAGCAAGCCTTAAATTTTAGGAGAAATGGAATTACTTTGCATGACAGTTATAAATCTCATGGATTTCAATTCCAAAAAAAAAAATCTGATACAGGAAAGGTGTAACAGTGCCTTCAAGTTATTAAAGAAAATCTTTAAAGAATGCTTCAAAGTATCTAACTTGTTACACTGCAAGAAAAGAATCTCCTACCATTACATATGTTCTTTAACACTACTGACACCAGATTAACTGGATTGCCACGCCCAATATGGGAGTTATGTTTGAGGCATAACACCTAAGAGAGTAAAGAAATCTGCACAATTAGACCTCATGTTTTAGACTAATATTTAAAATCCAGCTGCTTATTACTGGGGAGAAAAACTTAGCAGTAATATTTATCTTTGGAAGCATCTTCAATGCTTTTTCAGCTTCAAAAATCTGGACATGATTGTTCATAGCAGTTGAACAATAGCCAAAACCTAGAAATAACCAAAATGCCCCTCAAAAGTGAATGGTTAAGGCTGGGCACAGTGGCTCACACCTGTAATCCCAGCACTTTGGGAGGCCAAAGTGGGTGGATCACCTGAGAATCCGGGAGGCAGAAGTGGCAGTGAGCCAAGATAGCACCACTGCACTCCAGCATGGGCGACAGAGCAAGACTCTGTCTCAAAAAAATAGAAATAAAAAAAGTGAAAGGTTAAATTGTGGACCATGAAATACTACTCAGAAGTAAAGGAACCAACTATGGATATACAAAACTTAATATGGATCACAAATGGTATTATGCTGACTGAACAAGCCAACCTCAAAAGGTCACATGCTTGGCTGGGCGCGGTGGCTCACGCCTGTAATCCTAGCACTTTGGGAGGCTGGGGTGGGCAGATCACATGAGGTCAGGAGTTCGAGACCAGCCAGGCCAACATGGTGAAACCCCGTTTCTGCTAAAAATACAAAAATAAGCGGGACACGGTAACATGTGCCTGTAGTCCCAGCTACCCGGAAGGCTGAGGCAGGAGAATTGCTTGAACCTGGGAGGCGGAGGTGGCAGTGAGCCGAGATTGCGCCAGTGAACTCCAACCTGGGCAACAGAGCGAGACTCCGTCTCAAAAACAATGAAAAAAGAAAAAAAAAGTCACACATTTCATGATGACATTTACATAACATTTTGAAATCACCAAAGTATAAAGATGGAGAACAGATTAATGTTGCCAGAGGTCAGGCATAGTGAAGAGAAGTAAATAGCAGGACTACAAAAGGGGCAGCATGAGGAAGATCTCTGTGGTAATAGAGTAGTTCTGTATCTTGACGGCAGTGGTGGTATGAATCTACACGTGATAAAATGAAAGAAAACTATACATACACATTGTACCAATGTCAAAATTCCTGATTTTGATATTGTGCTTTGGGCGGGTTAAACAGGTTGAGTATCCCTTATCCAAAATGCTTGAGACCAGAAGTATTTCAGATTTTGAATTTTTTCAGACTTTGGAATATCTGCAGGATACTTAGCAGGCAGAGCATCCCAAATCTGAAAATCTGAAATCCAAAATTTTCCAATGAGCATTTCTTTGAGCATCATGTCAGTGCTCAAAAAATTTCAGATTTTGGAGCGTTTAGGATTTCGGATTTTAAATGCTCAACCTGTATAAGCATTGGGGGAAAATGAAGTAGCATATAGGATCTTTCTGTGCAATCTTTGCAACTTCCTGTGCAAAAAAATCTATAATTATTTCAAAATTAAAATTTTTTAAATTTCTATCAGAAACATATATAATGGGGGTAGGAGGAGGCTAAAGGCAAATATACATTTATAATTTTATATTGTACATACACAATAAAGTATACATTAATAGATAAAACATTACAATATACATTTTAAATGTTTGCCAAACATATTTGTGTAGATTTTCTCCAGAACAGTTACTTAGTAAACTATATTTTACTCTATAAAGAATATCAGGACCAGTCAACACACTAGCAAGAACTTCCTACCATTTTTAGTAATTACGTCTTATATACTAGAGAAACCACCTTTTATCTTTTGCTTGAAAACCTTACTATCTCAAAATACAATCCCTTCCACTTTCAGACAATAGTTATTAGAAAACACTTCTTTAAAATATCCCTAAATTGTCATCCTGTAGGTAATTTTCACTTAATGAAGCAAAAATTGTATACTAGACAGAACTTAATGTAAATCTTAGCTCTACTTAGTTTACAGCTACTAAACTGTAAAATCCCTAAAATATTAATTATTCCAGAAGGGTAAATGAGATGTCACTTATAAAGTATAACAATGCCTAATAAGACAGTAGATGCTGAGAAAGGTTTTAATACACTTTTTAAAAGAAAAATGTTAAAGGAAACACAAACACCTGGGCTTAAGGTTTGCTATTGAAAAGTAATTTAAACTCCAAATATTAGAAATGGTTATGTCTTAAGTTTTCTCCCTTTATGTTTTGTTTGTTTACCTTTAGTTTATAAATTGCAGGACTTCCTGGGAAAAGTTTTGCTGCTCTTTCCACCCAGTATTTTGCTCTTCCATCAGTAACATCATTTTTACAAAGCAATTCTGCAATCTTCAACACCAGATCTTTTTGTGTTGGGTTTAATTCCACTGAACGCTAATATCAGAAAAGAAATTAAAGATTAGTAAATAAATTGTATGTATGTATGTAGGAGTATATATACTTATATACTTATATATAAAGGTTAAAAATTATCACTCCAACTCTTAAAAAATTCTACTTCTAGAGAAAACATATTACTTCAAAGGTGTTAAAATAAAAGTGTCTTGGAATTTTCTGGAAATGAACCAAATAAAAATTATATTTGTGTCATTTGAATGCAAAAAACACAAAAGAACACCATTTCTGACCGTGTTAGACTTACAATTTATAGGTGTTAAACAATTCTAAATCTGTTCCAAGCTGTGTCACGTAACTGTACTATGATACCAATGCCTGTTTTATGATATTCATAAAATATATTTGACTTACTTATATAAATTTCTCTGGGCATCATGTGTTTGGCTATGCAAAGGCTATATTTGAATCCTATAACTTACCCTGTAACATTCAACGGCTTTCTCTGTGTTTTCTTCCAATTCATAAAGAAGACCCAGAAATCTGTGAGCTCTGGGATCCATCTCTCGCACATTAATGTAAGTACATATGTATCTGTTTTTTAAAAGTAATACAAAAGTAAATTAAACTTAGAACTGTACTTTTAAATGCTAACCGAAGAATACATCTTAAACCAAAGCAACCACTAAACTCGTTTATATTGTTACTCAAAACTACCACTATTCATACAGATAACTCAAAAGTATTCATAGAAAGAAATGGGTAATACTTAAAAACACATACATAGAGTTGACCACATACTCATTTTACCATTAAATGTCACATTTACCAAATTTTTCTCCAGTGTTATCCACACATAAGAAATGAACATATAAATTGCTTTTTCTTCCTGATCACATTTTAATAAAGCACTAACAGTTTTGCAAATAAATTAGAAGTGATTATAGTAAACATTTTTAAAGTTATCATAATGCAAAATACTAAACAGCAACAATTTCCCAAACAACAAAGGGAAATACACTTACCCTTTAAGCAAGAAAGTAATTTCTAACAGTACTATATATCCAGCTAAAATCGAACAGAAGAAAAATTACTAATTACAGTACCAAATACAGGAAATTTCCATTTCTCAAATCAAGTAACAACTAAAATAAGTAAATATCCTCTAGGTTCCTTGACAGTATTACCATCAGAGAAATGAGGCCAGACCTAAACTAAGGGATTAAAGTCTCACGGTAAAAAGGTACAAGAGTTAACAGTCACAGTGCTGCTAGTTACATAATTTATGTACCACCATTTTCCTTTCTTACCAGCATTTCCATCTTCCTTTGGATGCCTTTAAAAGCCTGCCTCCCAGCTGGGAGCAGTAACACACACCTGTAGTCTCAACACTATGGGAGGCCGAGGCAGGCAGACTGCTGCGCTCAGAAGTTCAAGACTAGCCTGGGCAACATAGTGACACCTGTCTCTACCAAAAAATGCAAACCTTAGCCAGGTCCACGTGGTGGTGCGCATCTGTATCCCCAGCTACTTGGGGCGCTGAGGTGTAAAGATCTCTTGAGCCCAGAAGGCAGAGGTTACAGTGAGCAAAGATGGAGCCAGCTGCTGCACTCCTGCCTGAGCAAGAGAGACAGATACTGCCTAAAAAAAAAAAAAAAAAAAGCCTGCCTCCCTCTTAATTTCCTGCTTTAATCCACTCCCAGTCAGGAAATCAGAATCACCAAGCTTCTTATCCCTAGGATAGAGCCTTAGAGCATCACATATTGTGTCAATTAAAGATCTTTTATACAAGCTATTCTCCTGCCTTACAATTACAGTTTAATTTTTTATTCATTGCTATTTTCCATCTGATTAAGGTATCAGATATCTAACCAAAAACAAATTAAGATATAGGCATGGTCCTCTTTTACTTCAACAGAAGACAATTTTTAGAAAAAGTCGTTTTAAGCCAAACAATTTCTTGCCCTTGGTATAAAGCAGCAGCATGCAGAAAACACTAATTACAGTTTCAATCTCAATGGAATCTAGGCTGGTCCTTAGCATCAGTCTGAGTGATAAATCCCTTATTCCAGAATACACTTAGGAAGAACTACTAAGGATATATTTTTACCTATTTCAAAGAAGAAAATGAGAAAAGGCATTGATTTTAAAAAAAGAATACATGTTACAGTTTGTACTTACTTTTTAGCAAGATCATATTCTTTAGCTTCATAATACAGCTTTGCAAAATAGAATCCTCTCGTTGACTTCTAAAAAAAATTAAAAGTTGTTTTACATTTCATACAGAAATATTTTCCAACATTTTTTCAAAAGTAGTAAAAATCTGCCCTAAGTTTATGTTCAAATATGCCATTTTCATTCACTTAAAAATTTTTTTTAAAGCCTGACAAATGCATAATTCCATGTTTTATAATTT
The DNA here is from genome assembly GCF_000001405.40 of Homo sapiens. Taxonomy (NCBI): domain Eukaryota; kingdom Metazoa; phylum Chordata; class Mammalia; order Primates; family Hominidae; genus Homo; species Homo sapiens. The sequence goes on along the minus strand of NC_000002.12, from coordinate 107,836,434 downwards.
CCTATCACAAAACAAAAAATAGAGCTGGGTGCAGCGGCTCATGCCTGTAATCCCAGCACTTTGGGAGGCCGAAGTGGGTGGATCACCTGAGGTCAGGAGTTTGAGACCAGCCTGGCGTTATAACATGGTGAAACTCCGTCTCTACAAAAATAGAAAAATTAGCCAGGCATGATGGCGGGTGCCTGTAATCCCAGCTACTCGGGAGGCTAAGGCACGAGAATCAGTTGAACCCAGGAGGTGGAGGTTGCAGTGAGCCAGAGGTTGCAGTCAGCTGAGATTGTGCCATTGCACTCCAGCCTGGGCGACAGAGACTCCATCTCCCAAACATCATCATCATCATCATCATAAATAAGCTGGGTGCAGTTGGTCACAACTTTAATTCTATTTAATTCTAGCACTTTCAGAGACCAAGGTGGGAGGCTAGCTTTGAGGCCAAGAGTTTGAAACCAGCCTGTGCAACACAACAAGATCCTGTCTCCAGGGGGAAAAAAATAGCCAGGCATAGTGGAGCATGCCTGTGTTCCTAGCTACTCAGGAGGCCAAGGAAGGAGAATCACTTGAGCCCAGGAGGTTGACACTGCCGTGAGTTATGACTGTGACACTGCACTCCAGCCTGGGTGACACAGGGAGATCCTCTCTCTAAATAATAAATACATAACATACAAAAAATAAATTCAAGAAAGCAAGACAAGCAGACAACAGAAGTTAAGAATTTTCATCAGCCTTGGAAATCTTGGAAACCCTGTGGTACCACTCTCTCACTTAACAAACAAAAGAAACCAGCTTTCTTTGGGGAGGAAAGGTATTCCAGAAATCTCTTCTCCTACCATGTGTAAGCCTCTATGGGAAAGAATAACTAAGTACTTAGGATCTATTAAGGCACTGAGGATTCCCTGTGCCTCAATAGTACATGTACTGTTCTCTCTACAGATCAGATCAGTATTTTACAGTCAAGGAGTCAAAAAGGCAGAAATAAATATTGAATTCTTCAAGTAATAAACAAGGTCCACAGCCTGGCTCCTTGGTTACATAAACTCCAAAGTCCAAAATGCTGATGCACACCAGGCTGGGTGCGGTGGCTCACACCTGTAATCCCAGCACTTTTGGAGACTGAGGCAGGTGGATCACTTGAAGCCAAGAGTTCGAGACCAGCCTGGCCAACATACAGAAACCTCCTTTCTACTAAAAATACAAAAATTAGCTGGGCATGGTGGCACACGCCTGTAATCCCTGCTGCTTGGGAGGCTGAGGCAAAGAATCGCTTGAACCCGGGAGGCAGCAGTGGGCCAAGACCGCACCACTGCACTCCAGCCTGGGCAACAGAATGATTCCATCTCAAAAAAAAAAAAAAAAAAAAAAAAAAGCTGATACAACCAGAGTATGTTCCATCCATGTGATACAGAGTATACAGCTACTCAAACATCTTATTTTTGAAATTCCAAGACCCCAGTGAATGTCCAAAACGATGAATAGTACCAAACCAGGTTGCCATCAATCGAAACATGTTTCCTGTTTGTGTCCTCCACCCACAAATTTAATGTCTTGTCCATCTCAACTAAGCACTTATCACACACTGTGGCTGTAACTTTTGCAGTTTGGGGTGTCACAACAAAACTAGCACAAATTTCTTTTTCTTTCTTCACAATTTCATGGACAAAAGATTTGTTCTTACCATAGATCTTAGCAACCCCAGTATATGATCTTTTTTCTTTCCTAAGTCAAAAACTCACCTCTTCACTTAAAGGAAGCACTATATGGCTTCTCTCTGGCATATGTGAACTGCCAGCATCGCTACTCTTGCTCTTTGGTGCCATTTTAAATAAAATAAGGGTTACTTGAACACAAGCACTGCAATACTCCAACAACTGATCTGATAACTGAGGTGGCTAGTATGTAACTAGCGGGTGGGGAGCACATACAGCATGAATATGTTGGACAAAGGGATGATTCGTGTCCTGGGTAGGACGGAGCAGGAGGCTGTGAGATTTTTATCATGTTATTCAGAACTGTTTGCAATTTAAAACTCATGAAATGTTTATTTATATAATCTTCCATTCAATATTTTTGGACCACGGGTGACGCAGGTAAGTAAAACCACGTAAGGCAATACTGTGGATAAGAAGGGACTACTGTACCAGCAACGAACAATCAGAAAAGGAAATTAAGAAAGCAATTCCATTTACAATCGCATCTAAATGAAAAAAATGCCTGGGAATAAATGTAAACAAGGAGGTGAGAGACTTGTATGCTTAAATTACAAAACGTTGCTCAATGCCAGGCTAACACCTGCAATCCCAGCTCTGGCAACAGAGCAAGACTCCATCTCAAAAAAAAAAAGAACTATAGCAATCTTAACAAAAATAATACACAACAGTCAGGACAGCACGTATAGGAACAAGGCTTGTTCCCCCCTTCCTTTTTTTGTTTTTGAGATGGAGTCTTGCTCTGTCACCAGGCTGGAGTGCGGTGGCTCGATCTCAGCTCACTGCAACCTCTGCGTCCCGGGTACAAGCTGGGACTGCAGGCGCACGCCACCATGCCCAGCTAATTTTTGTATTTTCAGTAGAGATGGGGTTTCACCATGTTGGCCAGATGGTGTCGCTCTCTCGACCTTGTAATCTGACTTCCTCCACCTCCCAAAATGCTGGGATTACAGGCGTCAGCCACGGAGCCCGGCCAGTTCCCCCTTTTCAAAATGAAGAAATAGATTCAAGGTACAATGCCAAAACATAATAGAAAAATAATTCCATTACCTTCTTTGCTTCCAACTATGTTATTAAAGTAGACAATCTTAAGATAATTAAACAACTTTACAAATTATTCTTCTGTATGATCTTTTGCCTCTAACCTGCTCACTTTACAAGGGAACTGAAGCTCAAGCAGGCAAATGCCTTGTTTAAAGATATATAGCTAGGAAGGAGCACAGCCCATGTTATGTAAACAGGACAATATCTGATTCAAGCAGTACTTCTTTGCATGACAGCAGATGTCACTATAAGCAAATACCTGAATTCACTTAAGCTGCCAAATATCAAGAACTGATGCAGGGCTGAAAACAGGAACAGTAAGACCCCAAGAGATGCCACATCATCACTATCTTGCACAGTAAGATAGAGATGTAATTGTAATTGTCCAAAACTTAACATTTGTGGCCTACTTTTTCATTATGCAGTTCTAAATTTCTCTCTTTTTTTTTTTAATTCAAACGGAGTCTCGCTCTGTCACCCATCTTGCACAGTCAAATGAATCTCCCTCCCCCTAAAATCCTCCAAAAAAGCTGCTGTTCTCAACAAACCCATCTGATCAGCTACAAATCTGTGGAGTCCCAACAAGGGTGAAGGCCGCGATTATACAGGACAATGAGGAAAAGTCTAGATACTGAACCATGAGTTCCCCAATCTTCTTCCCCTGGAACATAAGGGTAAGGAAATCTCTCAAAAGGCAGAACAAACAAAAGAGGAGAATAAGAGAAAAATTAGAGAAACTCCAGCTTTCAGGTAAACATCATTAAAAAAAAGGGTAAGAAATGGTCAAAGAAATAATACAAGAAATGCTACAGAACTGAAAGAAATGAGTTTCCCAATTGAAAGGACACTTCCAGAAAACCTTTGTTACCAAGAACAAGAATCTCATCAGACTCCTAACAACAGAACTTCTAGAAAATGGAGCAATGCTTTCAAAATTGCGAAAAAAATTATTTCAAACTCAGAATTCGATAACCAAATGATCAACTAAATTAAGTAAAGACGTTTTAAAGACATACCATTAGTTTCCAGACCAGCCTGACCAGTATGGTGAAATCCCATCTCTACTAAAAATAGAAAAAATTAGCCAGGCATGCTGGCGCACACCTGTAATCCCACTACTCAGGAGGCTGAGGCAGGAGAATCACTTGAACCCGGGAGGCGGAGGTTGTGGTGAGCTGAGACCATGCCACTGCACTCCAGCCTGGGCAACAGAGCAAGACTCTGTCCCAAAACAAAAACAAACAAAAAAACCTCTCATCCACTTTTCCTCAAAGCAAGTGAGACTATGCTACACCAAAACAAAGAAAGTAAATGAAGACGACATGAGATACAAGAAACAAAGGGTCTAACTCAGAAAAAAGATGAAGGGAATTCTCAAACTGGTGATAAAGGGAAGTCCCAAGAGCACAGCTGTGTAGCAAAGAGGAAGAAAACCCAATCCAGGTTGGAGAAGTCGGTTAGTAAGGGTATTCCAGGTAGACAATCAATCAATCAATCAATGTTTTAAGCTGAAATTGAACGGATTATGTGATCAGTTTGACCACATTTGAGGGTTTAAGTTGCTGAGTTTAAGTAAGCAAGTAGTAACACAACATACAAGCAAACCAAAAAATAAAGCAATTATTCAGTCCAGGAAAAACAAAACTGCACAACAAGGGCAATTCAAATGCAAAATATTTACCTTATATTTATATAAATGTTAAATATTCATTTAAACAAAAACTGCAATAACAGTACTGAAAGAATGAGGGGCAAACCAAAGTGTCTGAGGACAGTTTTGGAGGAGCATAATAGCCAGTACAGAATGTCTAAAATGGGGCCCGGCCCGGTGGCTCACGCCTGTAATCCCGGCACTTTGGGAGGCTGAGGCGGGCGGATCATGAGGTCAGGAGATCGAGACTATCCTGGCTAACACGGTGAAACCCCGTCTCTACTAAAAACACTAAAAAATTAGCCGGGTGTTGTGGCGGGTGCCTGTAGTCCCAGCTACAGGCTGGGGCAGGAGAATGGTGTGAACCCGGGAGGCAGAGTTTGCAGTGAGCCGAGATCGCGCCACTACACTCCAGCCTGGACGATAGAGCGAGACTCCGTCTCAAAAAAAAAAAAAAAAAAAAAGAAAAGAAAAGAAAAGAAAATGTCTAAAATGGGAGAAAGGGAATTAAAAATAACAAAAGTATATATGTGTGTTACTCAGAAGTATGAAGTATAGATGTAAAGGGCAGAAAAAACAACTAACAGCTGTCAAAGGTGCCTGCCTGTAGTCCTAAGTACTCAGGAAACAGAGGTAGGAGGATCATTTATGCCCAAAAATTTGATGAGCAACATAGCAAGACCCTATTCTAAAAAAAATATAAATAAAAATAAGAGCTGTCAAGTAGACTTTGAGAAGTAGGAATCAGCTGCAGAATAAGAAACCGACTTGACAGAACATAGAAAAACTAAACAGAAGCCATCTGGAAAAAGAAAAACTAGAGAAAGAATTATATATTTTTTTTCTTTTTTTCTTTTTTGGAGACAGAGTCTCGCTCTGTCACACAGGCTGGAGTGCAGTGGCACAATCTCTGCTCACCACAACCTCTGCCTCCAGGGTTCAAGCAATTCTCCTGTCTCAGCCTACCGAGTAGGTGGGACTACAGGCGCTGCCACCACGCCCGGCTCATTTTTGTATTTTTAATAGAGATGGATTTTCACCATATTGGTCAGGCTGGTCTCTCGGCCTCCCAAAGTGCTCAGATTACAGACGAAGAATATTTTTAAGAAGGGCAAAAGCACATGTGAGGGAGTAGAAAAATGGCAAAACAAGAGAAGACTAACAAATGAAAGCACAATGGAAGACTAGAAAGATATGATATACAGACGCATCATCACACTCCAAAACTCCGACATTCTAGAAAGCATGGGCAGTTCACAGATGGCCAGCCTCTGCCAAACTGGGGGAGAATACTAACCTCTTCATATTCTTCACAGCCACTGCCTCTTCTCCCTCCATTCTTTACCTTCTATCCAAAGCACCCTGTTTTGTCATTTCACTCAAACCTAACTTCACAGAATAGCTTCACATGTTCCAGTTACTCACTAGTTAATCCATATTCCGCTGAAATCCCCAGGTTCTAATGTAAATGACTTTCAATTTGGGGGAAAAAAAAGACTCTAAGTGTAAGAGAGGTGCCATAATAACCAATCGTCAAAATGTTGCCACCACTCCACTTTATTTAATGGAGAAGTTATGCAGTTGAAAGAACATTCTAACTTCTGTCTAGACCAGTGGTTTTTAATCTTTTGGAAGCCAAGGTCCCCACTAAGAATCTCAGAAAGGCTCTAAACATGCTTTTTTTTTTTTTTTTAAGCTTGTTTAAAAAAAAAAAATCAGGCTGAGCAGAGTGGCTCACACCTGTAATCTCAGCATTATTTACATGTAAAGAGGAAAAATACCCTTAAAACATCTGTGGAAAAGGTTAAAAATTGCAAGCCATACTAACGATTTGTAAGAACTTTAGAATTTTTTTTTTTAAGCAAAGGCAGCTACCAAAGTCTTCTGGGCGGGGATGGGGGCGAGGGAGGTGAGTATGAGGAGTGGAGTGGAGCTGGACCCTTACAAAGGGACAGCGACAAACACCTCATACTCAAAACAAGGGGACTTTCCGTGTCATTTGCGCCGTCCGGCCATTGCAAATGTCCGCGCTGAGATGCCTACCTTGTCACTCGACGCAGCCGCCAAAGCTCACCCGGAGCTGCGTCAGTCCCCACTGGGTTCCTCCAGGCCAAGGAGGTACGACCTCCGCCGCAGCATATAAAGTAAATGTCCAGGAGATGGGAAGAAACCCGCCGATACAGCACCCGGGTGCCTAAGCCCCCGAGAACCAGGCTGCGCGGGTACTACGGGGCCAGAAAGCCCGGGCCAGGACGGGCCCAGGAGCGAGCACCGTCGGGAACAAGCGTCGGGAACAAGCCGGGAGAAAGAGGAAGCGCCGGCGCCAAAGGTCTCCCGCCCGCCGCGGTCCCCCCAGGACTCTTCCTGCGCTCGCAAGTGCCACGCCGCCCACAGGACTGCGCCAGCCGGCCGGCGCCTCAACAGAGCCCGCCTGGGAGCAGCGCCCGTCGGGAGCCATGACGCCTGAGCCATCGAGGCCGCCGCCGGGCCAGGTCGAGGCCGCCGCCTCAACAGAGCGCGCCAGGGAGCAGCGCCCGTCGGTAGCCATGACGCCTGAGCCATCGAGGCCGCCGCCGGGCCAGGTAGAGGCCGCCGCCTCAACAGAGCGCGCCAGGGAGCAGCGCCCGTCGGTAGCCATGACGCCTGAGCCATCGAGGCCGCCGCCGGGCCAGGTAGAGGCCGCCGCCTCAACAGAGCGCGCCAGGGAGCAGCGCCCATCGGGAGCCATGACGCCTGAGCCATCCAGGCCGCCGCCGGGCCGGGTCAAGGCCGCCGCCTCAACAGAGCGCGCCAGGGAGCAGCGCCCGTCGGGAGCCATGACGCCTGAGCCATGGAGGCCGCCGCCGGGCCGGGTCGAGGCCGCCGCCTCAACAGAGCGCGCCAGGGAGCAGCGCCCGTCGGGAGCCATGACGCCTGAGCCATCGAGGCCGCCGCCGGGCCGGGTCGAGGCCGCCGCCTCAACAGAGCGCGCCAGGGAGCAGCGCCCGTCGGGAGCCATGACGCCTGAGCCATCGAGGCCGCCGCCGGGCCGGGTAGAGGCCGCCGCCTCAACAGAGCGCGCCAGGGAGCAGCGCCCGTCGGGAGCCATGACGCCTGAGCCATCGAGGCCGCCGCGGGGCCGGGTCGAGGCCGCCGCCTCAACAGAGCACGCCAGGGAGCAGCGCCGGTCGGGAGCCATGACGCCTGAGCCATCGAGGCCGCCGCCGGGCCGGGTCGAGGCCGCCGCCTCAACAGAGCGCGCCAGGGAGCAGCGCCCGTCAGGAGCCATGATGCCTGAGCCATCGAGGCAGCCGCCGGGCCAGGTCGAGGCCGCCGCCGCCCGGCCAGGTCGAGGCCGCTGCCTCAACAGAGCGCGCCAGGGAGCAGCGCCCGTCGGGAGCCATGATGCCTGAGCCATCGAGGCCGCCGCCGGGCCAGGTCGAGGCCGCCGCCGCCCGGCCAGGTCGAGGCCGCTGCCTCAACAGAGCGCGCCAGGGAGCAGCGCCCGTCGGGAGCCATGACGCCTGAGCCATCGAGGCCGCCGCCGGGCCGGGTCGAGGCCGCCGCCTCAACAGAGCGCGCCAGGGAGCAGCGCCCGTCGGGAGCCATGACGCCTGAGCCATCGAGGCCGCCGCGGGGCCGGGTCGAGGCCGCCGCCTCAACAGAGCACGCCAGGGAGCAGCGCCGGTCGGGAGCCATGACGCCTGAGCCATCGAGGCCGCCGCCGGGCCGGGTCGAGGCCGCCGCCTCAACAGAGCGCGCCAGGGAGCAGCGCCCGTCGGGAGCCATGATGCCTGAGCCATCGAGGCCGCCGCCGGGCCAGGTCGAGGCCGCCGCCGCCCGGCCAGGTCGAGGCCGCTGCCTCAACAGAGCGCGCCAGGGAGCAGCGCCCGTCGGGAACCATGATGCCTGAGCCATCGAGGCCGCCGCCGGGCCAGGTCGAGGCCGCCGCCGCCCGGCCAGGTCGAGGCCGCTGCCTCAACAGAGCGCGCCAGGGAGCAGCGCCCGTCGGGAGCCATGACGCCTGAGCCATCGCGGCCGCCGCCGGGCCGGGTCGAGGCCGCCGCCTCAACAGAGCGCGTCAGGGAGCAGCGCCCGTCGGGAGCCATGATGCCTGAGCCATCGAGGCCGCCTCCGGGCCAGGTCGAGGCCGCCGCCGCCCGGCCAGGTCGAGGCCGCTGCCTCAACAGAGCGCGCCAGGGAGCAGCGCCGGTCGGGAGGCATGACGCCTGAGCCATCGAGGCCGCCGCCGGGCCGGGTCGAGGCCGCCGCCTCAACAGAGCGCGCCAGGGAGCAGCGCCCGTCAGGAGCCATGACGCCTGAGCCATCGAGGCCGCCGCCGGGCCAGGTCCAGGCCGCCGCCGCCCAGCCAGGTCGAGGCCGCCGCCTCAACAGAGCGTGCCAGGGAGCAGCGCCCGTCGGGAGCCATGACGCCTGAGCCATCGAGGCCGCCGCCGGGCCAGGTCGAGGCCGCCGCCTCAACAGAGCGCGCCAGGGAGCAGCGCCCGTCGGGAGCCATGACGCCTGAGCCATCGAGGCCGCCACCGGGCCGGGTCGAGGCCTCCGCCTCAACAGAGCGCGCCAGGGAGCAGCGCCCGTCGGGAGCCATGACGCCTGAGCCATCGCGGCCGCGGCCGGGCCGGGTCGAGGCCGCCGCCTCAACAGAGCGCGCCAGGGAGCAGCGCCCGTCGGGAGGCATGACGCCTGAGCCATCGAGGCCGCCGCCGGGCCGGGTCGAGGCCGCCGCCTCAACAGAGCGCGCCAGGGAGCAGCGCCCGTCGGGAGCCATGACGCCTGAGCCATCGAGGCCGCCGCCGGGCCGGGTCGAGGCCGCCGCCTCAACAGAGCGCGCCAGGGAGCAGCGCCGGTCGGGAGCCATGACGCCTGAGCCATCGAGGCCGCCGCCGGGCCAGGTCGAGGCCTCCGCCGCCCGGCCAGGTCGAGGCCGTCGGTCTCTTCGAGATCCACTCACCTTTCGAGGCGACGGGGCGGAGCCCTGCACGGAGGCGACGTACCGCTCCCCGTAGGCCTTGCTGCAACTCATCGCGCCACCAACCTGGCTCCCGAGACGCGTGAAACCAGCGCTCAGCCCCGCAGCAGTCGCCAATTCCAACAGGAAAGCGCCTGAAAGCCACTGACTCCGCGTAGCCGGCGGAGGACCACTGTGACGAACTTGTGTCCTGCGTCAACAGTGTGTGGAACGTTGGCGACCTCGGCGCTCGAGCTGCACTCCGCTGGGCTCTTGGCAGCACCCTGTGCTCTGAGGGTGTCTTGCCCGCCGGGCGCCGTGGCTCACGCCTGTAATCCCAACACTTTGGGAGGCTGAGGCGGGCGGATCACTTGAGGTCAAGAGTTCAAGACCAGCCTGGCCAACATGGTGAAAGCCCATCTCTACTAAAAATACAAAAATTAGCCAGGTGTGGTGGCGGGTGCCTGTAGTCCCAGCTATTTGGGAGGCTGAGGCAGGAGAATCGCTTGAACCCAGGAGGTGGAGGTTGCAGTACGGTGAGATTGCCCCACTGTACTCTAGCCTGGATGACAGGGCAAGACTCCATCTCAAAAAAAAGAAAAAAAAAAAAAAAAAAAAAAAAAGACTAAACTGTGATTTGAGGCACCTGAGGAACTAAGAGCCCAGGAAGAAAGGACAGTAATGAAAAAGCCAACAAATGAGACCAGTATTTAGTGGTATTTCCCCTATAGGCAATTATTTATTCAAAAATACAGGAACAGCATTTATTTGCTTAACTGCAGATATGCAAACAAAAAATTTAAATGGTCTTAGTTACTATCTACATGCAGATGCTTCCAATCTTAATCTCTAGTCATGACCACTGATCCTTTTTTGATTCCTTTAATTCAATTTATATATCTCTAAGTGAATATCTTGTCAACACTGACAATCAAGACTAAGATGTATTTATTCTATTCCAGATTCTACTCTAAAAGTCACCAGGAAAAATTCAGCTCCACTGGTCCTGGCTCTAAGTCTACTAGCAAAATCTTCCAGAGAAGTGGAAAAGCCATCAGCCAATGTGTTAGACTATCATTTCCATGACCTTACACCTATCAAAAAGGCACTATTACCAGGCTTATAGAATTCTAAAAAAGTTGGAAACCATTTTCCATTATAAAAGAAATTCTTCCAAATCACACAAAACACTCTGACACTTCTCCAATTCCCCCTATCATGGGGCTGGCAGCAGCCGCTTTGCGTCCTGAATGTCATGACAGTGATGATAACAGTAATGATGATAACAGCAATGATGAAGTCTCACATTTAAAATTTTCAAGTCACTCATCACATCCCAAGTCACTCCCTTCATTACCTTTTATTTATACTGGAGTCATCCTGTGTGCCTCAGTCAGACCATTTTGTATGTACAATGACCGTAAGTAGATCAACCAAACTTTTTGGATGATGTCAACTATTTAAGGCTTTTTAAAAATATAAGGTACTTGAGAATTCATTTTTTCCCCAGCTGGTGTAAGAGATAAACAATTTGAACTTGTCAGAACATCATATCATTTGAATAGGAGGCTTAAATTTTTAAAGGCCAGAAAAATGCTAATGAGATTAGACATGATCTATTTTTTTCTAGACACTGGCACCTTTTGCACTTCAATTAGATATCCAGACACGCCCATAACTTAGCAGTCATAGGTAATGTTGTCGGAAAAAGAGTATGAGGTGGGTTGGTTGTACAAGAAGAACAGGTTAGAATTTGCTTTCTTCTGAGCTTAAGTACTAAAGTAAAAAGCAGGTAGATTCATCATCAGGAAGAATGTAGGCAGCTAATCTGAGAAGTAAAAGACTATAAAAATAAGAGAAACAAATGAAAATTTAGCTTTAACTGAGAGCTGATGAACTTAGGAGACTCAACATTGCTTTGCTAAATAGTGATATTAAAATATTGCTAGACAAATTTTTCTTAAGTGTAGGATTTAATTTGGAACTGAGTAGGAGCAATACTACAATATGACATCATCAGTATTTGCCCTAATCCCTACCACAAAAAGATGACTGTAAAGGAAGAACTCTTAAAAAACTGCTTGGCCCTGCAGTAATGCTTCCCTTTCAAATCGGTAACTTCCTCCACCATGCATTACTTGGAAGATGCAGTAATTTTAATTACTGAAAGGACCATCTCAAATCATCTTTAGTCACAACAAACTGTAAACATTTATAGAGCAATATATTTGTAAAATGTATTTTATATTGGGGAAGTATGATACAATACAGAAATCATTGAAAGCAAGATACCATGACCAAGCAATTAACCATCAATTATTCAATTTTAATTTAATATATAATAGATCTGAGGCACTGCCTATAAAGTGGAAGATATAATTATAATACTACAGACGTCATTCCAGCTTTCCAGTTGCTTATGGTCCAGCAGGGAGGATGCACATGGGAAAAATAATAACTAATGACAAATGTGATGAGTCTTAACAAAGAAGAAGAGCATATTGCAAGGGAATGTAATTCACTCCAGGGTTAGTAAAGACATTATTTAGGAAATAATGTTTAAACAGAGACTTATGAGATGAGTATTACCCAATCAAAAATAAAAGACAGCTTTCTAGGCCAAGAACACAACATGTGAAAGGTTGTTGATAATGCAAGAGCACATGTGAAGCACAGAAAACATTCTGTGTGGCTAGAGAATAGAGAAGACAGAGAAGTGCTGAACAAAATGAGGCTGGAAGGGTGGGCTTTGAATTTGGGATTTTATCAGATTAACAAGGAACCGTTGAAAGATTTTAAGCAAGGCTAGATTTAAGCATAGTTACATTAGCCTTTTAAAAAAATCTGGTTTTAGTTCAAATTCTGCAACTAATTTCCTCTGTCTATTTCAATGTATCCATTAGGACAATGAGATTTAACATGCAGTTTGCAGATCCTCCCTTCTCTGGGTCACCTGAAAATAAGCCACAAACAAAGGAATGAAATTGTTGATGAAAAGGGAAGAGGCAAGACTCCATATGAAGAATACAACTGACTCACCTGTCTGTACATGCCTCTGTGTGTGTGTTTTATATTGGTGCTGGTGAAGATAGTTCTTTATGCTGATGCTTAATAAGGTGAAATGTGTCTATTTTCTTCCATTGGCCCAGGCACAGATGCGATTATAATTGCTAAGATTATTTGCATATTGGCTTTTAATGATGCATTTAAAAATATTCATCCCATTTACTGACTTATGCAGGCAATGTACTTTTGTAAATGTGGGCCAGCATCATGCTTAAATTCCCAAACCACTATTTATTTAAAACTCATCACTTCAGTTTTTATACCCTTTCTCCCCCATAAGGGAAAAAATATGATTCTGACTGTATAAGCACCAACTAAACAGAACACAAAACATGGCAGACGATAAAAACATATTTTCACAAATGAGACATGTCATTTTACCATCGAGGAGAGAAACAAAATAAGCTGGTTTTCAAGTTCCATATCTTGTGTGCTCCTTTCAGCTAAATGCCCTTACATCTGTAAGCCCTTGGGACAGGTTAAGGCTTTTATTATTATTTTAAAGTCTTCATAACTACAACCTAGCATCCAAAGTGAAACAGATGCTATTGGATATGAGTAGCATATGCAATGGAAATATTGACATTGCCTTCCCGACAGTCATGAGGGATAGACCATAGGCTTTTTGGTAACCTATATTTTCTAGGCCCAAAGCAGGGAATGAGATGGCAGGGAAATTCAGGGTAAACTCCAAATTTACATAAAGTTATAGAAGAATATAGATCATGAGTAGTGGCTAGCACCTTCCTGACTTCCAGAAAATGGTGGTGCCGATATTGAACAACAGTTTGGAGAAAATGTAAAATGTTTACATTTACATTTACAGTTTAGTCTTTGAACAACAGTTTGGAGAAAATGTAAAATGAAAATTTGTTAACGAACTTGTTTTTAAAAAGCACCTAGACTCCATATAAGAGTACTTGTCCTATGTTATTTTCATAAACTACATTTGTGATTGTTTTGGTGAGTCTTTTACTTTGAATCCCATTTGCATAAATTTGTTAATAGGGAGATCATAGAATCACTGATTAATTGCATCATACAGAGTTGTATGATGTGGATTAGATTTTGCCTAATCTAACCTCTCTATCTTAGAGATGGAGGGGGGTGGAGTGGGAGTTGGCAACAGGTGGTTACAGAGCCTTCAAATTCCTTGATGAGTAGCTCCTGCTGTCTGAAATCTCCTTCTGGTCAAGGGGACAACTGACATTCTACTTGGGTGACAGGATTTCTGAGTTTGAAGCTGAGAATGATCCAATGGATGCCACTTCAGGGCAAAACGAGTATCAATAACCAGGAAGATAATAAAACTAAAGAAGCAACCCAATGGCTTCTTCAGAGGCTGGCCCAGGTAAAGCATACAGGATGAAATATTAGGCTGTCAGAATAGACTGGGTGTGGAAGGCAGGGCTTGGCCCTTCTCTTCCTGGGGTAGAACTGTAACTAGCTCCAGGCACTATAACGGCAAGTCTGCATACTCAGCCCGAAGTGCAGAAAGAGCCTGGGTGGTTCAGAGTCCAACATAGACAACTGCAGAACAAATACAGGTCAGTGGGGCTGGAGGTAGCTTTGTGGAGTTCCGCAATAATGGATATTCAGAAGAGTCTATAGTATTGTAAAACTTGTGCTTCTTGGTAGAGCCAGCTACTCTGAATCTATTCTGAATCTATAAGAATCCTCCACTCCCATTCTCCACCATTTCCAACATCCACGGATACAGGAAGATTTAATAATCACTCGCACCAAGACTTACAGAGGCTTTTCTTAAACAGAGTTCTAACAATAATTTCAGCTTTGACCTTAGTTTATCCAGCAGGGTCTCTCCTTCATGCTTTCTCTAAGAACGTGATGTCATAAAAGAGACACTGCTGCTGGCTTTGGCTATTCTTTGGCAATCAGAGTGAATTATCTATATTTCCTGGGATTTCAAATGAGAAGGCTGTCAGAACAAGCTTCTGGGTAAGCAGGTATCTGCATAGTTCCAAGTGCCAGGTTGCATAAAGTAGAAAAAAAAAAACCAAAAAAAACAAAAAAAAAAAACAAAGCAATGATCAGATTTGGGAGAATTCCTGATGACCCAAAATCTAAGAATTCCTAAAGATATTTTGGTAAGATATTCACTAACAAAAGGGAGTAAAAGAAAACAAACCTAAAAGGAATAGCAAAGGCTTATTTTAAGCCAGAAATAAAAGTACAATATTCTCTCTTTGAGCAGCTATAAAAGTCATGTTCTATCTTTTGTATTAAATGGAATGAGAATCTTTTGTTTAAGTATTAATAAGATAAATTTGTTTTCAGCCCTTTCCTTTACCAATGTTTGACGCTGGAGATATGTTTACCTATTTTACCTATATTTTAATAGCTAGCAAATACCTATTTTCACAATGTAAGAGCTTACAAAATGTGAACATAAAATATGGAAATGTTTGAATCTTTGCAAACATCTGAGTAATTTAAGATTGAGGCATAAAATTGACTCATCTCTTTAGAAACCAAAGTGCAGCTTGGAGAGAAAATAAATTACCAGATATGAAACAGATATTTAATTTCATTCAACAGAACATACATCTTCACTTTATTTCAAAATAACCTCTTACAAATATTCATTACATAGAAAGAACTCCCCCATCCCGGTAATTGTTTCAAAGTACAATACCAAGGTTTTTATGAAGTGACATATGGTGAGGTGGGCGTAATTTTTCTAGGTGGAAATTTATTCCCAGTATGTCTCGGGAAATTTATGTTTTTAAGAGTCCCTTATTCTGAAAAACAACAAGAAATTCGAAAAACAGGAAAGACCAGCATTATATCCTATGAGAAATAATGCTTGGCAACCAACATAGAGATATCAGTTGGTTAAGGGATCCATTGACACTGAGTTGGAAGTGGACACAGAGTTAAGGACAATATTTTAGGAAGGGGACAGAGGAAAATGACCCTGCTCTGATTGTCTTGTTCATAGCGCTTGATCCACTCTTAAGGTTGGACATTCTTAAAATAAAACAAGTATTAATAAGTTGATATGCACTGTAGACTTTATCCTACGAGTTGTATTACAATAAGTAAGTATTGAAAGCAAAGTACGTGCTTAAGTTGCCAATTCTGATTCTGAGTAGTGCTTGTCAACTTGGGTTTTATGTGGCTCTGTTTGCTGGTGTTTTGCAGTGTTTGAGCATTCCTCATGGGCACTAGTTATCTAACAGAGGAAATACATGCAGAAAGACTATTGTGGAATACTGCTATTTAAAATCAGAAGCTTATCTAAAATCTGAATTGGACAGAGCAGTATCATTCTCAATGACAGAACCAAAACTAGGGCAAGAAAACAAAAATATTTTCATCTTTGAAAAATAAACGAATAAAACAAAATAGAAAACAAACCTCTTTTTGTTCTAGAATATTTATCACAAAGCAAGGTCAAAATTATTAGATAGAACAACTCAGGTTTTATTTTAAAACTTTATTTTAAGAATTACCTTTAAACAATGAATGTTTTTCTACTATCTTTCAATTTTAAATGATTTTTATTGATATTTGTTTTGTGTTAATATTTTTTCTTTTAATGCTTTCTATTTTCAAATGTCTGTGTAAAATTGAAGTTATTTTTACATGTTATCAAAATAATATAATGGTTCATAATAATGATAAACCATTTATTTTGATCACGTCTTTATAATAGAAAAGCCACCAACATTTTAGTTTTAAAAATATTTGTTGTTTATTAATATTGTAAACAATTATCACTGTAAAATATGGAAATTGTCTTATGAAAAATACAGTGCAAAATGATTTTAGGAGCTCCTGAACATTCCAGGGAATTCTGATGGCTTATTCCCAAATCCTGAAGATAAATATCTCTCAAATTAATATATTTTATGAATTTAGAAAACACTAGGTAAGAGGACTTTTTAAACTCTCGGTCTCATAATAAAGCATAAATTATTCTAGGATTCACATGAAAGAATAGCTACGAATTTAACTTAGTAGAATGAATTATAATTTCTTGAATTTAACAATTAAGGAAATATTCAAACTCACCAGATTGCCAAGTGCTTGCACACTCATTTCATTTAATACCTCATTTAAAAATAGTGTCTTCTCTGTGTCTGCATGGCCTAGACTTGGGACTCAGGACTGAAACAAAGAGAAAATGTCCCTGACCTGAAAGAGAAAATTGACGATAAAACAAGCATATCTACAACTATCTGATCTTTGACAAATCTGACAAAAACAAGCAATGGGGAAAGGATTCTTCCCTATTTAATAAATGGTGCTGGGAAAACTGGCTAGCCACATGTAGAAAGCTGAAACTGGATCCCTTCCTTACACCTTATACAAAAATTAATTCAAGATGGATTAAAGACTTACATGTTAGACCTAAAACCATAAAAACCCTAGAAGAAAACCTAGGTAATACCATTCAGGACATAGGCATGGGCAAGGACTTCATGTCTAAAACACCAAAAGCAATGGCAACAAAAGCCAAAATTGACAAATGGGATCTAATTAAACTAAATAGTTTCTGCACAGCAAAAGAAACTACCATCAGAGTGAATAGGCAACCTACAAAATGGGAGAAAATAAGTAAGTATTGAAAGCATATGAACAGACACTTCTCAAAAGAAGACATTTATGCAGCCAAAAAACACATGAAAAAATGCTCACCATCACTGGCCATCAGAGAAATGCAAATCAAAACCACAATGAGATACCATCTCACACCAGTTAGAATGGCAATCATTAAAAAGTCAGGAAACAACAGGTGCTGGAGAGGATATGGAGAAATAGGAACACTTTTACACTGTTGGTGGGGACTGTAACCTGGTTCAACCATTGTGGAAGTCAGTGTGGTGATTCCTCGGGGATCTAGAACTAGAAATAGCATTTGACCCAGCCATCCCATTACTGGGTATATACCCAAAGGATTATGAATCATGCTGCTATAAAGACACATGCACACGTATGTTTATTGCAGCACTATTCACAGTAGCAAAGACTTGGAACCAACCCAAATGTCCATCAATGATAGACTGGATTAAGAAATTGTGGCACATATACACCATGGAATACTATGCAGCCATAAAAAATGATGAGTTCATGTCCTTTGTAGGGACATGGATGAAACTGGAAACCATCATTCTCATCAAACTATCGCAAGGACGAAAAACCAAACACTGCATGTTCTCACTCATAGGTGGGAATTGAACAATGAGAACACATGGACACCGGAAGGGGAACATCACACTCCAGGGACTGTTGTGGGGTGGGGGAGGGGGGAGGGATAGCATTAGGAGATATACCCAATGCTAAATGATGAGTTAATGGGTGCAGCACACCAACATGGCACATGTATACATATGTAACAAACCTGCACATTGTGCACATGTACCCTAAAACTTAAAGTATAATAATAATAAAATTTAAAAAAAAAGCCTTAAGAAGTTCTAGGAGTTGACATTTCAGAAGTCACAGTTTGTCTTAGTCCATTTTGTGTTGCTATAACAGAATATCTGAGGCTGGATAATTTATGAAGACAAAAGGTTTATTTGGCTTGTGTTTCTGGTGGCTGAAAAGCCCAAATTGGGCAGCTGCATCTGCTGAGGGCCTCATACTGTTTCAACTCATGGAAGAAAGGAGAAGAAAGGAGAAGGAAGGAGGGAAGGAAGGAAGGAAGGAAGGAAGGAAGGGTGTCCTAAAAGACCAAACATGAGAAGGAACAAACTGCTCTTGCAATAACTAATCCAGTCTCATGAGAGGGAAAACTTACTCCCCTGGAAGGGCACTAATCTATTCATGAAGGATCCACTCTAATGACCCAAACACCTCCCACAAGGCCCCACTTCCCAACACTGCCACATTGGGAATCACATTTCAACATGAGTTTCAGAGGGGATGAACTTGACCCATAGCACTGTGGCTGTCATTATTGTTCAGCTCTTGCCACCTTTGGTGCATAACACACTGACTTATAACTATTCATTTCATATGACGCCTTTGATAAAATCTATTCATAGATCTCTTGGTTCAGAGACTTATATAGTATCTTATTTTGGTAAAGGTTCTAGGTTATATGGAGTTGGGGGCCACTAACTCAACCTTGATTTGAGCTTAGATTGCAAATATTCCCAAGCATAATCTGGTATACTGTAAAATATGGCCAGATATTTCCCCAGACATTGTATTATAATGAGCCATTCTTGCACCTCCCAACAAAGGAGGGTCTCTTTTTCCTCCCCCTGGAACCTAGGCCAAGTTTGTGATTTACCTTGCTAAAAGAATGCAAAAAAAGTGACGTTGGAAGGCTTGAAGTTTCCATTTTGCCCTCTTGGAACCCAGCTGCCATGTGAGAAAGCCTAGTCTGCTGTAAAGGCCATGGAAAAGAGGACAGAGGCACTTCTGTTCACAGCCTAGCCAGCTGTCAGACATGTAAGCGAGGCTCTCTTCTAAGAACTAACCCTCAGCAGGATTGCCAACTGACTCCACGTGCATGAAAGAGAACCCCAACCGTGGCTCAGCTGGGCCCAAACTGCAAATCTGAGAGTTTTGGAGGAAACAAATGGTTGTTGTTTTAACATCCTAAGTTCTGGGGTGGTCGATACATAGCAAAAAATAATGATTACAAAATTTAGTACCTAGAAGTAGAATGTTAATGAGTCAAAAATTGAAAACATGTGGCCTTTGCTTTGGGAATGAGTGGTAGCCAAAACTGGAGAAGCAGTGGGGAAATTTTTGACCAATAAAAAATGAAACAAAATGGCAAAATGTTAGTGTAAGCCGAAAGAAATCATGAGTAAATTGTTATTGAAGGCTAAAACCGGGCAACCCATGCTATTTAGTTGTGAAATGATTGTGTTCTGAGATAACTTGGATGACAGAAAAGGTCCCCAGTAAAATATATGGATCTAGCTAAGGAGATTTCTAGGCAGAATATTGGAAAGGTCAATTCAGTTCTTCTAGCTTCATTATATGTTACTGCACAAGAGAGAGAAACTAAAGCAGAAACTTTTCAGCTTACGAACAAAATTTAGAGAAAATCTAGCATCTCTAAGAGTGGCTGAATGGAAAATTAAATTATTTTTCATCCTTAGTTTCTCTATTCTGCAAATGATTCCCATTTTAAGCAGTGGCCTTTGGCTGAGGATCAAGTCAAGAGCTCAGACTCTTTGGTAAAATATACAACAGAGGCTCACAAACCTTAGCATCCATAAGAATTATCTTAAGGGCTTATTAAAACAGAAGATCCTTTCCCTCTCCTGAGAGGTTCTGATTTGGTAGTTTTCTTAATGGGGTGCAAAAGTTGCATTTCTAGAAAGTTCTCAGGTGATGCTGCTGGATTGGAGACCATGCACTGTGAAACACTGACATAGGAAGATTTAAGTTTATGACAATTAGACCTGCTAAACTAGTGCGATTGGCCTTATGGGGTCTCTGAGATGACAGGAACAGTTTGCCAAGAGAAGTAACATGAATAATTTCGGACAAATGGCAGATAATAGTAGATTGCAAAATATGACACAAAGTTCCTCTGATCCCTATGATGTAATGTTTCTGTTCTTCCCATGATCAAGCGAAGTTGAAATTGCTATTACCTTTTGTGAGGTCACCATTCTTCCCACCTAGAAGTGAAGTCTGTTTCTCTACCCCTTGGATCTGAGCTGACCTTGCGATTTGCTTGACTCAGTGGAATGCAGCAGAGACATGTTGCAGGCCTTCCAAGCTCAGACTCAAGAGGCCACAGCCTCCTCTTTTGACCTCTTGGAAGGTAGATACCATGAGAAAAAGTCTGAGCTAACCAGCGAGAAACCTCCTGGGGGGAAATCCAGGCATTTTAAATTATTTTTGAAGGCTAGAAAAAGAAGATGACTTACATTGTGGCAGAACAACTTCTCCTCTATTTGATATGGATGCCAGCAATTGAATTGTGAAGTAGTTTGGTACATAGATATAGATATGCTGAGATATATCAAGTCTCTGCATTATAAATAAAAGATACATAACTTCCAAGGTCAGAATATCTCCAATTACACATAGTTTTCTGAAATTTTATCTAGAAAATAAAGGATATATTTTAAAAGTCAACAGAGTTTTATTAAAAATAAACTTTCCCTGCCTTGGAGACAGATGGTGTGTTATGGACGGTATCATGTAGCACGGTGTCAATATACACACTTGACTATACTTCCAATTTGGTATAAGTGTATAGAAAGTAAAAAGCAGTAACTTTTCCATTTTTCATTCACAGTTCATTTTCATTCAGCAAGTATCTTTTCATAACCTACTATGTGCAAGATCCTGTACTGGGTGCTATGAATGTAAACAAAACAAAAGAAAAATGCCTGTTTTGAAGGAGTTTAGACTTGGTGGGGGAAAAAGGATAATGAGTAACATAATAAGTAAAATGAATATGTTGAAAAGTGGTAAGTGATAAGGAGAAAAACAATAGGAAAGGAGCATAGAAAATGTTTGGAAGTTCTGGTTAAATTAAAGCTATGAGACTACTAAAGGGAAAATGGCACGCCAAGTTCTCGGATGTGAGCATGCTTGGAGCATTGGAATAACAGCCTGGGGCAGAGTGACTGGAGCACGTGGAGCAAAGATGATGCCTGGTTGAGATCAGAAAGATGGTGGGAGTGGGGTAGACTTCAACCCATAGTCAGGATTTTGGTTTTTCCTCTACATGAGGTGGAAAGCCATTGAAGAAATCTGAAAATAGGAGTTACATGATCTGACTTATAATTTTTCCCATGATCACTGTGGCTGTTGTGTTGGAAATAGACTGAAAGGTCATAGGGAATAACCCAGGTGAGAGGTGGTTGAGGATAGTAATACCACAGTGAGAGTGAGGATGCGGTGCTGAAAGGTCAGGCTCTTGATACAGTATGAAGTCAGAGCCTGTGGGACTTACGGACCAATCCAATGCAGAGCCTGAGCAAATGGGAAGGGTGAGGATGATTCCAAGGTTTTTGGTTTGATCAAATGAAAGCCTGCAAGTAGCATTAACTAAGAGAGCAAAGAATGAAAGTTTGAAATGGCAAATCTTAGGAACTCATGTTAAGTGTGAGGTGCCTAACAGACATCCAAGTGAAGGTGTCAAGTGGACAGTAATTCACCTAGCATTTGGGGCCGATGTCTGAGTTGAGAATAAATATTTGAGAGCCCTGTGCTCTATTAGCTTACCAAAACAAAGTACCAGAAACCGGGTGGCTCAAATAACAGAAATTTATTTTCCCACGATTCTGCAGGTCACAAGTTAGAGATAAGGGTGGCAACAGGATGGATTTCTTCTGAGGCCTCTCTCCTTGGCTTGTGGACAGCTGTCTTCTCCTTGTGTCTTCACATGGTCTCTCTATGCCTCATGAGGTACCTCATGGTACACTCATGACCTCATTTTAACTTAATAACCTCTTTAAAAACCCTATCTCTAAATGTAATTACATTCTGAGGGACTAGGAGTTAGGAATTTAAAATATGGTTATTTGGGGATGGGACAATTTGGCTATAACATCAACATATGTGATATTTAACATATGACCCTGGATAAAACCATGTAGGATGGGCTTAAATAAAAATAGCAAACATGCAAGGATGAGTTTTGAAGCCCTACAATACTTAGAGGTTGGAGAGATGCAAACCCGAAAAGAACATTGAAAATGAGAGTTCAGAGATGCAGGAGAAAGTCAGGAGGATGAAATGTCCTGAAAGGCAAGTGGATAAAGTCTACAAGGAGGAGAGCATGGACAACTCTGTCAATTGCTGCTGAGAGGCAAATGAGCTGCCTTGTCATAATATGGCCGGGCGTGGTGGCTCACACCTGTGAGACCAAGGCGGGCGGATCACGAGGTCAGGAGATCGAGACCATGCTGGCTAACATGGTGAAACCCCTTCTCTACTAAAAAAATACAAAAAAAATTAGCTGGGGTGTGGTGGTGGGCGCCTGTAGTCCCAGCTACTCGGGAGGCTAAGCAGGAGAATGGTGTGAACCAGGGAGGCGGAGCTTGCAGTGAGCCGAGATTGCGCCACTGCACTCCAGCCTGGGCGACAGAGCAAGACTCCGTCTCAAAAAAAAAAAAAGTCACAATACTAATAATAACAATGACACCAATAACAATAACAGTGGCAAAGCATCAACAATTATAGCTTCTACTGAGTGCTTACTACATGCTAGGTGTTTTCCTACCATATGTTTCTTCAAATAGTATTTGTGAATGAGTACTAATGCTCAGAGAGATTAAGTAGCTCACCCAGTCAGGACCTTCTACATAATTTGCAGGGCTCAGTGAAAAATGAAAAATGAGGTCCTCTCTTCAAAACATTAAGAATTTCAACTTGGCAATAACAGAGACTTAGACCAAGCCCAGGGTCCTTCTAATGTAGATCTTAAGCACGGGTCACACATCCACAAATCTGGCCCACTCATGGCATCCTCAGTCAGTATTAGAGATGCATGAGGGCCTAGGTAGGCTAACTTCAATCCTAACTTCGCCTCGTCTAAATAATCCCTTATCAAAAATGGGAAGTGCTTCATAATATGCCAATAGTTATACCTAACAGAGCCTCAAGAGATATTTCCTGGGACTCTGTCATTACTCACAAGGCTTCAAAAATCCAGCTTTCTTCTGGTTGAACCTAAATGTTGCTTAGGTCATCTGAGTGGGGTGAGCATAGGAAGCTGGGATGACTGCCTATTGGAAACACTTCATTTGAGAACGAATTAAGAACTCCGTGACTTTTAGCTGTGACTGTGAAATCCAGCCTTCTATGCATGAAGCAGGAATGTGAGAAAAGTTAGATTGTGTCCAAGTTTGATACTTATTTGAGTTGACACCGTCTGCCACGGGTGCTAATTTTGAGGCCTTCTCAGTGTTTATTGCTGGTGCACATTTTAAGCCTCCGATAGGTCTTACACCTGTCAAAACAGTTGTTGATTGACATAAAACTTGGCATTAAAAACAGTAGAATTAAACACTGCTTTCTCACACCTGCATTTATTGAGCCTCATTTTCATGAAATAACAATTTTTTTCTTACCTTTTTTCTTTTTCTTTTTTAAAAAATTTTTTGGTCAGTTTTCATGTGAAGCACCACTGTGCCACTGTTACAGCATTTTAAATTAGTTTCACCACGGTCATCAGCTTTGTGATTATCTCTGCTTCTTGAACACCTGGTCTGATTTTGGGAATTATTTGCCATCTGGCTAAATACTGAGTAATTATAACAACTTAATGGCAGGATAAAATACTGTTTGATCAGAGGCTTGATAGTCTTTTCAAAGAATTTGGTAGCATTAAATAAAGCTCTGTCATTAACTTAATAAATGTATTCTCTTTACAGACTTTAAAGGTGCTACTTTTAGGGACATCCTGGGGGGATTTCCTTGGTGTTAGTTTCTCCAGACATCGTGTTGCTAAAAGCTCTGAGGATCACTTTTCAGGTTCACTTATATTACGCTTACTCAATACATTGCCATCATATATTAAAGCAAGAAGTGATATATAGCTTTTATCTGACCAAAAAAAACCTGAAATGACACTAAGTTCACCATTTATTATTAGTGTCACCCACTTGCCTGAAATACTCCCTCCTTTCAGAATGGAACATTCGAGAGTGTGGGTTTTGTTCATATGCAGCATTTTGCCATGAAGAGAAAGAGGACGCATTGGAAGGAAGGATGCATTTTAACACCAATATGTATTTTGAGATTGGACGCTGGATGATTCCATAAAAGGGGCGGCTGTGAAGATAAAGAGGATGCATTGGAAGGAAGGATGTGTTTTAACACCAGTAAGTATTTTGAGATTGAACACTGGATGATTCCGTAAGAGAGGCGGCCTAATGTAATGCTTAAGAGCTTGTATCCTGAAATCACACTTCCTGGCATGGTCCTGGATCTGCCACTTACTAGCTCTGTGTTCTTGGCTGAGATATGACTTAAATCTGCTTCCTTAACTGTAAAGAGTGGATAATAATAGTCATTACCTGATAGAGTTATGATGAAGAATACATAAGATAATATTTATTAAGTTCTCTAAACACTGCCTGATATATAAAATATGTGCTACTTAAGTGTTGCTAAATAAATGTGACTATGGAAAACTATACATACACAAAACATAAAAACAAACAGCCATTCTTTATTAAGAATTGGCTAAGATTGCCTAAGACTCAAATGGATAAAAAGGCTCCTTGTTCAGGACAAAACAAGACAGGTAATCCATGCTCCCAAGCCCTCTGTGCATCTGAGGTCAGCCTTCCCTTTAATATGCAAACAGATTCCATACCATCTGCATCACATACACAACATTTGGAGAGTCATGGCAGATTAAGCCATGCTGGATTATTGCTTGCTATTGTCTGCCTGCAATCCCAATATGCTCTTATTCTACTTTTGGCTTTTCTCTGTCCTGTTTATTTTTGAATTTACTCATTTGGCAAGTATGTATGAGCATGAAATGCAGCTCTGCTGACACAGAGGTAAGCAATGCAGAAAACAGCACATACATAAAGAAATTCCAGGTGATGATAGGTGGTGACAACAACAGAAGACGGTGACATGGGGGCATGACATGGTGTGGGCTCTTTGACATCGGGTGGCTCAAGGAGGCTCTTGGGAAAGGTGACATAGAAGAGAAGACCTGGGTGACAAAAGGGCCCAGGAAATGGCAACAGCCCTGAGCCGGGAAACCTCATTGTGTTTGAGAGGCCAAGGGAAGGCCAGGAGCTGGAGCAGCTGGGGAGGGAGAGAGAGGCAGGGAGGAGATCGGGAGGGAGCACAGTTTGCAGCCTGTGACCATGGCATACACTGGCTATTCTGTGCAGTTCCCAGTAAGACGGGACATGTGCCTTTTCTTCATTCTCCCACAGCTCTGCCACTACATGGCTATTGTGATAGTGAACTATTTGCAAAAGTTTGGAAAGTGCAGAGAGGGAAGAACTTACAGTGGAAAGCTGGTACTGTCATTCTGGAACATTCTTCCCCCATCCTCACCCAGCATTTCTCCCTGGCTTCTTTTTATCTTCTGTCCCTGGTTTCCTCTGTGTTACTAGATCACCTCCCCACTTCTCCTATTTCTCCATCAGACAGTGTCTTGCGACACTCATGCTCCCCCTACCTTCTTATGCAAAACTGTTCTCCCTTCTCCACTCCCAGGGGTAGCTAGCTGCTGGGCCTACTTTGTATGTCTGAATATATAAGGCCTCTGCTAAATAAGGAGCTGTCCCCTCTTAGCTATGTAAAAAAACTAAATGAAGTGTTCAAATTATTTAAAAATTTAATAATTACTTACATTATTTTGTTTTTTTTTAATTCTTAAATGTATTCAGAATCAAATTGTTCTAATTCTGCTCCTGTAAACAGAAGAGAAGAATACATTTTCTGATTATCTAGAACAGACATTCAGGGCTCATGCTTTTTATCGGCTTTCTCTCAGATTTATATTTAGAGCCAGATACATTCAGAGCAACCTAGATGTGACATTACCTGTAGAAAACTTAAACAAATTGTTTACTTTTTCAAGCCTCCCCTAGGAAGACCCTGTAAAAGTTAGGCTCCACTGTAGAAGGTAGTTCTCCTCTCCAGAAGTAAACAATATGGCATCCTCACAGAGAAAGAATCATAGTGAAAGAAATTCAGGTAGAGATACTAGGGTTCTGTTTGTGGCACAGAAAACTTGGAGTCAGCGACCACGTGCAAGTTGCGGATAGCTCTGAAGGCTCCTCCTTTTTTGACAAACTATACAGAGCAAGGGAGCATTTCCTAAGATCTGGAGGCTACCTGTGACGGCAGCGTTTTCGGGGGCAGTGGGCAAGGGATTCAACTGAGTTGATATCCTGGCCCACCCAAACTTTACTGCATACCAGTTTGTATGAGCAGCTTAAGGACTGTTTACCTGAGCTCTGGTGAGCTGCACAAAGCATGCTATTCTGCCTGGGGCCAGGTGCAGCCTCGTCCCAGAGCCCATGAACAAGATTGGGCACTGCCCTCCAAATGCCACTCACAGGGCCCTTGAGACAGCCCTCCTACCTGCAGCTGCTCTCAACTAGGCTAACACCGTTAAACAGAGTTTCTGCAGTACCATTCTGTCTTGGTCAGGTTCTTTGCACACAAGGACAGCTGTGAGCCCACAGAAATCTCTCCCTGAACTAAGGCTCTGGTGTATTCTCCAGAAAGCAAGCAAAATGCCCTTCTCACACTCCATGTTTCTGTGTCAAGTATTTACATTTCATATTGGAGTCTAGGTGCCAGGAACTCTTGTGAAAACATAATTATTTATGTATTATGTGGAAACCGAAGCTTCATTATTTCAAGAAGCTTCAAGCCTGAAAATTGTATTTAAAGTAATTCACACTAACAAGACATGTCTTTGTCCATATCTTTTTTGAGAAGTTTTATGGTGCTCAGGATGAATTATACCCATCCCTGAGCTGGACTTACTTTTTTCAAATGTATCAGTGAGGCCACTTGGCCACCTATATCTGGAAAATGGTACAATTTACTTAACATTAACAGGGGAATTTCCTTGCAGTGACTGGCATAACCAATTTATGACCCAGTTTCTTCATAAGGACCCCTCTAAATATTAAACTAGGAACCATGCATCAGAAGATCAATAAGCCCAGTGTTTTGAATAAAATGAATGGTGTGTTGTAAATGACACTGTGTAAAACAAGTGGCCTATAATTAGCCAAATAGATAGTGAGTATTCACCAGTCATCACACAACAATGTCTGACTTTAGTTGTAAGTGCTGGACTGTTACGACAGCAGCGAGCCTAATGGAGTATGGCTGCATTAAACAGTGCCAAGGGGTACATGAGGTCACAGTTCAGCTGCCAGGCACATTGACCACGCAACCGATCCCTGGGCTGAGCAGTGAAGCTCATGCAGATTTTCTGCTGAAAGGCAGAGGGCATGAATGAATCCGATTCCATTTTATTGCCAAGTTGCTGCCTCATGGAATCTGCTACGTTGTCTTACACACTTAGAGACTGTTAATACCAAGTGAATAGAACATTCGACTGTCAGATTGCTGTATTTAAAGACAACACATGCTGTATTTGCTGAATTTCTACATTAGCAAATGCTTTCCAATGTGAGCTTTACTTTAATTATCATAGAACCAGCGTTTCAATTTTTTTTTTTTTTTGACATCCTTCCATTTTGAAAAGCCAAACTCAGGATTGGCATGGACTGACAGGCTAGGAATGAATTCCTAAGAAGGGGACTAAAACAAACAGTTAATAAAGCAGCATTGTTAGAAAAGACATCATGACCTCATAATGTAAACACAGACTCAAAAGGGTTGTGCTAAAAATATTACCTGGCAGCAGCGGCCGCTAATAAAACTCGACTCTGGGCTGGGCGCGGTGGCTCAGGCCTGTAATTCCAGCACTTTGGGAGGCCAAGGTGGGTGGATCACCTGTGGTCAGGAGTTCGAGACCAGCCTGGCCAACATGGTGAAACCCCATCTCTACTAAAAATACAAAAATTAGCCAGGCGTGGTGGTGGATGCCTGTAATCCTAGCTACTCGAGAGGCTGAGGCAGGAGAATCACTTGAACCCAAGATGTGGAAGTTGCAGTGAGCTGAGATCGTGCCACTGGACTCCAGCTTGGGCGACAAGAGCAAGACTCCATCTGAAAACAAAAACAAAAACAAAACAAAAACCTCTACTCTGTGGCTACGTACAACTTCTTTATGAGCCGTAAACACATCAGTGTTTTCTCCGAAGAGCTCCATGGCATCACATTTCACAGTCAGTCCCCTTGTCAAATGTCACAGAGCGGAGTCACTTGACAGGTTTCAGAATAATCACTGTCGACGCACTAACATGCTCCAACAACTTCCCGTAGCAAACATTAAAGCTTTCCTGAGGAAGAGGCACTAAACACTGGCCATTGAAATGACCATCTGACCATCCACAGGCCACAGATGGAACATGCAGACATGAGGCTCCTGGCAGGGATAGTGCCCACAGCTTTTGGTGGCACAGTCTGTCAGTACAGCTGATGTGAACACCCCAAATTTAATGTCCTTGGTGCTGGCCATACTGTATCCTTGGCACACACAGCTCATGGGGATATGGAATTATCAGACAAAGATCATGGAAAAGTGCCACTTTTGGAAAAGTTTCCATGCAGAGTATCATAGTGTGTGATGCTGTTTTTAATGAAAACAAAGTCTCCCTTCACAGACACTGTGTTTGCCCCTTTGGAAATAGCAGCAGGCAAGACAGATATGGCTCAGTTGTTGTCTCCATGGACCTCACTGTTTAGGAATAATTCCAGGGAATTTATCTTGAATCCTCACTTTTGAAAAATGTGTAACAGACAGACTGTACTGTATTAGCTGTTAGAAATAGCAGTAGATAGGTTCCTCTTTTGCTTTCATCTTCCATTTTTTCCATTATAAACTCTTGTACATGACAGAGAATATAATTAGTGAAACAAACAACAGAAATATGAAGATAATTAGTTTGTATGTAGTAATGGCAATATTAAGGTTTTTATATTAGTTGGGACCATAGGAATAGTGGTTAAGGGTGTGTGTCCTGGAGCAACGCCACATGGGTTCAAGCACTGGTTCTATTTACAAGAGGTGCATCTGACCCTTTTCTTACCCATTCTATGCTTCTGTTTGCTTGTTAGGAAAATGACAACAATAATAGTATTTCCTTCCTGTGGTGGTTATCATCTTTGAATGGGGTAAGATATATAAAGCACAGTACCTGGAACACAATAAGTACTCAATAAATGTTGGCCTTTATTACTTCCTTATATTTTATTTATGTCTTATCACGGCACCTAATGGGAAAATAATTGTGCTGGAGAAAGCGTGCTGCCACTTTGAGATATAGGCCACTCATAATGAGCTCTTGAATCTATCACACCAACATTTGGAGGCCCTACTCTGCACAGATCACAGATGGGCTCCACTTGACTTATATATAGCAGTGCTGTGAAATAGGGCGGGAAGGATATCTGCTGGTGATAATGATGGCAATTAAACTGGCAGGTAATGTGCTAACTAGTTGCAGTGTTGTTAGCGCTGCTAAGACAGGAAAAAAAACAGTGAGAAAGATTTATTCTTTGAGGCATATAGGAAAGAAATATTTTAAAAAGAATATTCAGTGTAAGTCCTGGCAGTAGCAATTTACAGTTCCCAAGATTTGCACATTCCCCTTCCTCACTCAGGCCTCCACCATCATCTACTTCACCGATACCTTATGTTGGATTTTCACTATGATAAAACTATAATAGAAGGTAGGAAATATAACAATTAGGAGTGCAACCCTTTGCATCTGAAAGACATAAGTCTTGCTCCTGCCCCGTACCATGTTTTAACTTTGGGCAAGTTAATCTGACACTTCTTAGCTTGCTGCTAAAGATTTCACATTGGCTAATTCCCTGTGATAAAGAATCTGGCTGGCCTTTGTCTCCTATTCCAGCTAGGTATCCTCTAAACCCTTGAGATTTCATGAGTGGGAAGAGTGCCTTTGTTACTCATGTGGGACCTGAGAGTTTATGCTAAGAAGATGGAAGATGACTTAGGATACGGCTTCCCCTGCTGGAAAGATCAATCATGGAATTAGAGAATCAGGGTTTTGTGCCAAATGATATTGGCCTAAACTCAGGGGAGGCAAGGAGGCTGTAGAGTGACAGAGTTCATTCATGTGGCCAGTGATTCAACCATTCATGACTACATATTGAAATCCCAATAAAAACATAGGACACTGAGGCTTGGTGAGCTTCCCAGGTGAGTATTCACAGTACTCTGTGTGTATTGTTACACATCGATGTGCTGGCAGGGTGATGCAACCTGACCACTTGGGGAAAGAACACCAGAAGCCTCATATTTGGGATCCCCCAGACCTCACCTTATGTGACCCTTCTTTTGGGTGTCTTGATCTGCATCCTTTTTCCCACAATAAAACTGTAAACATAGTATGGCACTTTCCTGTTTTTCACGTATCAGTTTAGTGAATAATTAAACAAGAGGGGGTGCAGGAACCATTTGTATCCAGTTGGTTAGGAAGTAAAGGTGGCCCTGGGACCCCCCAAGCTTGCAGCAGGTGTATGAAGTGAGGGTGACCTTGTGGGAGACTCTGAACTCAACCTGTAAAATTTGGCCCAATTGGCCGGGTGCGGTGGCTGTAATCCCAGCACTTTGGGAGGCCAAGGCGGGCAGATCATGAGGTGAAGAGATTGAGAACATCCTGGCTAACATGGTGAAACCCCATCTCTACTGAAAATACAAAAAAATTAGCCGGGCGTGGTGGCAGGCACTTGTAGTCCCAGTCACTCAGGAGGCTGAGGCAGGAGAATGGCGTGAACCCGGGAGGTGGAGCTTGCAGTGAGCAGAGATTGCGCCACTGCACTCCAGCCTGGGTGACAGAGCAAGACTCCGTCTCAAAAAAAAAAAAAAAAAAAACATTTGGCCCAGTTCCGGGTATTATCAGTATCAGCAGTCATTTCAGACTAGAATTCAAAAAACATCAAAAAAATCTGATAAGCCCTGTACTCTAGGGCAATGGTTCCCAAAGTGGGATTGCTGGAGGAGTGGCATCTAAGCTGCCTGGGAACTGATTAGAAACAAAATCTGAGTGCCAGCCAGAGTTCCTACATCAGAAACTGTGGGCCTGGGCCTGGCACTTTGTGCTTTCACAAACCCTCCAGGTGGTCCAGCTGCACTCTTTGGTTTGAGAACAACACTCCTCTTTCTAACTGAGCAGCTCTCCAGTTAGAGAGAGAATCCAGAGCTGGGCAGACTGTGTTTGAATGCCTGTGTCACCACGCGTTATCTCAGTAATCTTGAACAAGTTGCTTAACCGCCCTGGGCCTTGGTTTCTCTTCTGCAAAGATGGAGATGGTAATGTTAATAGAATACCTCTCTCCCCATCTGCCATGGGGGTTTTGTGAGGGATAAAAGACTTAGTACATACAAAGCATTTTGAGTAAGACCTGGAACATGAGGGCTTTGCAAGTGTTCGCTGTCATCATCTATGAAACAGGAATGCTGCTACTTGTCCTGTGGTGAAGATGAAATGGGATAGCATATATAATATACTTCCTGGTGCATATTGCGTGATCCGTTAATGATCACTGGTTTTAGTATCTACAACTTCAACTCATTTTAGGCACATAGCAAATATAATTGTTTTCCTGAAAAGCAAGTAGAGGTTACTTATGATCAAGCTGCTTGGAATTTTCATAAGAAGAACAATCCCATTCCTGACTCCTTGCCAAGCCAAGGGGATCTCTATAATATATTACTAAGTGTGTAATTACATTAGATATTAGCAATTATGGCAGAAATACCCTCATGGGTACAGACTTCAAGCTACTACTGAGAAGAAAACTGAAATTTGTTCCTCATCAAAACTCAGCTGGTTGTTCAAGATGAAGAAACATATTTGTTTCTACTTTAATCACCATTTATTGAACTGTTTGTGACATTTTATGATTATTTTGAGACAAGAAGTGCTCTGGCTAATTTATTGATATTTGTCAATGAAAATTTATTTTTATTTTATTATTTTTTTGAATGTACAAATGTAGTGTATCTCAAAGACTGTTCCATGGATACATCTGCGTTAAAATCCCCTGGGTTTCCTATGGTTAAAAACAAAACAAAACAAAACAAAACAAAACAAAACAAAACAAAACAATTTATCAGTTTACATGAATGAAAACCTCGAGCATGCATGCTGAAGTTTGAGAACCATTGTTTTAGAAATAACAGGATATTAGGATATTTAGAAAACAAAACAAAACATAAAAATAAGACTCCAAAAGGTGTTTCAAGACTAGAAAGAATTATGTTGAACAATGACTGTCCCACCATTTATTGTCGCTGTAACCTTGGGCAGACTGCTTAACTTCTCTGGGCCTTGGTTCCTCCTCTGACATTGATTCAGAAGAGAGACATGAGAACTAGGATGAAGTGGAATGGAAACGCATTAAAGAGTCTATCGGCCGGGCGCGGTGGCTCACGCCTGTAATCCCAGCATTCTGGGAGGCCGAGGCGGGCGGATCACAAGTTCGGGAGATCGAGTCCATCCTGGTTAACACGGTGAAACTCCGTCTCTACTACAAATACAAAAAATTAGCTGGGTGTGGTTGCAGGCACCTATAGTCCCAGCTACTAGGGAGGCTGAGGCAGGAGAATGGAGTGAACCTGGGAGGCGGAGTTTGCAGTGAGCCGAAATTGCGCCACTGCACTCCAGCCTGGGCGACAGAGCCAGACTCCGTCTAAAAAAAAAGAGTCTATCAAGCCTGGACCAGCCATTCTGGAGATGACACAGGCTGCCTTTTGTGAACCAAATTACATACCAAAACAGTTTCAGCTCTTGTGGCTGAGACAAGTTGACTTTTGTCTGTCCTTCCGCAGCACAAACCTCGATAACCCTCTGAGTATATCTGTGCAGAGCAGGCCCATCAGGATCCCAGATCACCACTCTTGAGGGTAATATTCATCTTTTAATGATCTGTTCTCAGTGCAAGCACATGACATGTGCCCTGCCTGCCATTTTCCCCCGAGTTGCTTTAGAAATAGAGTACAAAGAAATTCCCTTGTTTCTACAAGTCTCCTAAAGGCCAGGCATGTCTGTACAATCCAGAGATAAAAATTGCTCTCCCTCTCTTCAATGCATAAAAAAGCAAAGATAATCTGCTGCTATTCTCATGGGTCTGGTAATGAGAATTTTTTTCCCCCTTGGACAGGTGCAGTGAACAAAATGTACATAGACACACACAGACACAGACACAGACACACACACACACACACACTGAGAGGCTTATCTAAACTTGAAACTTAGTGAGTTCTAAATAATTCATAGATAAAAATAGGAAAACAGATGACTTGATCTTCAGAGAGCTCAGAAAGCTCCTGTTAGAGTTTTGCTACTGTGAAACCTTTTACTAGTCCTGTTAAAATGGAACTTGTCAATGCTTATCTAATTCTCTCCCCTGCTCTTCACCAGGGGAGGTACAAATGAGCTATAAAATGGGAGTGGATACAGAAAAAGGAACTGTCTGGTCGGTCATTGAATAAATGAGAATTATGTCTGGGATACTTTACCATCAGAAATCACTGAGTAAAAATGAGGCAGTAGGGGTAGTGTGTGTGTGTGTGTGTGTGTGTGTGTGTGTGTGTGTGTGTGTTGATGGGGTGGGTGAGGGTAGTGAGGTCAGAGATGGTAGGGCTACTGTATACAGCAAGTTGGCCCATTAGGTGATCTGAAACCTTTTTGCTACTGACACCTAGAAATGTCAGGTAAAATGTAACAAATACACTTTTAAATCCAGACTTAAGCTTGTAAGAAAGTAAGGGAAATTCCCAAGGGCCAAAAGCAAAGAGAAAATTACAAACAACAGTGGTCAGTGGGCACCAAACAACAGCTGCTCTGGGAATTCTTCCAAGCCAAGATGCACACATTTAAGGAACATAAAAAGGTAAATCATGTACCCAATCAAGATGAAAGATTAGAACCAGAAGTGAGGGAAGGGATAACCCTCAAAGGAAGCCTTAAATAAAAAGAAACTGTGCATTGATAAAGGGAGAGAATGTGGAAGCTTACCTATCATGGTAAGCTTGGTGGGGGAAAAAAAAATCAATAACCTCCCAGAAAATTTGGATTCACAAGTCTTCCATAGAGATGGATTAAAAGTTTGAATTTACATTGTTTTAATGATCCCAAACCCTCCAAATGTAAAAGTAACATAAAAGGCTGAAAACCCCACTGAGATGTTTACACAAGCAAATGCACAATGTATTTGGAGCCAGGTGGTATATATTCCCATTTTACAACCCTACTGAACATGTGCTCACAATCCAAAATTATGAAACAGATGAGGATACAGGCCACAATGAGCAAGAATGAACACAAACAACAAACAACAGGTCACCCCAGGGGCTTTCGATAATAAAAATAATATGAACGTCAAATATAAAACAAGTATATTTTAAAATAACAAGAAATAAAAATAAATAACATTATGAGAAATGAATCAGATACTATCCAAGCCTAGGCATAATTGAGGATAAAATTGTAAAGAGGAAGAGAGCTTGCTTTTTGGGATTCCTCTGAGATTTAGTAATAGCGGTGTCTTTAGCTAAATTATTTAATCTGTTTCTATATAAACAGACTGATCCTAAGATCTGATCTTTACCCTCTTGGTTTTCCTGTCTCCAGGCAGAAACTATCATATCACATTCTTACTACTCTGACAAGGCCAATGATACCACTGTGTTTGGTACCTGCCTCTCTCACAGAAAGAATTGACAAAGAAGGCAGCTGTGGGGCTGGCAGCAGCGGGAGCCAGGTGAAGATGGAGACAGCTGTCTGATTCATCCCTTTGATCAACACCAGCTTGCAGTTTGATGGGTTACTGGGAATCCTAGCTGGGGTGATAATAACCACGGGCCAAGGCCAGCAAGCTCACACTTTGCTTACTCATTCATTATCCTTTGTTACACAAATATTTCCACTTTCAGAATGCAGATTTCATTTGTGTAGGTTAGAGTTGTTTGTTATACATATATAATTAAAAATTAACACAATTAAGGAATTGAACTGTGTTTATCATTAACCATTAACTTCAGTGCAGGTGAGAGTCAAAGTGGGGGCAGGTATAAGTGATAGGCACAGTTCACAAGCAGACAAAATTATGACACTTGCAAATATGTAGACCATGCTATGTCCGCAGATGCTTACATCCAGGAAATTCTCTCTAAAGGAAGTGCTGAAATCAAAGCAAATTCAAACAATTTTCAGAGGGGTAGAAATTAACCTGCAGTAACCCTGTAGACGTCCACTTAATTCCAGACCTTTTACTGTACTAATCATTCTGGTAAAAAGAAGCAAGAAAATCATGTCCTTTCACTATCTGTCTGTAATTCAAGTATTTATAATAAAATGTGCATGGGGAGCAGCCGCTATTAGTAGATTTGAAAGAAAGGCTGTTAAATCACTTCTCAGATAGGAAGCTCATGTTAGATGACAGAATACCTTTTTCTTGCCTGAGAAAATGACATCTCCCAGAAATGTGCAAAGACATGAATTGTCACAGGGAGTTTCTTCCCTAGAAATTGCTGTCTTTGTAAGAGGTCAGTCTGAACAACTTTTAATAGCCTCAGTCTGATGAGAGGAGATGGGGCCAAGAGGATTCTACCTAAGTCAATGTGGTATTTTATAAAGGGTATTCGTTGTGGGATTTTCAACAGTGAATTTCTGATTTGCATTAGCTAAGCTCAAAATAAAAGTGTATTATGAAAGAACACAGAGGATAAGGTGAGAAAATTTTTTTCTTATTCTTTGTTTGTATAGATGTCATTGGAAACTGTTTGGGAGAGTGTTGCTATTTTTTTAAGATGTTGCGTAACTCTTTAAACCCAGTCATACTTTTTTTTTTTTTTTTGAGATGGAGTCTCGCTCTGTTGCCCAGGCTGGAGTGCAGTGGTAGCAGTGGCATGATCTTGGCTCACTGCAACCTCCGCCTCCCAGGTTCACGTCATTCTCCTGCCTCAGCCTTCTGAGTAGCTGGGACTATAGGCACCTGCCACCAAGCCTGGCTAATAAACCCAGTTATACTTCTTAACTTTGAATTTTATGCAGCCTTCAGCACATCTTACCATTACTCAGACAAGATACCAAGTTTCAATAACAACAAATATTCTTGTGCTAGTATTCATACTTCTACACCTGTGTGAATTAGGTTTATAATTATTGATATTGTTCAATATTTATTGAACATCAAACTCTTAAATAGTAATCAGTAATATCAATTCTGTGAGTACAGAAAAGAAGTCTCGGTCTTTGCCTTTGGGGAAAGTTGCAATGAGGGTGGGTGCCAGTGGTCCTCAAGCTGGCTGATCTCAACCTGCTGAATGAAGGCACTTGGCGGTCTGCATGACAAACTACTCTAGCAGATTTAACAAAGTCCTTTCCCACTTATCTAGCTTTGTTCTTAGAATGTTGCTTTGTTAACTCAGTGGCCCTGTGCTCTCTTTAATGGTGATGAGTTTTCATAGCCTGTGCCTCCTTCTGCCCCTGCAGCTTGAGGTGCTACCATGGTGGTCATGCCCAGCTGGAGATTCTACTTCTACATGCTCCACAGGAAACCAGCCTTCAGGAAGTTACTGAAGTTCCCTATGCCCCAATGTAATTAGCTGTTAAACTAGAAACAACATATACTCAGTTATCTTACAGGTGAGGCTATCCTCTTGTGAGGATAAAGTGAAATGGTGCATAAATACTTCCCTTGGGAACCTCAGGGTTCTAGACAAGCAAAGCCATGGCAGCATCTTTTCTTTCCTTCTCCCGTAGCAACTGATCACAAACTCCTTCCACCGAGGAGAAGGGAGTGTGAGCTCTGCTTCTGGTCTGCCAGCTGGGAGCAAATGGTCCAGCCTGCCTTTCTGAGTGGGCCAACTAACGTCAGCCTCACACTGTAATCCTGATTTCCTCATTTTAAAGATGAGATAATGCTATTTTCACTGGGTTTTTATAAAAAGTAAGAAGATAAAATGTGTGAAGAGCCACTCATGTATAGCTACTTTCAGGTCTGGGGCATTGGGGTTTTAGATGGAAAATATCATCAGAGCATCTTTTCTTCAATGAAGCCCTATGGATTGCTTCTTAAAATTCATGACCACCAAACACTATTCACAGTAGAGGTGCATTAAGAATCACAGCTCACTCTACTACCTTTCCATGAAAGCCATAACATGTTGCAAGTGTTCTGGACCTAGGGGCCATGCCCTCCCCCTGAGCCATGGATGACGTTACTAGGGTTTAGACTGTTTTACTCCAGGAGGGAGAAGGCCTCTGTGCTGCCTCCTTCCCTGGCAGCCCACTCCCATTCCCTATGCATGGTCAGATCTTGGTCCATCTCACAAGCCCACCTGCAGGCTGAGCAGGTCAGGTGTATGAAGGGTGAGACTTGCCCTTAGCCCAAATAGATCCCTTTAATGATCCATAGAAAGTAGGCTCCTGGGCCAAGGAGATACATTACGCCCTCTCTGTCTCGCATAAAGCCAAGGAGGGTTTCCATCTGTAACTCCTGAGATCTTGCTCCTGGCCACTGTCCAGGGCCTGAAGGAGTTAACTCAAAAAGACTGAAACTGACAGAGATGCTTGGTGTGTGGGCTTTGCTGTCCCCCAGCTGAGGCCAGCCCGCCAGCGCCTATGATGTCTTCATCATGCATCCATGTCTTCAAGGTCCAGGGAGGGAACACTGCCTACCAGCTTCCTTCATCCTCCCCATCTCTCTCACTAGCCTCATCACCTGGGAAGCCTGATGCTTGCAATGATGCTAGGACACTGTTTGGGCTTCAGTTAACCATGGGTACAGTCCCCATTTGTTGAGGATTCCACCACATTGTCCATGCTCATCCTTTGTCTTCTGCCACCCAGGAGGTCAAGGCCAAAGCTGACCCAGATTATTTTCCTC
This sequence comes from Homo sapiens, assembly GCF_000001405.40. Lineage (NCBI taxonomy): Eukaryota > Metazoa > Chordata > Mammalia > Primates > Hominidae > Homo > Homo sapiens. The sequence goes on along the minus strand of NC_000002.12, from coordinate 107,798,576 downwards.
ACTGGAAGGAGGCCAAGCCATTTTTTTTTCCTTATTTGTACACATCCCTGAACTCTCCTGTAATTCGACTTCTGCCTGCTCAGGACATTTATTAGATTCCTATATTCAGGGTAGGGCCCAGTTGTGTGGGTGCTGTTTAAGGCTTGTGAGGAGTGGCCCTGATGTCCTGCCTCCCTCATGGGCTGGAGGATCCCCTGCACTGAGGGACAGGGCCAGGGCCCTCTGATGCCTTTGCTTCCTGCCTGTTATCCTTTTTGGACACATACATTTCCCTCAGGAACTCACCATGAGGTGGAATTGTGGGCTAAACTAGGATTTTATATTCTTGGATCTCCTAATCATGGTTACATTTTAACGCTAAGAAAATGTCAGATAACAACTCTTAACAAGTTATTCAATTTTCTATGTCTGAATGTCCCATTTTTAAAATGGGAAGGAAATTGACATAATTGTGTTTTAAAAAAGGATCAAATGAGGTCTAATGTGTGAAGAGTCAGCCACAGGAAGCCACTTTTAGTTTTGTAGTTTTTTCTGAGACAGAGTCTGTTCTGTTGCTCAGGCTGGAGTGCAGTGGTGCAATCTCAGCTCACCGTCTCCTGGGTTCAAGTGATTCTCATGCCTCAGCCTCCCAAGTAGCTGAGATTACAGGCAAGCACCACCATGCCCAGCTAATTTTTGTATTTTCAATAGAAATGGTGTTTCCCCATGTTGGCCAGGCTGGTCTGAAACTCCTGACCTCAAGTGATCCACCTGCCTCAGCCTCCCAAAGTGCTGGGATTACAGGTGGAACCACTGGGCTTGGCCGACTTTTGCTTATTAAACAATGCTTACTCCAGGCCTGAGGAAGCTTCACAGTACCCCTGGTTGCTACATAAAAAGTCATCAGCAGGTATTGAAGTTTCTCTTCCTGAACATCATGTTAATCTTTATATCACAGACCATTTTTCTGCAATCTTCCCTTCTGCTTGTGAAGAGCTAGAATTAATATGGAATTTTTGTATTTAGTTCTATATTTTATGCATCATTTTAATTTTTCTTGCTGGTGTTTTATTTATTTATTTATTTATTTTTATTTTTTACTTTTTTTGAGACGGAGTCTCACTCTGTAGCCCAGGCTGGAGTGCAGTGGCGCGATCTTGGCTCATTGCAACCACTGCTTCCCAGATCCTGGTTCAAGCAATTCTCCTGCCTCAACCTCCTGAGTAGCTGGGGATTATAGGAACGTGCCATCATGCCCAGCTAATTTTTGTATTTTTAGTAGAGACAGGGTTTCACCATGTTGGCCAGGCTGGTCTTGAACTCCTGACCTCGTGATCTGCCCACCTCGGCCTCCCAAAGTGCTGGAATTACAGGTGTGAGCCACCGCGCCCGGCCATAAGACTAAGTTTGCAGTATTTATGTCACTGCCAGATATCTGATACTTTTATTTGGCTGCTAAACTTGAGCTTCCGTTTGGAACCCTGAGCCCCTGTTTTATTTGACTCTCATGGCTCCTGGGTTTTCTACTTACTGCCTATTTCTTTCAGGCTTCCAAGCACCTGCTGGCATGTTAGGCACTGGCTTTCATGCTTTTCAGGCAGTTTCTGGGGATCTACCAGAAAGCAAATAAACTAAAGCCAGTGAGTTATTGCCCCTCTCTGGTGTCTGACAGTATTTCATCTCTTCCTACCAGGGTAAATTGCACTGTTTATGAATCAGTTTTTAAAGCTGTTTTTTGGGATGAAGACTTAAACACTCAAACACATAGGACCTATTATGGATAAACATACAATAGAATAATATTCCAAAGTAAAAAAGGAAGGAAATGCTGACACATGCTACAACATGGATGGACCTTGTGGACATTGTGCTAAGTGGAGTAAGCCCGTCACAAAAGGACAAATATTGTATATTCCACTTACATGAGATGCCTAGAGTAGTCAGATTCATAGAAATAGAAAGTGAAGTGTTGGTTCCAGGGGCTGGGAGGTGGGGGAAATTGAGAGTGTTGTTTAATGAGGACAGTTTTAGTTTGGGATGATGAAAGAGTTCTGGAGATGGAGGGTGTGATTGTCACACAGCAACGTGAATGTACTTAATGCCACTGAGTCATGCACTTAAAAATGGGAAAATGATACATTTTATTTTATTTTATTTTATTTTTTCTGCATATAGTTGTGCTTTTACTTTTTATTTTTTTATTTTTATTTTTTTAATTATACTTTAAGTTTTAGGGTACATGTGCATATTGTGCAGGTTAGTTACATATGTATACATGTGCCATGCTGGTGCACTGCACCCACTAACTCGTCATCTAGCATTAGGTATATCTCCCGATGCTATCCCTCCCCCCTCCCCCCACCCCACAACAGTCCCCAGAGTGTGATATTCCCCTTCCTGTGTCCATGTGATCTCATTGTTCAATTCCCACCTATGAGTGAGAATATGCGGTGTTTGGTTTTTTGTTCTTGCGATAGTTTACTGAGAATGATGGTTTCCAATTTCATCCATGTCCCTACAAAGGACATGAACTCATCATTTTTTATGGCTGCATAGTATTCCATGGTGTATATGTGCCACATTTTCTTAATCCAGTATATCATTGATGGACATTTGGGTTGGTTCCAAGTCTTTGCTATTGTGAATAATGCCGCAATAAACATACATGTGCATGTGTCTTTATAGCAGCATGATTTACAGTCCTTTGGGTATATACCCAGTAATGGGATGGCTGGGTCAAATGGTATTTCCAGTTCTAGATCCCTGAGGAATCGCCACACTGACTTCCACAACGGTTGAACTAGTTTACAGTCCCACCAACAGTGTAAAAGTGTTCCTATTTCTCCACATCCTCTCCAGCACCTGTTGTTTCCTGACTTTTTAATGATTGCCATTCTAACTGGTGTGAGATGGTATCTCATTGTGGTTTTGATTTGCATTTCTCTGATGGCCAGTGATGGTGAGCATTTTTTCATGTGTTTTTTGGCTGCATAAATGTCTTCTTTTGAGAAGTGTCTGTTCATATGCTTTCAACACTTACTTATTTTCTCCCATTTTGTAGGTTACATATCTTTTACCATAATTTTAAAAATGTGGGACCCATTAATGTAAGCTTTCCTTTTTTATTTAAAACTTTCCTTTGAGATTACTGATTCACATAAAGTTGGAAGAAATAAGAGAACCTCTGCCCCCTTTATTTCTTATGCAAATATCTTGCACAATTATAGTAAAACATCACAACCAGAACATTCTATCATGGCAAGGATCACTCATGTTATTCTTTTTTTCCCCCATAATCTTGACTCACTGCAACCTCCCAGGTTCAAGTGATTCTCCTGCCTCAGCCTCCCGAGTAGCTGGGATTACTGCGGAGATTACAGGTGCATGACACCACGCCCGGATGATTTTTCTATTTTTAGTAGAGACAGAGTTAAACCATATTGGCCAGGCTAGTCTCGAGCTCCTGATCTCAGATGATCCACCCGCTTTGGCCTCCCAGAGTGCTGGGATTACGGGACATACCACCCTGAACATGCCCAATCTCCTCTGATGTTATTCTTTTATAGCTAAACCCGCTCCCTCCTCATCCCACTATCCCACCATTGGCAACGTGATTCTGTTTCCTATGTCCATAATGTTGTCATTTCAAACTTGTTATAAAAATAAAATGATACATAGGTGGCCTTTGAGGATTGGCTTTTTCTACTTAGTATAATTTTCTGGAGATGAATAGTGTGTTTCCTGTTATTGCTGAGTAGCATTTCATGGTATGGATGTCCCATAGGTTTTTTAACCTTTTACCTATTGAAGAACATCTGAGTTGTTTACCTTCTTTTGCTGTTAAAACTAAAGCTGTAATGAACATGCATAGAAAGATTTTGTGTAAATATAAATTTTCATTTCTCTAGGATATCTGCCCAAAATTGTAATTTCTTGGACATGTGGTAATTGGATGTTTAGTTTTATAAGAAACTGATAAACATTTTTCAGAGTGGCTCTACCATTTTGTAATCCCACCAGTGATTGTGTAAATGATTCAGCTTTTCCACATTCTCACCGGACTTTGGTGTTTTCACTGTTTTATTATTATTTTTTATTTTAGCCATTCTGATAGCAGTGTGTAGTGATATGTCATTTTATTTCCTTAGTGGCCAGTGATGTTGAACATTTTTTCTTGTACTTATGTACCCTCTGCATATCTTCTTTGGTGAAATGCGTACCCATGTCTTTTGCCCATTTTCTAATCATATTGTTTGTTTATTGTTGCTGAGTTTGTGTGTTTGTTAGATAATCTCCATACAAGTCTTTCTCAAATATGTGGTCTATAAATATTTCCCCTACATCTGTAGCTTGTCTTTTCATCTTCCCCACAGTCTTTGCAGAGCAAAGTTTTAACTTTTGATAAGGTTCAATTTATTAATATTTTCTATTAAGGACTGTGCTTTTAGTGCCAAGTTTATCAACTCTTTGTCTTGCCCTAGCTCCCAAGGATTTTCATATATATGAAAATTTTTATTTTTATAAGATGTAAAGTTTATTTGTATAAAGTTTATTTGTATAAAGTTTTGGTTGAGTTTCATTATTTTTTCCTGCTTATGGATGTCCAATTATTCTAGCTCCTTACGCTTGGGACTGTTTTAGTACTTTTGTCAAAAAAAAGAGCTGGGCATATTTTTGTGGGTGTACTTCTTAGCTTTCTACTCTGTTCCATTGATTTATGTGTCTACGTGTCCACTAATACCACATTGTTTTGTTTATGATAACTACATAATAGACATTAGTATTGAGGAGAGTGATTCCTTTCATTTTACTCTTACTTTTAAGATTGTTCTGGCTATTCTAAAGCCTGTGCCTTTCTATGTAATTTTTTAAGAACTGTTTTTCACTCTCTGTTGTGTCTTGCTTTATTTCTTCTCCTAGATCTCCAATGGTATGGAAGTTAGCTCTCCTGCTATTGTCATAGGTTCATGATTTTCACTGTATTTCTCTCTGTTGTTCAGACTGAGTAAATTCTATTGATCTCTCCTCAAGTTTACTGACTCTGTTCTCTCTCGTCTCTGCTCTACTATTGAGCCCATCCAGTGAGCTATTGCCTTTTCAGTTTTTCAAATTATACATTTTAGTTTTAGAATTTACATTTGGTTTATTTTAATATTATGGTGGAAACATGCAACACAAAATTTACCATTAAGTACAATCTAGTTTCTTAAGGTTTAAAGCTTGGTTATAATTTGAGAATTTGAAATATGTTGTCTTTTCCCCAAGCAGTTTAATTTCATTTTTAATTGTGATAAAAATAAAACATATAACATAAAATTTACCATGCTAAATATTTCTTTTTTCGTTCTTTCTTTCTTTTTTTCTTTTTTTTTTTTGAGACAGAGTTTCGCTCTTCTCACCCAGGCTGGAGTGCAATGTCCCGATCTTGGCTCACTGCAACCTCCGCCTCCCGGGTTCATCCGATTCTCCTGCCTCAGCCTCTTGAGTAGCTGGGACTACAGGCGGGTGCCACCATGCCCGGCTAATTTTTGTATTTTTAACAGAGATGGGGTTTCTCCTTGTTGACCAGGCTAGTCTCAAACTCCTGACCTCAGGTGATCCACCTGCCTCAGCCTCCCAAAATGCTGGGATTACAGGCATGAGCCACCGCGCCTGGCCCATGCTAATTATTCTAAGTGTATAGTTCAGTAGTTTCAAGTTTATTCACATTGTTGTGTGACCAATCCCCAGAGTATGTTCATCTTGAAAAACTGAAACTCCATATCCATTAAACAACTCTATTTTCTCCCCTCAGTGTCTGGCCACCTCCATTCTATTTTCTGTTTCTATAAATTTAACTCCTCTAGGTACCCTATAGAAGTGGAATTACACAGTATTTGTCTTTTTGTGACTGGTTTATTTCACTTAGCATAATGACCTTGGAGTTCACCGATGCCGTAGCATGTGTCA